>NC_000014.9:63248076-63551106 GCF_000001405.40 Homo sapiens | reverse complement strand
TTTTTTTTTTGTTGTTGTTGTTTGTTTTTTTGAGATGGAGTCTCACTCTGTAGCCCAGGCTGGAGTGCAGTGGCGCGATCTCGGCTCACTGCAAGCTCCGCCTCCCGGGTTCACGCCATTCTCCCACCTCAGCCTCCTGAGTAGCTGGGACTACAGGCGCCCGCCACCACGCCTGGCTAATTTTTTTTTTTTTTTTTTTGTATTTTTAATAGAGATGGAGTTTCACTGTGTTAGCCAGGATGGTCTCAATCCCCTGACCTCATGATCCGCCCGCCTCAGCCTCCCAAAGTGCTGGGATTACAAGCGGGAGCCACTGCGCCCGGCCTAATTTTTGTATTTTTTAGTAGAGACAGGGTTTCGCTATGCTGGCCAGGCTGGTCTTGAACTCCTGGCCTCAAGTGATCTGCCCACCTTGGCCTCCCAAAGTGCTGGGATTACAGGCATGAGCCACTGTGTCTGGCCACCTCTTTTTTTTGTTGTTGTTGTTGTTATTTTTTTTAGAGACAGGGTCTAATTCTTTTGCCCGGGCTAGAGTGCAATGGCATGATCATAGCTTACTGCAGCCTCAAACTCCTGGGCTCAAGCGCTCCTCCCATTTTAGCCACCTGAGTAGCTAGGACACACAGGGCCACCTGAGTAGCTAGGACAACATTTGTGTACTACCAGACCTGACTAACTTTTAAATTCTTTTGTAGAGATAGGGGTCTTGCTATGTTGCCCAGGCTAGTCCTGACCTCCTGGGCTCAAGCCATCCTCCCTCCTTGGTCTCCCAAAGTGCTAGGATTACAGGTATGAGCCACTGTGCCCAGCCTGAGCCTCTTTTAAAAGAATATATATTAGAATGAAGGGCCGGGTGCGGTGGCTCACACCTGTAATCCCAGGACTTTGGGAGGCTGAGGCAGGCAGATCACTTGAGGTCAGGAGTTCAAGGCTGGCCTGGCCAAAATGGTGAAACCCTGACTCTACTAAAAATACAGAAATTAGCCAGGCGACGTGGCACGTGCCTGTAATCCCAGCTACTCAGGAGGCTGAGGCAGGAGAATCACTTGAACCCGGGAGGCAGAGGTTGCAGTGAGCTGAGACGGTGCCACTGTACTCCAGCCTGGGCAACAGAGTGAGACTCCATCTCAAAAAAGAAAAAAATTAGAATGAAGCTAAAGCTCTGAAATGAAGTCAAATAACCATTTTGTTCAGTTTTAGAGGTAAACGGATGTTCTAAAATGGAAATCCCTGCTATTGCTAATGAATGCTCCCACACACACATTGTCTAATTTAGTGTGGAAGTAGATTGAGAGGCATGCCTGTGATTTCCCTGCTCCTTGTTTTCTTCCTGTCACAGGGGGTATGCCAGAAGAAAATTTTGAGGGGGAAAAAAACACTCAACAGAAAACTTCCTAAAGTTTAGTTTTTAGATGGCTAAGGAATTTTTAAAATTATTTTTTACGTTTTTATTTATTTATTTATTTTTTTGAGACGGAGTCTCGCTCTGTCGCCCAGGCTGGAGTGCAGTGGCACGATCTCAGCTCACTGCAAGTTCCGCCTCCCGGGTTCATGCCATTCTCCTGCCTCAGCCTCCCGAGTAGCTGAGACTACAGGCGCCAATCACCACGCCCAGCTCGGCTAATTTTTTGTATATTTAGTAGAGACGGGGTTTCACCGTGTTAGCCAGGATGGTCTCAATCTCCTGACCTCGTGATCTGCCCGCCTTAGCCCCCCAAAGTGCTGGGATTACAGGCGTGAGCCACTGTGCCCGGCCTATTTATTTATTTTTTTTGAGACAGAGTCTTGCTCTGTCATCCAGGCTGGACTGGCACTATCTTGGCTCACTGCAACCTCCACCTCCCAGGTTCAAGCTATTCTCTGCCTCAGTCTCCCAAGTAGCTGGGACTAGAGGCATGCACCACCACACCCAGCTGATTTTTGTATTTTTTGTAGAGATGGGGTTTTGCCATGTTGGCCAGGCTGGTCTCGAACTCCTGGCTTCAGTGATCCACCCACCTCGGCCTTCCAAAGTGCTGGGATTACAGGTGTGAGCCACCACACCTGGCCAGATAAGGAGTATTAAAAATAAGAAAATAGACGACTGTGGTAATAAGTAGTATTTATCAAGCAGTTAATAGATGCAAAGCACTGTAGTAAATGCATAACATCATTTCAATTTGATGAGTATCCTGAGTTAGGAACTGTTAGTCTGCTTATTCACAGGTGAGGAAACCAAGGCTGGAGGAAGGGGTTAATAATCTGCCCTATCTCCTGACTGTCAGAGCTAAGATAAATTTGGATTTCAGAGTGGGTTCTCACCATCATGCTCATTATTAGGTATAGCTTTAAGCTCATTTAATTGTGTAATTTGACTATTTTACAAACAAAATTATTGCTTGTGGTACATTATTTTGTATTTTATCCTGTATGAAATAAAGGGCACTTAAAATTGGCTTTCTTGCCGGGTGCGGTGGCTCACGCCTGTAATCCCAGCACTCTGGGAGGCTGAGACGGGCGGATCACGAGGTCAGGAGATCGAGACCATCCTGGCTAACATGGTGAAACCCCATCTCTACCAAAAAATACAAAAAAAATTAGCCGGGCGTGGTGGTGGGTGCCTGTAGTCCCAGCTACTCAGGAGGCTGAGGCAGGAGAATGGCATGAACCCGGGAGGCGGAGCTTGCAGTGAGTGGAGATCGTGCCACTGCACTCCAGCCTGGGCGACAGAGCAAGACTCTGTCTCAAAAACAAAAAAAACAAACAAACAAAACTGGCTTTCTCTTCCTGTTTTTTTTCCAACTCTGCTTCCCTGTCCGTGATATAAGGTCTTTCTGTCTTGATCCATCAGTGACAGAGGGCTCTCACTAAGAACAGCGCAAGGGTCCTCTGATAGTCATCTCTGGAATGCAGCTTAAACTGCTAACTAGGGAACTGGAACACCTAAACACTTTAAATCTCAAGCAATAATTATACATATTAATCACACGGAAAGCTACGAATAAGCCACAATCTTTGAAGCACATCTGAAAATGTAACTAGAGTATTTAAACTGTGACCCAAGAAAATGTCACTGCTGAGGATGTTTCCTGGTGGATAAATGTTAACTCAGAGAAATATGACACCAAAATCCCTTGTCTGCAGTAGCCATGTGTATACTTTTTTCTTGTGTATACTCTTTTCTTTGAAAGGGCGTCTCGCTCTGTCACCCAGGATGGAGTACAGTGGCATGATCTCAGCTCACTGTAGCCTCCACTTCCCAGGTTCAAGTGATTATTGCCCCTCAGCCTCCTGAGTAGCTGGGACTACAGGTGCGAACCACCATGCCCGGCTAATTTTTGTATTTTTAGTAGAGACGGGGTTTCACCATGTTGGCCAGGCTGGCCGTGAACTCCTGTTCTCAAGTGATCTGCCTGCCTCGCCTCCCAGAAGTGTTGGGATTACAGGTGTGAACCACCGCACCTGCAGTGTATACTCTTTCTGTTTTCCTAAGAGGCAGCTACTGCCTCAGGCTTTCTCACCCTCACTGTTCTTTCCTCTCAGTCCACGACCAGCTTCATGTACCCCGCCACTCCACACACACCAAACTAGTCTACCTCTGATCATGATATCTAATCAGCATAGGTCTTTTCCTCCTCTACTGGTTGACAATTGTTCTGACGATGCTTCTACTTATTATTTTAGTTCTCCTTTAGTTCCCCAGCCAGCCATCATTTGATAGTCAATGTCTTGGTCTTATCACGTGGCTAGCTCACTAGTAGATTCATGATAAGCTCAGCTTTGATATCTGGGAAGTGAATGCTTTCATGTGAGAGCAATAGACTACATTTTGTCACTTGATAATGGCCTCTCAGATGGCTATAATGTTTTTCTTTTCA
Source organism: Homo sapiens (assembly GCF_000001405.40). Lineage (NCBI taxonomy): Eukaryota > Metazoa > Chordata > Mammalia > Primates > Hominidae > Homo > Homo sapiens. Next base: position 63,547,249 of record NC_000014.9, on the reverse strand, counting down.
TTTTTTTTTGTTTTTTGAGATGGAGTCTTGCTGTGTCACCCAGGCTGGAGTGCAGTGTTGGGATCTTGGCTCACTGCAACCTCCGCCTCCTGGGTTCAAGCAATTCTCCTGCCTCAGCCTCCTGAGTAGCTAGGATTATAGACAGCTGCTACCAAACCCAGCTAATTTTTGTATTTTAATAGAGACGGGGTTTCACCATATTGGCCAGGCTGGTCTCGAACTCCTGACCTTGTGATCCACCTGCCTCGGCCTCTCAAAAGTGCTGGGATTACAGGCGTGAGCCACTGTGCCCGGCCTAGAATGTTTTTATTCACAGGCTACATCATGTCACACTACAGAATCCAACTCCTGGGCTCAAGTGATGCTCCGACCTCAGCCTGTGGAGTAGTTGGGACTGCAGGCCTGTGACATTGTGCCTGGCTTCCAAACTTCTTTTTTTTGAGACAGGTTTTCACTTTCTCTCCCAGGCTGGAATGCAGTGGCATGATCATAGCTCACTGCAGCATTGACCACCTGGGCTCAGGTGATCTTCCCACCTCAGCCTCCCAGTAGCTGGGACAACAGGAGCGTGCCACCAGGCCTGGCTGATTTTGAAATTTTTTTCGTAGATAAGGGGTTTCACGATGTTGCCCAGTCTGGTTTCAAACACCTGGGCTAAAGTGATCCACCCTCCTCAGCCTCCCAAAGTGCTAGGATTACAGGCATTAGCTGTGACATCCAGCCAAAAAAATTCTTCCAAATATATGTGTATTTGTCCATAAAGTATAGACATACGCTACCATCATTAGCTTAACTCAATCAACATATACACTTAGAATGAAGTTCAATTCTTAATAACAGTGGATGTAGGCTGGGTGCAGTGGCTCACGCCTGTAATCCCAGCACTTTGGGGGGTCGAGTGGGGTGGATCATTTGAGGTCAGGAGTTCGAGACCAGCCTGGCCAACATGGTGAAACCCCGTCTCTACTTAAAATACAAAAATTAGCCAGGTGTACATGCCTGTAATCCCAGCTACTTGGGAGGCTGAGGCAGAAGGATTGCTTGAACCCGGGAGGTGAAGGTTGCAGTGAGTCGTTTGCGCCACTGTACTCCAGCCTGGGCGACAAAGCGAGACTCCATCTCAAACAACAACAACAACAACAACAACAACAACAACAACAACAACAACAACAACAGTGGATGTAAATTTACATTTCAAGTAGCCTTGATTTTTTTTCTAGTCAAAATTTGATTGAATTTATTAGATTGGTATTTTACTTTTGAAAAGTGGCTGTCAAAGATTTGATACTGGGCTGGGTGTGGTGGCTCATGCCTGTAATCCCAGCACTTTGGGAGACCGAGGCGGGTGGATCACAAGGTCAGGAGTTTGAGAACAGCCTGGCCAACATGGTGAAACCCCGTCTCTACTAAAAATACCAAAAAAAAAAAAAAAAAAAGAAAAAAAAGATTTGATACTGAAGAGTCAGTTCTAACATTTTCTTCTTGTTCTCCCGTGGTTTATTTGCAAAGGACTCATAGAGTCATTTGTCTGTTTTATGAGGGTTAGTTTAATTAAACTTAGATAATATAATCAGTAAGTCCACTTAGTTGAATCCAGAAACTGCAATAAGAAACCGCAATAAGTCATATGTTGTCAGGGGCTGATTGGGTGGGCCCACCACTGCCAACCCCTAGGAATGGGTAACTCCCACTTTTCCCTGAGGACATCTCCTATGCTGTTCTAGGCCAAGGCACCATTCCATGGACTGAGGGCAGAGCCATTCACTCTATATAAAATAGTAGTTGACCGTAATGCCTTTTAGATTAAAATTAAATGTAAATATATTTCCTAATACTTTCTTTTACTGCATCCGAAATAGATTGTCTTGCACTATTCTTGGAGTACCGAAATCCCTGGGATACATGGGAGAAATTACTGGTCCAGAGAACAATTTCTCACATAGGCAAGGATGTTTCCATTTTAAAAAACCTGCTCATTTCAGTTGCTCAGCCATTTTATAGAAAGTGAAATGACTTTGAAATGAATTGTCTTTATAGAGATCCATAATTTGCAAGCAAAATCCCCACTCTATGACATGTTCTAAGCAACAGCTGTGAGAATTTCAAACGTGCACTATGCTTTTAACAGTTCAACTGTTGCCAAGGGAAATTGAATTGGCTTCAAAATCTTCCTTGGTTTTAATTCTGAATTTACCCTCAATCAAAGATTGAAGAAAACAGGTCCTTGGCTGGGACACTGAACTTTCATGAAGACTGTACAGGATATTGAGATATGGAAAATTTAAGGTTCTTGAGGGTAGGAACTAGACTGCTGGTATTCTATAGTTCATACTTAGTGGTGATGAACTTTATCACGGCAAAAGTGGGCACTAGCCATACAGTGGCCAATCATCTGGAGTCAGTAGGGGGAGACTGCTTCCATCTAAGAGTCATCTTTTCGTTTTCCATTTCAGTTCAAAGCAGGAATATTTTTATCTTTCATGGCACAAAATTATTTTTCCACTCAAGAGCCATTTCTGGGAGTGTGCAAAGAAAATTTCAAAACTCTAGTGTTTAACAACACAAACAGGAGAAATGCAAATGCATTTTTCGTTGTCACTTGTACATATGGTACATATAGTTTTATTTATATATAGCTCTATTCCCTAACCGTATCGAAAAGATGATATAATGCTGAGGGAAAAAACTAGGCTACAGATCGACACACATTATTAACATAAAGAGAAAAAATACTAAAAGGAAGTATGCAAATACTGTAAGTGGTTATCTCTGAGTTGAGAAAATAAGAATGTTAATTTTTTTGTCCCCCCCCCCAATTTCTAAGTTTTGAACAACTGGTACTCTGACGTTTGTAGTTAGCATTAATAATTTCTTTCTTCCTTTTTTCCTCTCAAAAAATGTACGTAGGGTGCATTCAAATACATTAATCCAAGAATATTATCTGGAAATGTACCATTTGGCCGTCTGCATTCACCAAGCATGCAAACACATCTCCAAATATCTCATCACTTGTTCTAGATAGATTTAAGTAGTCTTCTCCATTAACTCTTTCGGGTCCAACTTGCCAATTAAAATCTCGAAACTCCTAGTTTGGAGCTGGGTCTTTCCGAGCTCTGAGCAGTCGGCTGACTGGCGGGTTATTCTGAATGAATAGACTGCAAACTGTGGCGACAGCGTTCCCACCTGCATTAATTAAACGAGCGCTGGCTTCAACGCTACAGGGGTCTGATATTCAAAACAGACGTTTAAGGAAAAGGAGATGAGGTGAGAGAAAATTCGAAGAAGGTTCAGCGGAGAGCGACTGCTGGGGGTTTCAAGGGGCCCATTTACACAAGCAGTGGCACACCGGCACGGGCGGGGGATCTTATTCCTGCCTACGCATCACAGGGTCCCGTCCAGAGTGGGACTCCCCAAACCCTGAGGGGCCACACTAGCTGCAGGGCGGGATCAAGTCTCCGGGGCTCCCCGACCCTTAGACGACCCGAGCCCTTGGAATCCTCCGGTCCAAGACGACCGCCGCCCAAAGGCTCCGCACAGCACGGAAAGCCAGCCCGCTGATCCGCTAGTCGCACACCTCCCGGAATTAAAGAGCTCCTCTCAGGCCCAGCGGCTTCTCACTTCAGCTTGCCCCACTGCCGGGCGGAAGCGGCGGCTGCACCGCCCGAGATCGCGGCTGCATCCGGGTTCCTCAAGCTTCGGCCCAATCCTCGACCTTCTCTCTTCCCACCCTCCCGTTTCTCCGCCCTCCTGCCGCCAATCCCTGATCAGGTCTCAGCCGAACATGCTGTCAGGGGAGTGAAGGCGGATACTGGCCAATGAGGCCTCGCTTCCCGTTTGAAGTCTCCAGTGGGCGGGCGCCGGAGGCGGGCGCTGCTGGCCAGAAGGTTCGGTTGCGCGTGTGCCATGGACTCAGCCGCCCGGTGATATTGACAATAGGAGAGAGAAAGGGGCATTGACTGGGACCCACCGCGGGTAGCGAAAGGTGGCTCTGGCAGCGGCGGCTCCAGCTCCTGCGGCTCCTCCTCCTTATTCTGTCCCCTTCTCTTGCTGCCGCTGCAGATCCAGTCTTCCTCCCTCCCTTCCCCCCCTCCCCACGTCGTCGCCGCCGCCGCCGGGTCCGGGGCAACGAGCTGAGGCGCCGCCCGCCAGGAATGTGAGCGAGGAGCCACCGGCGGAGCCGCAACGGGGTCGGTGCCGATTTGATGGGACGGGCCCGCGGGGGAGGATCGTGAGGCCGCCGCCGCCACCGGAACGCTGAGGTTCGGGTCCGGCCGTGAGGCCTAGAGGCTCCGCCGCCGCGGAACCGGAGGGACCCCGTACCGGACAGCCGTCGCCCCAGGCTCCCCGCAGCTGCCCGGACCTCCCCCTGCACGTCCCGGTCCCGCCGCCCGCCCCCGCTGCGGCCACCTCGCCCGTCTCCCGCCCCTCCAAGCCACAGATCATCTTTGGATTCTTCCCCAGAAGCTTCAAGGTAACTTAGTCCCTCCAGCACCGCGGCTCGCCCGCTTCCCTTCTTCCTCCCGGTCCTCCTGGGGAACCTATGGGGCACCGGCCTTGGGAAGGCCTGGCCGGGCAGGCGAGGGGTGCGGTGGGGTGGGGTGCGGGAGCGGGAGCGCCCGTCCCACTTGTCTGATTTACCTACAAATGCTTCTGATGATACCTCTCATTCACTCTGCCCCCTCCCCCCTTTTTCTCCACCTTCTGGGATTGGAGGCGTTTTCTTGCCCCCCTTTATCCACTGGCGGGGGCGGGGAATAAAGAGGGGTTTGGTGTGAGGAGGATTCTCTAGCAGCTTATCGTCTCCAGGGCTTGGGGTGTGGGTTAGGAGCAAAGGGAGTATGTAAGCATCCCCACAGACAAACCCCTTCCCTGTCTTTCCCTACTTCCCCTTACCCCCTTTGGATTATCCTGAGCCATGGAAATGCCCCATGCCTGCTGATTAGAGGATGATAAAGCTTCGGGAGCCCTGGCCCAGGGCGAAACCTGTTTCCCTGGGCTTTGCACGGACCCGCTGTTACCTTACGTTCAGTTTTGCAGTGCTTCAGGGTTGCGATCCTTGACGTTTATTCTGGGCCTCGGGCATAAGGGGTAAATGATTTTTTTAAAAGCTACCTATATATCGTCTGTAGAGATGAGAGATAAGGAATAAAGAAGAGACGAAAAGAGTGATGGAGGAAGAGGATTTACTGAAATGTTGTAGTGTTAGAGTTAGAGTGAAGTCTAAATAATTCACATACCCGAATGGAAAATCGGCCCCTAAATTTACAACGTACAAATAAGATGTGGAGCTTTTGGCTGATGCAGTCATTTTGATATTTTAAAGTGATCTTAACATCTATAGTCATTCATAGTTTGTGATTCTATTTTGAATCCATCACATTATATTAAGGCTAAATTAGGTAGATTTTTAAAAACTTTTTTTTTTTTAAAGAAAACCAAAGAAGACTTCCAAATTCCAAACGTCAACATCATATGTGTGCATGTGTTTTAAAATGTTTTTGTTATTTTTACATTGTCAAAATCCACGTAATCCAGGTAACTTTTTATTCTCACGTGTTCAGGAAGAAATTCCCTTACTGTTTTATTTAGAAGTTAAAAACCACTTGTCTTGTCTATTGGAATGACAGGTGAGTAATTGCATTTCAGCATTTCCCCCATATGCATTCTTTCTATCCGAGTCTGCCATTAGTCTTGCATGAAGCCTCAGTGCCATGGAAATGATGGCATCTGTTTAATTTGGTGAATGAAATTAAGCTTAACGCTTGTTACTTTCAGGAAATAGCCTTCATTTTAATAACTCGAGAGGGTTAAACAATTCAAAAGTGCTATTCAGTTCCGTAAGTTTGATGGAATGAAAATTGGTATTTGATGATGAACTTCAAGGTCTAAACCTCAAGGGAACTCAACTTGGTTGTTTCAGTAGGCTGTGAATTTATGTTTTCAGTTCAACTTTGGTGCTTGATTTTCTCATAGTTTTTATTAAGCGTTAATAACGTAAGGTGGCTTCATTCAAAAAGAAGACTTATTTGAAATATTTTAATTATGCCTTTTATGTGTTTTGTTTAAAGTAATCTAGCCTGTCCTCATTTGCAGTGTGGTATAGTTTATCATAGCTAACATAGCACATCCCATTAAAAGTTATGCCTAGATAGTTTCAGTAGTAGTAAATTTCACCTTGCTGTGATACATTGGTATAGATTCTTGAAGTACACTAAGGGTTTTTCAACTCCAGAACCCATTCATAATATTAAGTATCTTGGGAAAATGTATCAATGGAAGTTTTCCAGTTACAGAATAGCTCCAAAAATTACTTGAAGATGTGAAGAGCTTTGCAGTTAGAAAATGGGCAGGCAGCATAGATTTCTTTAAGCCTAGATGAGTATCTTTAATGCTTATAATGGAGTGGCACAATACATTAGAGTTCTCATATTGTTTCCGTGATACTTAAATTATTTTCACTAAATTTTCATGTTTTCCTGTTAACATATGACTTTTCTTTTCTTTGTTTGTTTCTTTTTTTTTTTTTTGAGAAGGAGTTTTCCTCTTGCTGCCCAGGCTGGAGTGCAATGGCATGATCTTGGCTCACCACAACTCCGCCTCCCGGGTTCAAGTGATTCTCCTGCCTCAGCCTCCCGAGTAGCTGGGATTACAGGCATGCGCCACCATGCCTGGCTAATTTTTGTATTTTTTTTTTTTTATTAGAGATGGGGTTTCTCCATGTTGGTCAGGCTGGTCTCGAACTCCCAACCTGAAGTTATCTGCCCGCCTTGGGATTACGGGTGTGTGCCACTGTGCCTGGCTTTTTTTTTTTTTTTTTTTGAGATGGACTCTTGCTCTGTTGCCCAGGCTGGAGTGCAGTGGTGCCATCTTGGCTCACCGCAACCTCCGCCTCCCAGGTTCAAGCGGTTCTCCCTTCTCAGCCTCTTGAGTAGCTGAGATTACAGGTGCATGCCACTGCGCCTGGCTAATTTTTGTATTTTTAGTAGACACAGGGTTTCACCATGTTGGCCAGGCTAGTCTCGAACTCCTGACCTCAAGTGATCCACCCACCTCGGCCTCCCAAAGTGCTGGGATTACAGGTGTGAGCCACCGGGCCCAGCCCTTTTTTTTTTTTTTTTTAAAGGACGGAATCTCACTCTGTCACTCAGGCTGGATGGAGTGCAATGGCGGGATCCTGGCCCACTGCAACCTCCACCTCCCAGGTTCAAGCGATTCTTTCACCTCAGCCTCCCGGGTAGCTGAGATTACAAGCACCTGCCATCATGCCCGGCTAATTTTTGTAATTTTGTAGAGACTGAATTTCACCATGTTGTCCAGGTTGGTCTTGAACTCCTGACCTCAAGTGATCCACCCATCTCAGCCTCCCAAAGTGCTGGGATTACAGGCGTGAGCCATTGCACCTGGCCAAGATAAGACTTTTCTTAACTGATTTTATTTTCTTTAGCACATATTCCCATTTTCATGAATATTGTATATGGGAATTTTAGAATTTGTATAACTCACATGTATGCTTCCACCTTGGGAATGTATGGGTTTATGATACTTCTTTCTCTTCAGTAGGGATATGTCCTCAGCACCAACTACTCCTCCATCAGTGGATAAAGTAGACGGATTTTCTCGGAAGTCCGTCAGAAAAGCCAGACAGAAGAGGTCGCAAAGTTCCTCACAGTTTAGGTCTCAAGGCAAGCCTATTGAGTTAACACCTCTGCCGCTGCTAAAAGGTAAGGCTCATGACCAGGTGATGCATTCTTTTTCAATTGATCTTTCTACATCTATATATAATTTCCTTTTTGTAGAGTTTTATATGTGTTGCAAATTGAAGGGATGGGATACTTCACATACATTGAAGTTACTAATGTGTGACCAAATATACCCACTCTCCTTTTTAAAGGCTCAATTTAGTCTGTCTTTGGGCAAGTTAAAAGAAACATTATCAGGAGAATATCTCACATTGATGAGTAGGTAAACTAAGTACTAGAGAAACTTTAAGATGTCTGGGTTTGTGTTTTTCATTTTTTCTTCTGTTGACGTTTAGGGATACATTATATACAATGACAACTACAGATTATGGTCTTAGGAAGTAGACCCTAGTAGAGGAGATGGTACCATTCATTAATTTACATATAGAAAATGGTATTTGGAAGAATTCGTTTTTAAAAATCAAGAAAAAAATGGTCCATTTATAGTTGTTTACATGCACTCTTGTTTTCACATAGTACAAGTAGAAAAGATATACCTTTCTATGTACAAGTATGATGATCATACTTGTTTAGTATGATCTTTTCTTTGAAATTTGTTAATTTTTTAATTTTAATTTTTATCTTTTGAGATAGAGTCTCCCTCTGTTGCTCAGGCTGGTTCACAGCAACCTCCACCTCCTGGGTTCAAGTGATTTTCCTGCCTCAGCTTCCCGAGTAGCTGGGAGCACAGGTGCCCGCCACCATGCCCAGCTAATTTTTGTATTTTTAATAGAGACAGGGTTTCACCATGTTGGTCAGGCTGGTCTTGAACTCCTGACCCCAAGTGATCTGCCCACCTTGACCTCCCAAAGTGCTGGGATTACAGGTGTGAGCCACCGTGCCTGGCCTGAAATTTGTTAAAAACAAGTTTTTTGGTTTTTTAAATTTTCTTTTGAGACAATCTCATGCTGTCACTCTGGCTAGAGTTCAGTGGGGACAGAGTGAAAGTGCAGGTTGAGGCCGGGCGTGGTGGCTCACGCCTGTAATCCCAGCACTTTGGGAGCCCGAGGCAGGCAGATCACGAGGTCAGGAGTTTGAGACCAGCCTGGCCAACATGGTGAAACCCTGTCTCTTCTAAAAATACAAAAATTAGGCGCGGTGGTGGCACCTGTAATCCCAGCTACTCGGGAAGCCGAGGCAGGAGAATTGCTTGAACCGGGAGGCAGAGGTTGAAGTGAGCCCAGATCGTGCCATTGCATTCTAGCCTGGGTGACAGAGCAAGACTCTGTCTCGGGGGAAAAAAAAAAAAGAAAGTGCAGGTTGGGGCTCACTGTGGCCTCTATTTCCTAGGCTCAAGTGATCCTCCCTTTCCCGAGTAGCCGGGATCAACTTCCCGAGTAGCTGGGACTACAGAAGCATGCCATCACGCCCAGCTAATTTTTCCATTTTTTTGTAGAGATGGAGTTTTGCCATGTTGCACAGGCTGGTCTCGAATTGCCATGGTGTTCCCATGCCAGGATTTAGGCGTGAGCCACCATGCCCGGCCCAACACGTTTTTAATATGAAGAATTTTTTCTAAATTAGGCATTTCAACTTTTGTTTGGGTATGTGGTTACTTTTTGTCCCTTTTAATTTTCATCATGTTTGCTTCATGTTTATGAACAGGTGTTGTTTGAAAAATATCAGAACATAGCTTTTATAGTGTGGAAACTATCAGAATTTACCTTTGAGGTGGATGTTTATGTGCTGAATACTGAAGAATGGGAGAAAGGGGATATGAACAACACAATGAGCTTTAGTGTGGCTTGGAGGAAACCAGGCAACCTGGTTTGCTAGTTCATTATTGCAGACTTATTTCTGTAACAGTTTGTGAAATCAGAAGGTATTATAAGAAAAACTGGAATGTAACCGGAAAAGATCCTCAAAATTTAGCTTAGGATATTTCAAGCTTCTATTTTTTCCATATGAATACTTTTTTTAAAAAAGAGAGAGAGATTCATAAATAAGATTCCAATGTTTATACAAAATTTTTGGAAACTGAATACTGATTACTGTAAAGATGATATATCTACCAGTCAGTAAAGATGAGCTCCTGTGAGCTTTGGGGGAGAAAATTTTGACTAGAGATTTTGCTGGTAAAAATGAAAATAGTCATTATGAGGCTTTGGAAAGAAAATGTAGGAAACACTGTAGATTGAACTATGCTTGAAATACAAAGTTGGGAGACACTGGTTTTTAGTAATCTATTTAATCTGAAGTAGATATGTAATGGGTGTTAACTTCTGTATCTGTAAAGGACTTCATTCTGAGGAAGCCAGTTAAATTTTTTTTTTTAGAATTAGAAGGAATTTAAAAACTTACACTAATTTCTTGGATCTTATGGTAAACAATTAAATTAGGACTTCACTGACCACTCATAGTCAGGGTATTGGTTTTGTGGGTAGTGAAAGAAGCATGCATGAGAAGAATTTGGACACATGCTTTAATGTATTTTTTCTTTAATGCTTTCATGTCTTTTTTCTCATTTTAAAAAATTATGGTAAAATATACATAACATGAAATTTACCATCTTAACCATGTTTAAATGTGCATTAAGTGCCTTGACATTGTCATGCAACTGTCCCTACCATCCATCTCCAGAACCTTTTCATCTTCCCCAACTGAAGCTCTGTACCTGTTAAACACTGACTCCCTGTTTCCCCCACCAGCCCTTGGCAACCGCCATTCTGTTTTTTGTTTCTATGAATTTGACTACTCTAGGTACCTCCTATAAGTGATGCCATGCAATATTTGTCTTTTTGTGACTGGCTTATTTCACTTAGTCAAGTGTCTTCAGTGTTCATCTCTGTTGTAGCAGGTGTCAGAATTTCATTCTTTTTTAAGGCTGAATAATTTCAGTGTATATACATACCATATACTTTTTAATCCATTAATTCATTGGTGGACACTTGGGTTGCTTCCACCTTCAGGCTATTGTGAATAATGCTGCTGTGACCATGATGTACAGATACCTGTTTAAGTTCTGGCTTTCATTTCTTTTGGGTATGTACCCAGACGTGTAATTGCTGGATCATATGTTGAATTTTTCAGGAATTGCCATACATATTGCCACAGCAACTGGACCATTTTTCATTCCCATTAGCAATGCATGAGGGTTCCAGTTTTCTATATCCTCACCATCACTCATTTTCTGCTTTTTAATTTTTTGATAGTAGTCATTATAATAGGTATGAAGTGGTATTTCAGTGTGATTTTTATTTGCATTGCCCTAATGATTAGTGATGTTGAGCATCTTTTCCTGTGCTTTTTGGCCATTTCTGTATCCTTTTTCTCACTTTTAAAAGTGAAGTCTGCTAGTGTTGCCAGTTTTCCAAGAACTCTGCTTTCCAAGAATGTGATTTTTTGAACTTGTATATTTTGCCAGTATGAGAGAATTGGAGAGTAACAGGACTATATACTCACAAACCTAATTCCAGAGTGACTAACAGTGATTGTTATGTAGTAAGCACATTCTGGGTAAATACTCTGGAAAGTATTCTATAAATTAGAAATCCATCTCTGTCTGTAGAATAACATAAGGAAGTATAATCAGAAATAGACTTCAGTAATGTGTATTTGCTCTTGATTTTCTAGGAAGTAATTTATGGAATATAAAGAAAATGTAGGAGGAATTTCTTTTCTAGGATTTTATTTTTTTTGGCCATTGCCTTAAGAGAAACCAGGATAAACACTATATGCATGCTAAGGGTAGTTATTGATTTAATTTTCTATAGTATTGCTTTGACTAAATTGGGTTAATTTTATTTGGAGTACAATATAAAATATGGTTGAATTTTGTGAGTTGTTTTAAATAATGAAGTCAAAGAGGTGTCCTTAAGGTCTTTAATTTCAGGGGAGTTTGAATACGATAATTATACAAACAGTGATTATGTAACTCATCTTTTAATATGTCATTTTTGAATGCTCAGATATGCATTAATAACCACTCGTTTTGTGCATGCATTATCAGAATGTTTATTATATGCATCATAATCTTTGATTTATAAATAATACTGCATTAATTCTTAGCGTTTTAAAGTCTGTTCACTTGCAAAACTGCAACATAATGTGAAGGGAAAGTTTTTGTTTTGCCCTATTTCTTTTTTTTTTGAGATGGAGTTTTGCTCTTGTTGCCCAGGCTGGAGTACAGTGGTGCGATCTCAGCTCACTGCAACCTCTGCCTCTTGGTTCAAGTGATTCTCTTGCCTCAGGCTCCTGAGTAGCTGGGATTGCAGGTGCCCACCACCACACCAAGCTAATTTTTTTGTATTTTTAGTAGAGACGTGTTGAGACCAGCCAGGCTGGTCTCAAACTCCTGACCTCAGGTGATCCACCTGCCTTGGCCTCCCAAAGTGCTGGGATTACAGGCGTCAGTCACTGCGCCCAGCCTATTTTGCCCTATGTCTAATAGGTGGGGTTTTGAAATCTGTATCACTGATGTTATTTCCTGTAGAAAGCAACACCACCTGTAATTCTGTATAAATCTACCTGGTTTTTCCGTATCTGTGTGTTAGGAAATTATAGGATGAACTTTGCAAAGATAGACATTTACATTTTCTCCATCTTTATATGCTTTTGTGAAAGTGTTCTTGGAGAGCCTTAACATTTTTGAGGCTGGGTATGGTGGCTCACACCTATAATCCCAGCACATAGGGAGACAGAGTTGGGAGGCTCGCTTAAGCCCAAGAGTTTGAGACCAGCCTACGCAACATAGTGAGACCTCATCTGTACAAATAATTTAAAAAATTAGCCAGGGTGGTGGTGTACACCTGTGGTCCCAGCTACTTGGGAGGCTGAGGCAGAAGGATTGCCCGAGCCCAGGAGGCTGAGGCTGCAGTGAGCTGTGATTGTTCCACTGTGTCCAGTGTGGCTGACAGAGTGAGACCTTTGTCTCAAAATAAAAACATTTTTTTCTTTGAGTCTAAAAGATTCTTACTCATTCACTGATAGGGAAAACCTAGTAGAGGTTTAGTGCCTTACTTACTTGATAAGAAAGTAAAATCTTGGGGGAGGCCGACAGGGGGCGGGTCATTTGAGGTCAAGAGTTTGAGACCAGCCTGGCCAACAGGGTAAAACCCCATCTCTGCTAAAAATCCAAAAATTCGTGGATGTAGTGGTGTGCATCTATAATCCCAGCTACTCAGGAGGCTGAGGCAGGAGAATCACTTGACCCCGGGAGGTGGAGGTTGCAGTGAGCTCATATTGTGCCACTATAAACTCTGTCTTAAAAAAAAAAAGAAAGTCAAGACTTGGATACTTTCCTTACACTTACACAGCAGGACATGAAGCAAGCCTTGACTGTTATCTAGGTAAGTTGTTGAGTAAGACAGTCAAACTAAACAGTTAGGCAAACACACAAACACACACACAAATTTATGTTAATAATAATCAGTGGTAGTAGCACCTGGCTGGGTGATTTATGTTCTCTCCTCACCCCAGCCTCCTGTGCCTCATTTCCTTGCGTTGACTTTAAGCAATTCTGTAAGTTTAGATTTGGGTGAACGTTTTCTGAAGAATACTGCCTCTTTGAAGATGGAATTATAGTGAAAGTAGCATTGTTATTTCTTTTGTTTGTTTGTTTTTCTGAGACAGAGTCTCGCTCTGTCACCCAGGCTGGAGTGCAGTGGCGCAATCTCGGCTCACTGCAACCTCTGCCTCCCAGGTTCAAGTGATTCTCCTGCCTCAGCCTGCGGAGAGTAGCTGGGATTACAGGTGTCTGCCACCACATCCGGCTGATTTTTATATTTTTAGTAGAGACGGGGTTTCTCCATGTTGGCCAGGCTGGTCTCGAACTCCTGACCACAGGTGCGTCCGCCTGCCTAGGCCTCCCAAAGTGCTGGGATTCTTGGCATGAGCCACCGCGCCCGGCCGCCATTGTTATTTCTTGTCTCACAATTCATTATACATTTCCGAGGCATTTTGCAGATAGTTTGTACATTCACTTTTAGATATTCTTACAACTATGATGACTAGACGGAGTTTAGCTCTTGTTGCCCAGGCTGGAGTGTAATGGTGCGATCTCGGCTCACCACAGCCTCTGCCTTCCGGGTTCAAGCCATTTTCCTGCCTCAGCCTCCCAAGTAGCTGGGATTACAGGCATGCGCCTCCATGCCCGGCTAATTTTGTATTTTTAGTAGAGATGGGGTTTCTCCATGTTGGTCAGGCTGGTCATGAACTCCTGACCTCAGGTGATCTGCCTGCCTCGGCTTCCCAAAGTGCTGGGATTACAGGCGTGAGCCACCGTGCCCGGCCGTTTTCGTGCCTTTTTAATGATTGCCTTTTTCGTCTATATCTGCTTTGTGTATAGTAAAGTAGGCACATGCAATATAATACCAGATTTTTATAACGAGTGAATGTGCTAAAACCTATTAGAATAAGAATAGTCTCTTAAGAGGCCAGGTACAGTAAATAACTCACACCTTTAATCCCAGCACTTTGGCAGGTCGAGGTGGGAGGATTACTTGAGCCCAGGAGTTCAAGGCCAGCCTGTGCAACATAGCAGGCCTGTCTCTAAAAAAAAATACAATAAAAAATTAGCTGGGTGTGGTGGTACACACCTGTAGTCCTAGGTACTTGGAAGGCTGAGGGAGGATAGTTCGAGCCCAGGAGATCGACGCTGCAGTGAGCTGTGATTGTGCCACTGCACTTGAGCCTGGGCAACAGAGTGAAATGCTGTCTCAAAAAAGAATAGTCTTTTAAGGAATAATGTCATCTATTTTAGTGGTTACTACACTCCATGTCGTGATACATTGTCGCATGGGTTTTGTTGGTCCTCAAGAGTCCTAGCTTACCACTAGCTGGGTTGCCTTGGACAAATGCGTTAACTGCTGAAAGCTTTGGTTTTCCTTGTCTGTAAAATGATGATGACGTTAATAGTCAATAGATGTGACAGTGCCACATTCAGTAAATACTAGCTGTTGTTATTTAATGGGGGTTTCAAAAGTTAGAATATGAATAATATGAAATTTTTATGACATATTTTACTAGTAAAAAGGTGGAAATTGGAAATTTCTCTGAAAATTATGAAGAGCATAATTTTGCAGCCACAAACGTTTTTCAACCAAAAATTTCAAAGAAGCAGTTTTTAAATATGGTGAATTTAATATAATAGCTATTCTAAACATCTTCACCTGGAGAGTTGCATCTACTGCATTAGTATCTTGCCATGTTATTTAGTGTAATGCTTTTTATTTTTAATTTATTCATTTTTTGAATAGATAATACAGCCATATGGTTCAAATTCCAAAGGTTACAAAAGGAAGTGTAGTGAAAAATCTTCCTTCCATCCCTTCTCCTAGTTTCCCTTCCCAGAAGCAACCAGTCATTATACTCTTGTATAGTAGGTATAGAGATTCTTAAATCCTTGGTTGGATTTAAAATGCAATGAGCAGCCTAAAATTATGTGAACATTTTGTATGTGTGTATCTATTTTAAAAATGGGGAATCAATAGGGATTTTTCAGATTCTCAAAGGGATATCTGACTTAAAACGGGTTAAGATCTATTGATCTAGTTTGTACCTTTGACTAATGATGTGTGTTCTTCAGGCATCTAAGATTTGTGTGTGTGTGTGTGTTTTGAGATGGAGGTTCGCTCTTGTTGCCCAGGCTGGAGTGCAGTGGCCCCATCTCGGCTCAGTGCAACCTCTGCCTCCCAGGTTCAAGCAATTCTCCTGCCTCAGCCTCCCAAGTAGCTGGGATTACAGGTGTGCGCCACCACACCCAGTTAATTTTGTATTTTTAATAGAGATGGGGTTTCACCATGTTGGTCAGGCTGGTCTTGAACTCTTGACCTCAAGTGACCCTCCCACTTTGGCCTCCCAAAGTGCTGGGATTACAGGCATGAGCCACCGCACCCGGCCGTGTGTGTGTGTGTTTAAAAAATAACCATAAGCTTTACTTTCGAACTGAAAGAACATCTATATGTTAATAGATGTTAAAGTTCAGTTTTAGAACCTTTGAAAAAGTGTGGTAATAATTTTTTTGGGGGGAAGCAATTTTAAGATCTTGCACAAAAGCAAGTGCCAAACTATGTTATTTTTTTTTTTCTTTTTAATTTTATTATTATTATACTTTAAGTTTTAGGGTACATGTGCACAACGTGCAGGTTTGTTACATATGTATACATCGCAAGGACAAAAAACCAAACACCGCATGTTCTCACTCATAGGTGGGAATTGAACAATGAGAACACATGGACACTGGAAGGGGAACATCATATACCAGGGACTGTTGTGGGGTCGGGGGGATGGGGGACGGATAGCATTAGGAGATATACCTAATGTTAAATGACGAGTTAATGGGTGCAGCACACCAACATGGCACATGTATACATATGTTATTTTTTTCTTTCTTTCTTTTTTTGTGATGGGAGTTTCGCTCTTGTTGCCCAGGCTGGAGCGCAATGGCGCTATCTTGGCTCTCTGCAACCTCCGCCTCCCGAGTTCAGGAAATTCTCCTGTATTTTTATTTATGAAAGATTGTACCCAGTTGTAATGAAGAGATAATTTCATTCACTTTTAGGAAGGAATATACATTTTTTAATATATCCTAATAGTTTGCTTCTGTAGCATAGGTAAAATTATTGTACAGAGTTTTATGTGGGCCAAAAGAAATTGGCCAGGCGCGGTGGCTCACACCTGTAATCCCAGCACTTTGGGAGGCTGAGGCGGGTGGATCACTTGAGGTCAGGAATTTGATACCAGCCAGGCCAACATGGTGAAACCCCATCTCTACTAAAAATACAAAAAAATTAGTCAGGCGTGGTGATGCGCACCTGTAATCCCAGCTACTTGGGAGACTGAGGAGAATCACTTGAACTGGGAGGCAGAGGTTGCATCACTGCACTCCAGCCTGGGTGACAGAGTGAGAGTGTCTCAAAAAAAAAAAAAAAAAAAAAAAAAGAAATTGAGAGTCAGTGTACCTGATATATTCATCACTTAAAAGTAGGATAGAAGCTTGCATTCATATTCATCCCATTAAGAACTAATTGCTTAATCCTGGCCAGGTGTTGTGACTTATGCCTGTAATCCTAGCACTTTGGGAGGCCAAGGCGGGCAGATCACCTGAGGTCAGAAGTTTGAGACCAGCCTGGCCAACATTGTGAAACCTCGTCTCTATTAAAAATACAAAAATTAGCCAGGCATGGTGGCACGCGCCTGTAGTCCCAGCTACTCGGGAGGCTGAGGCAGGAGAATCGCTTGAATCCGGGAGGCAGAGGTTGCAGTGAGCTGAGATCACACCATTGCACTTGAGCCTGGGCAACAAGAGCAAAACTCCGTCTCAAAAAAAAAAAAAAAAAAAAAAACGGAAAAATTTCTTAACTTAGGGTTCGTGGATTTCTGGTTGGGACAGTGTATATCTGGATGGGCTTCAGGGTTTCTAGACCCTCCTAAAATTATATGTAAAGTTTCTGTGTATGTGCATTCTTTTTTGGAGGAGAGAATTGATTGCTTTCATCAGATTCTCAAAGATTCATCCCTTCCATTCACGTTCTCTCTCTATAGTTAAGAGTTTTTGGCTTAGACTAAATGGGAATTGTGTTGTTACTATTTTCTGAGTATCGTGTTAGCTGCTCTGTGTGCACATATGCATCTACCCTTACCATAAAACACTGTAAGCCATAAACAGCATTCATCATAATGTGCGTCCGTCCAGGATGTAACCTGGATATTTATATGCAATATTTATATGCAAGACAGGGCATATAAATATTGAAGTGCCAAATGAATGTTCTCATAAGATGAAGTGGTCCTTTTCTACCTAGAATTTTCTTCCCCAACTTCTTATCATTCAAGTTTTAGCTCCAGTGGGACCTCCTTGGGGACTTCCTTGATGACTTTAGAAAACAGTCTTTCGGCTGGGCACAGTGGCTCACGCCTGTAATCCCAGCACTTTGGGAGGCTGAGGTTGGTGGATCATGAGGTCAGGAGATCGAGACCATCCTGGCTAACACGGTGAAAACCCGTGTCTACTAAAAATACAAGAAAAAAACAACAAAAAAAAACTAGCCGGGCGTGGTAGCAGGTGCCTGTAGTCCCAGCTACTCGGAAGGCTGAGGCAGGAGAATGGCGTGACCCTGGGAGGTGGTGCTTGCAGTGAGCCAAGATTGCGCCACTGCACTCCAGCCTGGGCGACAGAGTGAGACTCTGTCTCAAAAAAAAAAAAAAAAAGTCTTTGGGCTGGGTGCGGTGGCTCACGCCTGTAATCCCAGCACTTTGGGAGGCTGAGGTGGGCGGATCTATCTCAAAAAGAAAAGAAAAAAAAATAGTCTTTGGCTAGGCAAGGTGGCTCATGCCTGTAATCCCAGCACTTTGGGAGGACGCAGGAGGATCTCCTGAGGCCAGGTGTTCAAGATCAACCTGGGCAACATAGTGAGACCCCTGTTCCTACTAGAAAATTAAAAAATTAGCTGGAAATGGTAGCATGCACCTGTGTCTTGGCTACTTGGGAGGCCGAGACAGGAAGGAGGATTGCTTGCTCTAGGTGACAGCAAGACCCTTGTCTCTTGGAAAAAAAAGTGTTTGAAGTTTCTATTACTCTGTTGTTTCTTATAATCTTTAATTATTTTATCTTTGTTTGTTCACTTGTCTGATATATCTCCCCTCCCCCATTAAAATATGATCTTCTGTGTAGAAATCTTGTTTTTCTTATCTCTAGGGCTTCGAACAGTGCCTTGTACGTAATTGGCATTCAATAAATATTTCTTAGTAAATGAACGAACATTTTTATTTCACATTTAGGTTGACTTAGTTGACTAATAAGTAATAAAGGCATTTATTTTTCCTTCATAAATATTTAAACAGTTTATTTTTTTTTTGCAAAACCCAGGCCAATTTTAGTTTAAAAAAATAAAATTTTAATGCCAATTTTATTTTAACTTATAATTTACACAAAATATAAACTTGTTTAATGAAAACTTTTTATTTTAAAAGGATCACATTGCTGAGTGTTCAATTAAAATCCTGAGTGGGTTTGTGCTTTGGTAATTCTGCATGTTTCAGGTTAAAAACATAAGTGGTATATTATATAGAGAGAATGGAGTGGATTTTATAGACGAAAAACTTAGAGTGATTCCTTTTACTTTGCAAATTCATCACTTTCATTTCACAAAAGTTAAGACGTTAAGTCCAGTGAAATCCCTCTGTTCTGCGTATTTGAGGACTGATTATAGCCTAATCAGATCACCAGACTTTATATAGTTTAAGAGAGAATAGCATATCTGAATATTATAATGGACTTTCAGAGCAGAGTTTTATGGGCAAATGTTCTCTGATTTGTAAAACTTACATTTTATAATATTGGCTCATAATAGTAATTAGATTTTGTAGTGCTTGAAAAAGATCAGTAAAGTTTCTAGATATTTCGAATAGGCTAAAGTAGTTCTTTTGTTTGCAAGTGATGACATCCTCTTTTAATACTTAAAAATGGTTTCTACCTTTTGTATTTGAAGGTTTTTTTTTTGAAAACTTATATGGAATCTTATTTTTATGTTACAGTAGAATTAAGCATAGTTTCCCTCAGTAAGAATGTAGGCCCTGGGGTCACACATACCTGAGTTTGAATTCTGAGTCCACCATTAGAAGCCATTTGACTTTTTTTTTTTTTTTCTTACATTGTCGCCTGGGCTGGAGTGCAGTGACGCGATCTCTGCTCATTGCAACCTCCACCTCCCGGGTTCAAGCAATTCTTCTGCCTCAGCCTCCTGAGTAGCTGAGATTACAGGCACCCACCACCACGCCCAGCTAAGTTTTTGTATTTTTAGTATAGATGGGGTTTTGCCATGTTGGCCAGGCTGGTCTTGAACTCCTGACCGTGTGATTCGCCCGCCTTGGCCTCTCAAAGTGCTGGGATTACAGGCATTGAGCCACCACACCTGGCCAGGAGCTGACTTCTAAGCCTTGGTTTTCTTCTCTCTAAAACTGGGAGAGTAATAGAAGCCATATCATAGAGTCAGATTAAATTCCAGAAGGCAGGTAAAACATTTAGCCTAGTGCTAGATACACTGTATGAGTTGAAGAATATTAACTACTATAATTATAGGAAAAAGTACACAATGGCAAATGTTTACTAACGTCTTTTAGTTGATTTTTGTTCCTTTAACACGTTACATGGATTCTTTGCATTTAAGGAAGAAAAATATGGAGTATATACAGCTGTGAGAATTATACTTTTAAAGCAAAAAGGAGAAACTAGTTCTTATGGAACAATCTCAGCATTACTGTTTAGTTAATGTCAGTTTGAGACAGATTTCTTGTTTCTGGAATCAGAATTTAAAGTGGCTAATGTAATTATTTTCAAGGGAAATTCCATTTATGGAGCATTACCAGGTAAAATTATTATTAGATAAACTTTCTTTTTTTTTGAGACGGAGTTTCCCTCTTGTTGTCCAGGCTGGAGAGCAACGGCTTGATCTTGACTCACTGCAACCCCCACCTCCTGGGTTCAAGTGATTCTCCTGCCTCAGCCTCCCGAGTAGCTGGGATTACAGGCATGTGCCACCACAACTGACTAATTTTGTATTTTTAGTAGAAATGGGGTTTCACTGTGTTGGTCAGGCTGGTCTTGAGCTGCCAACCTCAGGTGATCCGCCCGCCTTGGCCTCCCAGAGTGCTGGGATTACAGGCGTGAGCCACTGTGCCCGGCCTAGGTAAACTTAATTTGGAAGTTGTTAGGCTGGGCGCAGTAGCTCACACCTGTAATCCTACCTAGCACTTTGGGAGGCTGAGGTGGGAGGATCGCTTGAGCCCAGGAGTTCAAGACCAGCCTGGGAAGCATGGCAAAACTCTGTCTCTACAAAAAATAGAAAAATTAGCCAGGTGTGGAGGCATGCTCCTGTCGTCCCAGCTACTCTGCAGGCCAAGGTGAGAGAATCACCTGATTCCGGGAGGTCAAGGCTGCAGCAGTGAGCCAAGATCATGCTGCTGCACTCCAGCTTGGGTGACAGAGTGAGACCCTGTCTCAAAAAGAAAAAGAGAAAGAGAGAAAGATTGAGAGAGAGAGAGAGAAAGAGAAAGAGAGACAGAGAGACAGAAAGAGAGAAAGTTGTTTCCCAGGACAGGATCTTCAAATGTTTTTGTAATTGCTTACTTCTATCAGAGAATATAACTTCAGCACTCTTGTATTTGTCCTGTTACACAACATTAAAACATATACAAACATAGAGATGTTTAAAAAGGATGATATTGAAAAATAAGATATAGAGTTCTAATACTTTCGTGCCTCCATTTCGCTTGCCCATTCCCCAGCACACACACTGGTCTGGAACACAGCTTTGTTTTGATATTTAGATTCAAAGAGAGAACTTTCTCTTTGGGTTTTGAGCCATGTTAGTTTTGCAGCATTTTATTTTGAACCAGCGAAGGACATGAAGAGGGCCAGGCATGGTGGCTCACTCCTGTAATCCCAGCACTTTGGGAGGCTGAGGCAGGCAGATCACTTGAAGTCAGGAGTTCGAGACCAGCCTGGCCAACATGGTGTAACCCCATCTCTACTAAAAATACAAAAAAAATTAGCCAGGTGTGGTGGTAGGTGCCTGTAATCTCAGCTACTTGGGAGGCTGAGGCAGGAGAATCTCTTGAACCCATGCGGCGGAGGTTGCAGTGAGCTGAGATTGCACCACTGCACTCCATCCTGGGTACAGAGCAAAACTCCATCTCAAAAAAAAGACAGGAAGAACTGAATGAGAAACTTCTTTCTTAGTGTACCTTCTTGAGGTCTTTGCATAGGCTTTTAAGTTTATTGCACCTTAAGGAAACAAAATCTGAATTGAGGATTTTACCAGTTTAAAGAGTATCACAGATGGCTCTTTGTTGATGGCTCTTATCTTGTGGTCAGTGGGTGAGTTTTAGAGGGCCCTTGACCCTCTTGAAATTCCAGGGAGTATTTTGTGTCTCTGTGCAGACTGACACTTTTCCGGACAAAGGTAGAGCTTTCATCAGATTCTCAAAGGAGTTTCTCCAAAGGCTAGGAACAGTTGCTTTGGGTGGTTGGCATGTTTTCTCACTCAGAGTGGAGACAGAATTTGTCATCTCTCTCTGTAGAAGGGAGCTCTCATGACTAGAGGTTTCTTCTCCTGTATGTCTTTCCTGATTTTTGATTCTTTTTGATACCAAATAGAATTTTAAAAGGTATTTGAAGGGAGAAGTTACTACATGACTGTAGTGTGTGGTTGGCTGGAAAATTTTGATCTGCATCATTTGAAAAATTAAGCTGGGTGAATAGGAATACCAGTGATAAAATTGAGTGTGCCTGTAAAGAAACATTTTTCTGGAATGGCTGTGGACCTGGGAGAATTTGGGAGGAGAAAGTCAGGTTGTTTCTGCTGGTAAAGAAATAGGTTAGCAATCAGTTAAGAAGAGATGTCTGTTGGTTTTTCGGTGTGCCAGGCAATGTACCACATGGCGTCTCATTTAAGCTGCACGCCCAATACCAAGAACAAGCGATGTTTGCTTTTAACTGAGGGCAAAGTAACTTGCCCACTCGTGCAGAGAGAGCCAGGGGTGGGACCCTAGGCCGGTCTGGCTCTAAAGCTGGTAACTTCCTTGTTGTGGCCGTTAGTCATAAATGTGTGCAGGTGAGAACAGCTAACCGCAATCTTGGTCATACTGTGCTGGGGTGATTTACTAAGACGTTTTTGCAAGTACTCTAAAAATTACGAGGAGACTGAAGGTGGTGAGAAAGCAAAGCAGAGAAGAGAAGAATGAGGGGAGCAGCCAGGCCTGCAGCAGCACTGTGGGTGGTGATGGGGAGAGGTGTGGCAGGCCGTGGGCTCTGGGCTCCTCAAGAAGGCTGGCCAGGCCGGGGAGCTGGGCACAAGACGTGTCCCTGGGCCCCTGTGCAACTCATGCTGTGTCCTGGTGAAGGCATGTCAGTCATGTCAGTCATGGAATAGTAAGGAACAGTTCAGTAAACTGGTAGCATTCTGGCTGTGGTGTCCTTGAACACTCATCCCTCCATCTTTGGGGAACTCACTTATTGTAGGAAAGGGTCTGGGTTCAAGTCTAGGTGATAATCTTAGCTTTATGAACTGAGGTGAGTTATTTAAACGTCTTTGGAACTTCAGTCTCCCTTTTGGTAAAACGAGATTCATGCTGCCCAAGGTGGTTGTGAAGAGTAAGTGAGGCATTGTGGGTAAACTGTCTGAATAGTGGTTGGCTGCTTAATAAATATGCGTTCCCTCATCTCTCTGTTTGCCATTTATCTTTCTTGAAGTCAGCCCTGTGGACCTGGATCTTGTTTCAGAATATGCAGTGTTGTGAGAGAAGCAATCTGGCAAAAGTTCATCCGTTATGTAGGCACCATGAAAGACTTTTGTCTCACAGTGACGTTAAATTTTAATTTAATTAATTCAGGGCTGCTTGTGCCTGGAACACTGTTCAAAGTAAAATGTTAAAACATTAAAAAGAACATGTAGCAAATTGAGACTTGGCACCATTTCAGGAAAAATACTGTCTTCTAATAAGGGAGATACAGACTTGAATTAACCTTTTACTGAAGTGCCCCCAGGAAACAATATCTGGCAATAGTAGGGCATACTCCTCCACCATATCTTATGAGGAAATATAGTGAGAATTCAGAGTAGGTTCAGGCTCCTAAGGGCTGTCTTCTACTAGCAGTGTAGGAATCACAGCTGTTGTGTGCCTTACACATTATAAGCACACAACACTGTTTTTGATTGAATGAGTACTTTGAATGCAAGAATATTTATAGCAAAGGTGAAGAGTTTTTTTGAGGGTAAGAAGGCTACTTTTGATCTTTATCTCATCAAATTAATTTTTTTTTTTTTTTTAGCGTGTAACCTTTGTTTTTTTTTTTAATTTATTTATTTTTGATCATTCTTGGGTGTTTCTCACAGAGGGGGATTTGGCAGGGTCACGGGACAATAGTGGAGGGAAGGTCAGCAGATAAACAAGTGAACAAAGGTCTCTGGTTTTCCTAGGCGGAGGACCCTGCGGCCTTCCGCAGTGTTTGTGTCCCTGGGTACTTGAGATTAGGGAGTGGTGATGACTCTTAACGAGCATGCTGCCTTCAAGCATCTGTTTAACAAAGCACATCTTGCACCGCCCTTAATCCATTTAACCTTGAGTGGACACAGCACATGTTTCAGAGAGCACAGGGTTGGGGGTAAGGTCACAGATCAACAGGATCCCAAGGCAGAAGAATTTTTCTTAGTACAGAACAAAATGAAAAGTCTCCCATGTCTACCTCCTACTACACAAACACGGCAACCATCCGATTTCTCACTCTTTTCCCCACCTCTCACCACTTTCTACTCCACAAAACCGCCATTGTCATCATGGCCCGTTCTCAATGAGCTGCCGGGCACACCTCCCAGATGGGGTGGTGGCCGGGCAGAGGGGCTCCTCACCTCCCAGTAGGGGCGGCCGGGCAGAGGCGCCCCCCACTTCCCGGAAGGGGCTGCTGGCCGGGCGGGGGGCTGACCCCCCCACCTCCCTCCCGGACGGGGCGGCTGGCCGGGCAGAGGGGCTCCTTACTTCCCAGTAGGGGCGGCCGGGCAGAGGCGCCCCTCACCTCCCGGACGGGGCGGCTGGCCGGGCAGGGGGCTGACCCCCCCACCTCCCTCCCGGACGGGGCGGCTGGCCGGGTAGAGGGCTGACCCCCCGACCTCCCTCCCGGACGGGGCGGCTGGCCGGGCGGGGGGCTGACCCCCCCCACCTCCCTCCTGGACGGGGCGGCTGGCCTGGCGGTGGGTGACCCCCACCTCCTTCCTGGACGGGGTGGCTGCCGGGCGGTGACGCTCCTCACTTCTCAGACGGGGCGGCTTCCGGGCGGAGGGGCTCCTCACTTCTCAGACGGGGCGGCCGGGCAGAGACGCTCCTCTCCTCCCAGACGGGGTCGCGGCCGGGCAGAGACGCTCCTCTCCTCCCAGACGGGGTCGCGGACGGGTAGAGGCGCTCCTCACATCCCAGACGGGGCGGCGGGGCAGAGGCGCTCCCCACATCTCAGACGATGGGCGGCCGGGCAGAGACGCTCCTCACTTCCTAGATGGGATGGCGGCCGGGAAGAGGCGTTTCTCACTTCCTAGATGGGATGGCGGCCGGGCAGAGACGCTCCTCACTTTCCAGACTGGGCAGCCAGGCAGAGGGGCTCCTCACGTCCCAGATGATGGGCGGCCAGGCAGAGACGCTCCTCACTTCCCAGACGGGGTGGCGGCCGGGCAGAGGCTGCAATCTCGGCACTTTGGGAGGCCAAGGCAGGCGGCTGGGAGGTGGAGGTTGTAGCGAGCCGAGATCACGCCACTGCACTCCAGCCTGGGCAACATTGAGCACTGAGTGAACCAGACTCCGTCTGCAATCCCGGCACCTCGGGAGGCCGAGGCTGGTGGATCACTCGCGGTTAGGAGCTGGAGACCAGCCCGGCCAACACAGCGAAACCCCGTCTCCACCAAAAAAATACGAAAACCAGTCAGGCGTGGCGGCGCGTGCCTGCAATCGCAGGCACTCGGCAAGCTGAGGCAGGAGAATCAGGCAGGGAGGTTGCAGTGAGCCGAGATGGCAGCAGTACAGTCCAGCTTCGGCTCGGTATCAGAGGGAGACCGTGGGGAGAGGGGGAGGGGGAGGGGGAGGGGGAGGGCAGCGTGTAACCTTTGTAACTTCACTTCAGCCTCTGGTTGCACAACCTCATCAAATTAATTTTTCAGGAAGATAGCCATGCATCAGAAGGAGTGGTGTTTTCCCCCAGTTTGTGAGCAAAAATCAAAAGGACTGGAAAGCAGATTGAAACAGGGGACTTTTTAAAGTAGAAGAAAGTTTCAGTATTCCCTGTTCTGTGAGGTGTTCTATACATCCATCTGCACTTGTCTCTCCAACTCCACCTACAACTGATACAACTAACTGGGCTCTTTTTTTTGAGACTGAGTCTTGCTCTATTCACCAGACTGGAGTGCAGTGGCGTGATCTCAGCTCACTGCAACCTCTGCCTCCTGGGTTCAAGCGATTCTCCTGCCTCAGCCTCCTGAGTGGGATTACCGGCATGTGCCACCATGCCTGGCTAATTTTTGTATTTTTAGTAGAGACGGGATTTCTCCATGTTGGTCAGGCTGGTCTTGAACTCCTGACCTTGTGGTCTGCCCGCCTCCGCCTCCCAAAGTGCTGGGATTACAGGCATGAGCCACTGCGCCCGGCCAACTAACTGGTGTTTTTAATAGTAACCCGTCTTCTAGAAATAATGCTCATTTCACTTTAAGAAAGTTTAAAGATATTTTAATCAAAAACAGTTTAGATGAAGTTCTAAAACTTATGTTGAATAGAGCTATATTGTATTATATTTAGATTTATGTCTTAACATTTTAAAAGGCAGTTCAAGTAACTGGGATTTATTTTAACTGTACTGGTTTAGTGAGATGTTCTAGAAATGGTATATGCTTTAGATACTCTTGGGCTTAGGAGTGGTAGACTGTATTCATACTCTTGAATTATGGCAAGATTTGAATAAAATACATTATATGCATGTGTTTTTCTTTTTCTTTTTTTTGAGACAGAGTCTCACTCTGTTGCCCAGGCTGGAGTGCAGTGGCGCGATCTTGGCTCACTGCAAGCTCTACCTCCCTGGTTCACGCCATTCTCCTGTCTCAGCCTCCCAAGCAGCTGGAACCACAGGCACCTGCTACCATGCCCGGCTAATTGTTTTTTTTTTTTTTTTTTTTTTTTTTTGTATTTTTAGTAGAGATGAGGTTTCACCATGTTAGCCAGGATGGTCTCAATCTGCTGACCTCGTGATCCACCCGCCTCGGCCTCCCAAAGTGCTGGGATTACAGATGTGAGCCACTGCACCTGGCCACGCATGTGTTTTTCTAAATGTATATGAAGCAAACAGCTATGAAAGGAGTCCGCCTAGGACCTGGCTAACTCAGTCTCCTCCAAGGGCCTTAAATTCTCATTTTTATGATTGTTACAGTGGGCTATGCAGTTCAGTCCATTTATTCATTCATTCAACACATTTCTGTTGAGCCATATGATACACCAGACACTGTTCTGGGAATACAGTGATGAGCATAACAGGATTGGTCTCTGATATTTGGAGAGATAGATATTAATCACCTGAACAGACAAAGATAGAATTCCAACAATGGCAAGTGCTTTTGGAGAAATAGGGTGGCCATTCAGGGAAGGTTTCTCAGAGGAAGCGATTATGCTGAGAGAAGAAGACAGGGCAGGCAGGTTGATAAGGTTCTTCTTGGCTGGGCGCGGTGGCTCACACCTGTAATCCCAGCACTTTGGGAGGCCGAGGCGGGCGGATCATGAGGTCAGAAGATCGAGACCATCCTGGCTAGCACGGTGAAACCCCATCTCTACTAAAAATGCAAAAAATTAGCCGGGCGTGGTGGCGGGCGCCAGTAGTCCCAGCTACTCCAGAGGCTGAGGCGGGAGAATGGCGTGAACCCGGGAGGCGGAGTTTGCAGTGAGCTGAGATTGCGCCACTGCACTCCAGCCTGCGCGACAGAGCGAGACTCCGTTTCAAAAAATGTTGTAGCTAGAGATCAGAGACTGGATGGGCTATTAAGGTTTTCTGGGGCCAAATCCTCAAGACTGAATTAAGAGTTTGTCCGTAGGAGCTAGGCGTGGTGGCTCACACCTGTAATCCCAGCACTTTGGGAGGCCGAGGCGGGCGGATCACGAGGTCAGGAGTTCGAGACCAGCCTGATCAACATGGTGAAACCCCATCTTTACTAAAAATACAAAAATTAGCCGGACATGGTGGCACATGCCTGTAATCCCAGCTACTCGGGAGGCTGAGGCAGGAGAATTGCTTGAATCCAGGAAGCGGAAGTTGCAGTAAGCCGAGATTGCGCCGCTGCACTCCAGCCTCGGTAACAGAGCAACTCTGTCTCAAAAAAAAAAAAAGAGAGTTTGTCCTTAGGCCAGGCACGGTGGCTCATGCCTGTCATCCCAGCACTTTGAGAGGCCGAGGTGGGTAGATCACCTGAGGTCAGGAGTTCGAGACCCCCCTGGCCAACACGGTGAAACCCTGTCTCCACTAAAAATACAAAAAAAAAAAAAAAAAATTAGCTGGGCATGGTGGTGTGTGCCTGTAATCGCAGCTACTCGGGGGGAGAATCACTTGAACCCGGGAGGCAGAGGTTGCATTGAGCAGAGATCGTACCACTGCACTCCAGCCTGGGTGACAGAACAAGACTCTGTCTCAAGAGAAAAAAAAAGAGTTTGTCCTTGATCCCAAGAACATTTATACACCCTCAAATATACAACCACAGAATATATAAATCACCTCTAGATCCCCTACCCAGTCATAAGGAATAATATTTTCCCCTCATGTTTACGTATTTTTTTCTTTTTTTTTGAGACGGAGTCTCGCTCTTGTTGCCCAGCCTGGAGTGCAATGGCACGATCTTGGCTCACTGCAACCTCTGCCTCCCAGGTTCAAGCGATTCTCCTGCCCCACCCTCCCAAGTAGCTGGGACTACAGGCATGTGCCACCACGCCTGGCTAATTTTGTATTTTTAGTAGAGACGGGGTTTCTCCATGTTAGGCTGGTCTCGAACTCCCGACCTCAGATGATCTGCCTGTCTTGGCCTCCCAAAGTGTTGGGATTACAGGCATGAGCCACTGCGCCCGGCCTCTTTTATTTTTTTTATTTTTTTATTTTTAATTTTTTTAAGTGAAAGCAAGTTTATTAAGAAAGTAAAGGAATAAAAGAATGGCTACTCTGTAGGCAGAGCAGCCTGCATATTCTTATATTATACTTTTATTTTTCCATGTGATTATTTATAATAACATTATGATGGAAGATTACTTTGAGGTAGTCTTATTGTTGGAGTTGGAATTTTAAAAAGTTCTCTTGTCATGGTAACATTGTGCTTATTGTATTTTATGATATTGTGGTTTCCATGCAAACAAGTCACTTCATTGCTTGCCTTTTAAAAATATTGCTAATTTACTTTTAGACCATAAAAATGAAATATACAACAAAAAAACATCAAGTCTCTTAAAGAAAAACTGTAAATAAAATCTGTGTGGGCACTGTGGCTCACCCCTGTAATTACAGTGATTTGGGAGGCTGAGACGGGAGGATCTCTTGAGGCCAGGAGCTTGAGACCAACCTGGGCAGCAGAGTGAGATCCCTGTCTCTACAGAAGAAAAAAAAAATTAGCCTGGCATGGTGATGTATACCTGTAGTCCCAGCTACTCCAGAGGCTAAGGCAGGAGGATCCCTTGAACCCAGGAGTTTGAGGCTGCAGTTAACCATGATTGCACCACTGCACTCCAGACTGGGTGACAGAGTGAGACCAATAAATAAACAAACAAAAAAATCTGGGCCAGGAATGTTGGCTTATGCTTGTAATCCCAGTGCTTTGGGAGACTGAGGCAGGAGGATTGCTTAAGGCCAGGAGTTCGAGGCTGCAGTGAGCTGTGATTGCATCGCTGCAACACAGCCTGGGTGACAGAGTGAGATCCTGTCTCTAAAAAATAAAATTAATAAAATAAAATCTATCTGTAGGCTCAGCTATATGTTCTATGGATGCCACTGTGTTATTAAAGTACACAATCTTAAGTTTTTATGTGTTTTAATTCCCTATTTTATGAACTACTGCTTGGAATAGTGGGGAACATAATGCAATAGAATTAATTCATTAAGAGAATAAAAGTTTAGAAGATTAGATCTAGAATTATTGTCAGTACCAACTGAAGTTCATTAAATGAGAATGCAAGCAACAGTAAAACCGCAGTTAGGTGAAGCAATTAACATCGGTGGTGTTATGGTTACTGTGAAGACTGGAAAAATAAATAATTGAAAGTATTTCAAATTTGACAAATGGAATGAAGTTAAAAATTGAATCCACCTCCTTGTCACTTTCTAATTTTAAATTTTCCTGAGCTATTATAATTTAAATTATTGAGAATTATCTGCACTGCATTTTGTGGGTGGTGAAAATTGAGTGGAGTGAGTGCTTTTCAGTACCAGTGCTTGAAGCGAAACTGGATTTGTGATGGTTTACGTAAGGAAGAAAGCATCATCCATGATTATGTCAGACTCTGACCTGACAGGGTCTAACAAAATAAATAAAGGACTGTGGAGTTTGGGGTTTTTGATAGTGCTTAAATGACCACTCTTGTACCTAAATAGTTAATAAATTTCAAAGTGTTTTTAGTCATTTCATGGCTAGTCAAGACAGTGTGCATTCCTGTGGGCCCAAATCTATATTTAATATCAAAATATTCTTGGTGAAATTATGTTTCTTCACAGTTTTACTTAATGGAATATTCTTTTTCATTTGTGTGTTAATGTAGGGCACTACACCTACATTACTTGACTAGGAGGATATCCTATTTTTATTTTTTATTTTTTTTAAGCAAGGCTGGTAATAATTATGTACTGTCATAACATAATTTCACCACCTCAGGGTGTCATAGTTAACAATTGATACTCATTTGTGCCCACAGATGCAAGGATAGTTGACCAGTTCTCTGCCTCTTAAATAATACATATTTTTTGAGTCATAAGACTTGGGTTTCAAGTGGATCCTATAAAGTTGATCTCTTTGTATGCTACGTTTAGGGAAGTGAGTGTTTGTTTTTAAAAATCTATTTAGTTCATCCATAGACTAAATTGTTTAAGCAAAACAATATATCACTATATATTATATATTAGGTTTGCTATTGAGCTCTAAAAAGCATTCAGAAAGAATTTTTGAGTGAAGTAATATTTGGAAGCTGTCAAAGTTAGTACATTACTGAACCGAAGGATTAGCCTAGCCAAATATGAGCTGCTTTGCTCTATGACAGATGTGAAAGCATTGTGTTCACCTGTCTTCCCAGCTGGTGTGTGTTGAGATGGGGAGGTTGGAGATTGGGGAATTGGATGTGTGTGATGATCTTGGTATCTTGCCTGTGAAACATCGGGATTGGTGGTGGTTGCCAAATGTAGGAAATACGTTGATGATACGTGGACAGATAGGAAATCGCTATTAACCTAACACCTTTCATTCAGTGGGAGCATCTAAAAGTCTTCTAAACAAGATCCAAAGAAGTTGCTAGGAGTTTTGTGAAAGTATCTTTGCAGCAGGTGGCTTAGAATATGAATTTCATGTTGTGTTAAACATTTTTTCTTCATCTGTGAACTTTTACTTAAAGCTATTTTTATGAACTGAAATTATGGATTTGTTGCACGCATGCAATTTTGATTAGCAATGAAACCTATATTTAGTCTTTATTCTTAGATTTTTTTCTTTTTCTTCCTCATGGGAAGTTGTGGTTATTACAGTGTCCAAAACACTCATTTCTCATTCTTTTCTCAAGATAATGAGGGTCGTCATTGACATGTCTTCAGTTTCTGTTGAGATAAGAAAATGTATTCACCCTTGTGGAATTTTCCTTTCATAAGTAATTTAAATAAAATAAGTGGCTATGCCGGGTGTGGTGGCTCATGCCTGTAATCCCAGCACTTTAGGAGGCGGAGGTGGGCGGATCACAAGGTCAGGAGATCGAGACCATCCTGGCTAACATGGTGAAAGCCCATCTCTACTAAAAATACAAAAAACTAGCCAGGCGTGGTGGCGGGCGCTTATAGTCCCAGCTACTTGGGAGGCTGAGGCAGGAGGATGGCGTGAACCTAGGAGGCAGAGCTTGCAGTGAGCCAAGATTGCACCACTGCACTCCAGCCTGGGCGACAGAGCAAGACTCTGTCTCAAAAAAAAAAAAAAAAGTAAAATAAAAATAAAAGAAAATAAGTGACTATGACTGGGTACAGTGGCTCACACCTGTAATCCCAGCACTTTGGGAGGCTGAGGCAGGTGGATCACAAGGTCAGGAGTTCGAGACCAGCCTGGCCAACATGGTGAAACCCCATTTCTACTAAAAATACAAAAATTAGCCAGGCATGGTGGCAGGCACCTGTAATCCCAGCTACTCGGGAGGCTGAGGCAGGAGAATTGTTTGAATCCGGGAGGCGGAGGTTGCAGTGAGCCAAGATCACACCAGTCTGGGCTACAGAGTGAGACTCTGACTCAAAAAAAAAAAAAGTGTCTGTGAATGATAATGTTCACAAAAACAACATTATGTGTATTTGAAGTAGGTATATAATGAGGGAAACCAAGGCTCCAAGAAATCACTGACAGTGCAGAATTCATTAAGTGTGATTAAATTGGAATGTCAGTCAGAATTGTTTTCCAAGTTATCTTCTTGACTTGGTAGATGCTGAAGTTTCTATTCTACCTCGAGTTCTTACTTTTTATTCTAAATAATTTGAATAATTCTCAAAGACTCTGAAGCGAAAGCTTCAATCAGAGGAGGGTATTTCAGTTGTGTATACTGTTTGACTTCAACTTTATTGAAGCTTGAGATAGTGTCCCGTATAGTTGTTTATTTTCTCCCATCTGTTAACATTTTTGACATTTATTTTTTTCTTCTTTTTTCCCCTCTCTAAGTAGTTTTGCAGGTGGGCTTGCTTAGGGTTGTACGGAGGTATGGCCAGGTCAGAAATACAGAAGTGACATGGGAAGCTAGGGAGACTGAAGATAAAGACACAGAGATATTGCATGTTCAGCAGGGTAGAGTTATGAAAAGAGGGATAGGTTTGGGAGCTAGGCAGAAATCTTAGAATTTTAGTGAATTTTCCTTGTGAGCTGAGTGACTTTGGACAGATGACCTCACAGCCTCTGTTTGCTTGTCTGTAAAGTGGTGATAATATCGTCTACCTTGCAGGATTCATTTTAGAGGTGATATATGTGAAATGCCTAGAGTAGCAGCTAACACATGATAGGCGCTTGGTAATTGACAGTTGTCATGATATTTCCATCTTTGAGGTCAGGGAAATGGTCAATATTCCATGTCCATTTACGATTGTATTCTTGCTGTCTAGGATAGTGCCCCCTCTCATCTTCGCTGCTTAGAGTACCTGCTGAGGGAAACCCTCCTTTCAGGCAGGAAAGGAATTCTTTGTGTATTTAAAACAGTGCTGATTCTTACTATAGTATCGCTTCTTACTCATTACTTTTTCTTTTCTGGTTTGCATCTTAAATATTCTTCTAGAGAGTCTCTCTCTCTCTTTTTTTTTTAATGAAGAGAGTTTTTGTGTAATGTAGTATAATAAACATAGTTTTAAAGGTAGAGATTTATGATTATGGCTTGCTCTGGTTAGCAGGAAAGGTGTTGCTTTGGACAGAGCATAGTCTGTGAAAGACCCATGAGTATCAAAGGTGGCCAAATGCTTTGAAAGACTCTGGGCATAAGGTTCCTTTTCTGGTTTTATTATCAATCTTTTCAGTTGTGACTGAGAGCTGGCAGTGTCTGGCATGTAGGAGGTGTGGAATAAGTGTTTATTGAATGAATAAATATGATATTCAGATATAAAGATTTAGTGGGGTCTAAATTTATTGGGTAGTATTTATTTGATTAGATTTGGAGAGCGGAAATAGTATACAAACATTAAGTGACTTTTGGTGCAGTCTTGACAATAAAACAAACTCAGTTTCCTGTCATATCTGGGGCTTAGACTGGACAGACATTTGCTGGTTCACAAGAATTGCTGCTGGCATTAACCTGACACTTTGCAGCTCTCCTTGAAATATGCCGTAGAAAACATTGGGCTGGAGCCCAGGACCTAAAGAGCATAGTACCTTTGTGTCTGGGGGATGTGCAAGTGGAAGAGTGAGCTGCGGGAGAGAGTGTGATATTCTAGTCCTTTCTCTTACCCTGGCCCCTCTTGCCTTATAGGGATTCATATCAGCTCAGAGGCCCCAGTTCTGGCTCATCACAATTAATGAAAGATGAGCGCTATATAAGTTTCTCCTCTGGTCTTCTGTGTAGTTTCCCTTCCACTCAGATGGACACCCAGGCTCTCTTTATTTTTGTTTGATGTGTGTTCAGGAAATATAAAAAGCTTATTTTAATTCTAACTTTAAGTAAACAATTAGAAAGGAAAATTTCTGTTTGTTGTTGCAGGAACCCCTCCCCACCTCTATCCCCTGCCTCCCAAGCTCTACAATCTGTTCATTTGTTTTTAATATGCAGGAAGTGAATTTTAGGTTCTCCATGTTTTTATCCCTTCATTAGTGTGTATAATTAAGAGGTAACAGGATTTGATGTGGTTTTCCAAAGTTTTATGTAACATGAGAAGCACACTTAGTGAGTGGTTCATATTTTTGAAAGATTGTACAGTATTTGAGGGGAGATTTTCTTTTACCGGAACCTCATTTTCCAAGTTCTTCATTTTGCTGGGCATAATTTGATAAGACTTAGTCTATCCTTGTCCTTTTTACTTGAGGGCGATGCAGTGTGTATTTTGAATACACCAGTGCATGATCCTGAGGGGCCTTTCTTTGGTGAGTGTATCTTCAGAAACAGAGATAATCAGTATCCATCTTCAGGAATTTTCTTTCTTCCTGAAGACTCATTTCCACATGTCAAGTATAAACTAGGCCTATAAACTCTAGTGAGTGGTTTCATTTAACCATCCAAACAGTTTCTATTTCAGTTCCAAAAAAGGTAATTTTTCCCCCCCAGCCATTAAATAGCTGGGGTTTTTTGGTTGTTGTTGTTGTTGTTTTCTTGGTGGGGGGTAGGGGGGTGGAGAATGGGGTTTTCCACTGCTGCTGTTGGTTCTCTTTGGTGATAGGTGATGAGATGTTTCAGAAATCAAGCCATCTTCATACTAGTTGTTTAAAACTCAATATATAATACTAATGTTAGGTTTTTACAGAGTTTGGAAAGCTTGTGACAGAACATTTATAGGTAGGGAGGATTCTACTTAATTTATAGAGGTAGCTTGGAAGATATGTTTTAGTTTTCAAAATTACAGTATGTGACAATTAACTTTGTTTTAAAAAATTTTTTATTTTTTATATTACATTAGTTATTATAAGTAACAACAAGTAATTTGGAAAAGAGAAATGGCCTAGAAGGAGATACGAGGAAACTTAACACTGGTCATCTTTGGGGAATAGGAGTGGAAGTTTTCACTTTCTATCTTAACATTAAAAAAATTAATTAAAAACAGAAGGGTAGTTATGTGTCTCAAATCTGCCTTTCCAATTAATAGAAAGTAACAACTACTGAGAAGAAAAATGATATCTATAAACATTGGTGATCATCACATTAAGCCTTTGTATGATCACTTACAGAGTCTACCAGAGACTTTCAATACAGCATAAATGCTTTTACTCTTAAGTATTATTTGTGGTATGTATGTTTGTCCTTCTATCCTTCCATCCACCCATCATCTATCTCTACCCATCTATCTGTATCTGCTAAGGAAGAGAAGTGCAGCTTGGTTTCTTTTCTATAAGGAAAGAGCGTAACTGTTCCTCTATCTAGATGATCTTGAAAGAGCATATTATTTTTGATGTTTGGCAAGAGGGTAAAGTACTTAGTAATTTTCAAAAATGGTGTGTGGGACATTGAAAAGATACATTGTATTGGTGTGAAATCTTTTATTTTCAGTGTTCTGAGATTCTTTTTTTTTTTTTTTTTTTTTTTTTTACCGCAGAGTCTCGCTCTGTCGTCCAGGCTGGAGTGCAGTGGCACAATCTCAGCTCACTGCAACCTCTGCCTTCCAGGTTCAGGTGATTCTTCTGCCTCAGCCTCCTGACTAGCTGGGATTACAGGGGTGCACCACCACGCCCGGCTAATTTTTTGTATCTTAGTAGAGATGGGGTTTCACCATGTTGGCCAGGCTGGTCTCAAACTCCTAACCTCATGTGATCCACTCACCTCGGCCTCCCAAAGTGCTGGGATTACAGACGTGAGCCATCACACCCAGCTGAGATTCTTATCTTGGTAATTTTTTGCACAGAGAACTCAGCTCTCTATCATACTACATTTTAATGAGCTACACGGTGATTTATGACTTGTGCTCTTTCCTTTTCTAATCAGCTCATCAACACCATACCCATTCTATGTCAGTTTACTTTAGAATTGAAATTTTGCCTTTTATATAATGCTGTTAGGTGGCTTGCATTCGATTTGGGGGATAAATAGATTTTGAATCAGCTTTTGCTGCTCAACAAACCACTCCAAAACTTGGTGGCTTAAAACAACAGGCATTTATTTAGTTCACCATTTTGTGGTTTGGCAATTTAAGCTGGGCTCAGCTATGTGATGGTTCTCTTCTCCTCTGAGCTCACTCATGAACATCCCGTCAGATGGATAGTCTCACTCACATACATGACGGTTGGCAAGGGCTACAGGGATGCCTGGGCTTTGTGAGTCTCATCATCCAGCAGGTTAGCCTGGGCTTCTCCACATGGTGGCTTGTGGGGTTCTCTAAAGCCTGGGGTTCTCCACTTGGTGGCTTCTGGGGTTCTCTAAAGCAGTAAGAGAGGGCAAATGCAAATGCTTAACAACTTTTGAAATCTCTGCATCATGTTTGCTATTGTCCCATTGGCCAAAGTGAGTTACAAGTCCAGCTAAAATTCCAAGGATGGAGAAAGACTACCTCTTTGTGGGAGGAGCTATAAAATTATACTGCAGTGGCATGAACACAAGGAGGGAAAGAATTTGTGGCCATTTCTGCAATCTGCCATAAATGTACTTGGGACTTCTCACCTTGGTTCAATGGATACTGTCTTTATTTTGAAATATGTCTAGAATCCAACCACTTCTCACTATCTTCTCTGCCTCCTTTGCTACTTCCTAGTCCAAACCACTATCATCTTTTGCCTCCCAACAGGTTCCCTGCTGCTTCCACCTTTTCACGTGTGTTCTACACAGCAGCCAGAGCAAGCTTTTAAAAACAGAAGTCGGATTATGTCACTCCTCTGTTCAAAACCTTCCACTGGCTTCTCATTTCATTCAGAATAAAATTTAGATTACTTTCTGAGGTTACAAAACTTTACATGATGTGGCTCTTTCTTTGACCTCATCTTAACTCACTGCTTTTAGCCACACTCCCTCCTTGCTGTTTCTCAAACACACTAACAGGCCGTAGGGCTTTGCATTTGTGGTTTTCTCTACCGGATACTCAGCGTGTCTCCTTTCTTTACTTCTTTAAGGTCTCTGTTTATATGTCACCTTCTCAGAGAGGCTGTCAATGATACACTACATAAAATAACATTCTTGCTTACCAGTCTCTGGCTTGCTGTATTTTATTCCTTAGCACTTATCACCACTTGACAGTTGTTTATTTTCTATCCCCTTCAGTTAGACTGCATGCTCCATGAGGGCAGTGACCTTGAGTATTTTGTTTGCTGTTTATCCCCAGTGCCTAGAACAGTGCCTGGTGCAGGGTGTATGCCACCTAAGCCTCAGCAGAATCACTGTCCAGTGACATTCATCACCTGGTCTTAGTGGTGGCTCTTCCCTAGAAGTGAGGTGAGGTCTGTGTCCCATTGTTGTTGGGCTGGAGGCAGCTGGTTTTCTCCTATTCGTTGATGCTCAGCTGGACCGGTGTTGTGATATTTAAGGAAAGTTTCATCCTATCCCTTTTTGCCAACAGAATTTTAATTTGATGACTTTATGGTCATTTTTCTTTATAAATACCCATCTTCATGGATTTAAATATATAATCATTGTATGCTTATGGTTTACATAAATATGAGTATTCATATGTTTGTTTTTTTGAAGAGGGTGGCACATGGAGCAAACACTTTTTACTTAGGCATGGATGCTCAGGTAGTGGTGTTGATGCCTTCTTTGTGTACTCTTGAAATTCCTGCAAGCTCCCAAACCTTATTATACTCAGATCTACGTACCAAATTGCTTAGGTCCCAGTGGGCCAGACTTCTGCTGAGCGTTAGCTAACTCAGGGATAGAGTTGCTGTCCTTCAAGTATAATTTGTCTCTCAGATGGCTTTCCCATAGCTGATTCTCAGGCTTTGAATATGGGTTCTGTTAGTCCACAGGCATTGACTCCATTTGCAGGTGTGTGTTTGTAACATATAGTCAAACCTCTAACATTTGGAATAATGAGATGAGATGAGAATGAGTAGGAGGAGGGGCAGTCTGGTTTAGTGAAATATCTGATGCACAGAATATTTAAAATTAGGCCTGGCACAGCGACTCACGAGGCCTGTAATCCCAGCACTTTGGGAGGCCAAGGCGGGTGGATCACTTGAGGTCAGGAGTTCGAAACCAGCCTGGCCAACATGGCAAAACCCCTTCTCTACTAAAAATACAAAAATTAGCTGGGTGTGGTGGTGCGTATCTGTAATCCCAGCTACTTGGGAGGCCAAGGCACGAGAATCGCTTGAACCTGGAGGCAGAAGTTGCAGTGAGCTGAGATCGCGCCACTGCACTCCAGCCTGGGTGATAGAGCAAGACCCTGTTTCAAAAAAAAAAAAAAAAAAAAAAAAAGGATATTTTAAAATAAAGGTAATTCTATGATTTTTAAATTATAGCGCATGTCATAGACTAAGATACAACTGGGGTATGAGTCCCAAAAGCAACTGTAATGGAAATATTTGCAGTCTACACAGGCCTAGAGAAGAAGTGAAGGATTTTAAGCAGCAAAGTCTGTGTAAGAGTTATTTGACTCAGACTTTGAAGGCTAAAGAACCAGATAAATCTAATTTCTTGAAACCTTTGATTTGAAAAAGTTACTGATTTTATATTAATGGACCTGAAGATGTTCAGGTGCAGATTAACTTGTACTTGATTAGAATCATATTCTTCAAGTATAAAATAGAAATTTTGCAGTGGAAAAGCTGAGACATGTGATTTCTCTGCCTGGCTTCTTCTGGACCTTAAGGTAACTTTCACTGGAGATGTCTCCCATTCCAGAAGTGGAAATTTATGTTTTGCTGCCCCAAAGCTGGTTGAATTAGAAAGCTGGAAAGCAAAGCAAGAGAGAGCTTTAAATATTTAGTGGAAAGAGGGTGCTGATAATGACAGTCAGGATTGTGGGTCTCTTCTGGACTCTGGCTTCTTACGAGAGGAAGGGTTAAGAACATCCCCTTTTGGGGAAGACAAGCTAGGACTTCAGTCCAGTTTTGCCATTTACTGTTGGAGTGATCTTAGATTAAGTTATTTAATCTCTCTATGCCTCAGTTTCCTTGGTGGTAAAAAGGGGAATATTGAGAGGGCTCATACCTTAGAGTTGTAAGGATTCAATGCAGTGATATATGGAAAAGGCTTATTGTAGATGCTCAGGAAATGTTAGCTAATATATATAGAAGGCATATTTTCTGAAGAATTCAGGAAAATGATACCAGAAGGGCTTAAATGGGCACCCAGGACACAGTTTTATGTGCCATTGTGGTCCCTATGAAACTAGCGAATATATGCAGTTGTTTTGTGAGAGTGACAGAACAAAGAGTGACAGGCAGAGGGAGGGGGTTGCCATAGCATTGGGGTAAACAAGTGAGCCGCGTGGTTTAGAGAGGAAAGCATTTGTGTGCATAGTGGCTCCAAAGAGGTGTGTGAGGTGTGCGAGGAGGGAAGAGCACACACTTGGTAATGAAGGCCTGAGAGCTGCAGGGGCTGGAAGAGAACACTCGTGTGTGTAGAAGTGTGTGTGGGGGTGGGAAGGAGGGTGGAGTGAGGGTTTATGGGCTTGGATCAGGCTATTACATTGGATCCCAAAGGCATTAGGTGCCACTCAAGCTGGATCTCTACAAAGGGGACTCATACAAACTGAGGCTCCGGAAGAAAAGAGTTCTGTGGGTTTATGATAAATCCCTAGGGTCAGGCTTCTCAAACTTATCTAATCAAGTGCCCCTAGGCATAAGAGAATTACCCTTGCTGGGGCCGGTTGCGGTGGCTCACGCCTGTAATCCCAGCACTTTGGGAGGCCGAGGTGGGCGGATCACAAGGTCAGGAGATGGAGACCATCCTGGCTAACATGGTGAAACCCCGTCTCTACTAAAAAATACAAAAAATTGGCCGAGTGGTGGCGGGCGCCTGTAGTCCCAGCTACTTGGCAGGCTGAGGCAGGAGAATGGTGTGAACCTGGGAGGCGGAGCTTGCAGTGAGCTGAGATCACACC
Organism: Homo sapiens; assembly: GCF_000001405.40. Classification (NCBI taxonomy): domain Eukaryota; kingdom Metazoa; phylum Chordata; class Mammalia; order Primates; family Hominidae; genus Homo; species Homo sapiens. The sequence continues at coordinate 63,507,637 of NC_000014.9, read as the reverse complement.
ACTGCACTCCAGCCTGGGCGACAGAACAAGACTCCGTCTCAAAAAAAAAAAAAAAAAAAAAAGAGAATTACCCTTGCTGCAGTTATTTTTAAGTCTTGTTTTTTTTTTTTACTTTAAAAATTCAGAGATTTTTGCATTTCATAATCTATTTGTTTCTTTTCGTTCTAAACGCTGGTATTTTTAGTAAAGTTAATCGTACCAAGGGAGAAGTGCCATGTTTATCTCATGGCTTCTAAAAGGAACCCACACTGCCCTTCTGAGATTAATCCAGGAGCAAGGTAATTAACAGTTATGGTAGTTGGATGCCAGGAAAGAGAGAGGTCTTTAGAAGGGGCCTTGTACTCACAGCAGGTAGGCAGTTGGTATTCCCTCACTGCTGCTTCTAGGCCTTTAAGGCCCCATATCCTTTCTGTAAGGCAACTTGTGAGTTTTTGAAGGCCCACTGATGGTCCTTTAGTGCTCACTACTTACCCAGGCTACTGAGATCCTCCCTTGTGCCCCCTGCAGCAGTGGCCTGGGATAGGAGGTAATGGGTGCATTTAATACTCTTGTCCCAGGCTGGGCACCGTGGCTCACACCTGTAACCTCAGCACTTTGGGAGGCTGAGGTAGGGGATCACTTGAGGCCAGATTCTCAAGGTTCCTCCATGTTGTCGCATGTGTCAGCACTTCATTCCTTTTTGTGGCTGAATAATATTCCATTGTGCCACATTTTAAAAATCCATTTATCAGTTGATGAACATTTGGGTTGTTTCTGCTTTTTGGCTATTATGGATAATGCTGTTATGAACATTCATGTACAATTTTAGTGGACATACTTTCAGTTACCTTGGGTAAATATTATACCTGGGAGTGGGATTGCTGGGTCATTTGGTAACTCTGTTTTAACTTTCTGAGATATTGCCAAACTGTTTTCCACAGCAGCTCCACCATTTTATATCCCCACCAGGAAGGTATGAGGGATTTAATTTCTCTACATCTTTGCCAACACGTATTATTTTCTCTCTTTTTGATGATAGTCATCTTATTGGGTGTGATTTGCATTTCCTGGATGGCTGATGATGTTGAACATCTTTGCATGTTCTTACTGGCCATTTGTGTATCTTCTTTGGAGAAATGTCTATTCAAATCCTTTGCCTACTTTTGGATTATCTTTTTGTTATTATTATTATTACTTTTTTCTTTTTTGAGACGGAGTCTTGCTCTGTCGCCCAGGCTGGAGTGCAGTGGCGCAGTCTCGGCTCACTGCAAGGTCCGCCTCCCGGGTTCACGCCATTCTCCTGCCTCAGCCTCCTGAGTAGCTGGGACTACAGGCGCCCGCCACCATGCCCGGCTAATTTTTTTGTATTTTTAGTAGAGACGGGGTTTCAGCATGTTAGCCAGGATGGTCTCCATCTCCTGACCTTGTGATCCACCCGCCGCGGCCTCCCAAAGTGCTAGGATTACAGGCTTGAGCCACTGCGCCCGGCCAATCTTTTTGTTATTAAGGTGAAGAATTCTTTTTATATTCTGGGTATAAGTCCCTTATCAAATATATGATTTGCAAATATTTTCTCCCATTTAGTGGGTTGCCTTTTCTTGATGGTGCCCTTTGAAGCATGCAAATATTTACATGCTCAGAAAATATTTGTCAAAGAATGAATGAAAGAAACACTACCTTTTATTGAAAGCCTTGCCTGACTTTACACAACGTTGTGATTTTGTCTCTTGGATACCTAGGGTGTATATATTTTTTCATATTGATTATAATACTCCCCACATTGCTTTGTAATTTATTTGTAGTATTTTCTCCCTCACCCAGTGATACCTTGGGAGGCAGGTGCTGTGTCTACTATGTTCCTAACTGAGTTTCTGGTGTGGGTAATAGGGTAGTATGTGACGGTCACTGAATGTTGCCTGAATGAATGCATGGATTTCTCTGTGGAACTCTGTCAAGTGAGAGGGGATGCAGCTGGTCCAGATTGTTGGTCTTCAATTTTTATGAACCAGCTTAGATTCAGATTGTAGAGTGTGTGCAGAAGGCTGTGATTCTCCAGCTTGCAGTCCATACTTTATCAAGGACTGCTTGGAGGCAGACGAGCTTGAAGAACTCAGCCTCCTTGCATGGGCTTCTTAGTGTGGAGAAGGGGTGGGGAGAGCAGAGTGAATGGCGAAGTGTTCAGTGTGTGAGCAGGTTGTCATTATTAATGTATCGTAATGACCATGGTGTTTATGGGATTTCTTCAATTTTAAAGTGGTCATTACCAAGGTTAATTATCTTCTTAACCTTAGAGGTGTAAAGCTGCTTTTGGCATCTTTGGAAACTTCTTTTGGAGCTACCAGATTAGATGGTCTTAGTATTTATTTATTTATTTGACAGAGTCTCACTCTTTCCTCCAGGCTGGAGTGCAGTGGCATGATCTTGGGTCATTGCAGCCTCGGCTGCTGGGGTTCAAGCAAACATGTCCGGCTAATTTTTGTATTTTTAGTAGAGGCAGGGTTTCACCATGTTGGCCAGGCTGGTCTGGAACTCCTGACCTCAAATGATCCGCCTGTCTCGGCCTCCCAAAGTACTGGGATTACAGACATGAGCCACCACGCCCGGCCGGTCTTAGTAATACTTTAAGATTTCTTTCAGCTCTAAGATTTCATAACTCAAAACTTTGTCTTCCCAATGAAATCTTTCTTGATTACTTTAGTCCTTAATGATCCCCATCTTCTTAACCTAAGTCATGCAAGACATATTTATGTGAACAGCATGGTATCATTCATTCATTCAGCAAACATTGCATTAGGAACTTGGCTAGATGCTGGAGTGACAAAGATGACCAAGACAGCATTTTTTTTTTAACAGTGTTTACTGAACACATATTTTATGCTATGCCCTGGGGGTAAAGGGTGACTAAGACGTGTAAGGCACTTGCATTCTACAGGCCATTGCTTTTCATGGGTATAGGTTTTCTCTCCCCAGTTAGACTGTAAGCCTTGTTTTTTGTATCTCATTCCCCCAAACATCTAATACGATGAGTAAATAGTTTCTCAAGCAGTACTTGATTGACTTCTTTTTCCTCTTTTTTTGAGGTGGAGTCTCACTCTGTCGCCGAGGCTGGAGTACAGTGGTGAGATCTCAGCTCACTGCAACCTCCGCCTCCTAGGTTCAAGCCATTTTCCTGCCTCAGCCTCCCAAGTAGCTGGGACTATAGGCGTGAGCCACCACGCCTGGCTAATATTTGTATTTTTAGTAGAGATGGGGTTTTGCCATGTTTGCCAGGCTGGTCTTGAACTCCTGACCTGAAGTGATCCTCCTGCCTTGGCCTCCCAAAGTGCTGGGATTACAGGTGTGAGCCACCGTGCCTGGCCAATTGACTTCTTGGGTGGGTTTTTTTTGTTTTTGTTTTTGCTTTTTTTTTGATTGCCAAGAAAAGTTTTGCTTGCCAAGAAAATGTGAGAGGTATTTGGAACTTTGAAATTTATAATCTATACAATACGTACAGGTCTTGGGCAAGTGGCTACTCAGGTGTTACGGTGGAAATAATCTATACCTGTGCCTGATTCTTGATTGGGAAGAAAAATTTGGAAGTAGTTTAGAGAGTGATTCAAAACTTCTCATATTCCCTAGCTCTTTTAATCTATTTCATTTCTGAATAATGAAGTGATGTATTCAAATTTTGCACTCAGAGGACACTGGCGTGTGATTTTGGGACTGCATGCTTAATCAGAACTTGAAAGAGTTTTTGTTTTGTTTGCTTTGCTTTTAAAACCAGGGTTCTGCCCTTCTTAGTAAAGCATATTTTGGGGCAGGGAGGCATACTGATTGGGATTTTTTCCAAATGGTTTTCCTCACATCTTGCCATCGGAACCTCTTAAATAAGGGCTTTCAAGGCCCCCATGCAATTCTGGTAGTTTCAGTATACCTAAGAGAAGACAGGTTATTAATGATTTTCAGATGTGAAATTCATTAAACTATATAGTAAATTAAAGTGCTTTTGGGGAAGGATAATAGTAGGGAGTATTGAAACAGAACATCTAAAACAACTGTCTTCCTTGCAGTGTTAACATGTGATATAAATGTGGTGTTTTTTGCCCTTACTGCTTGCCTTATGTTACCTCCTTTGCTCTGGAACAGTTGTTTTCAGACTTCAGTGGGCATAGGAATCACCTGAGAAATTGGTTGGAGTTGTTGATTTGCTATCTTTTACCTGGGGGATATGCAGTCCAGGTGGTTCAAATGCTTTTTGAGCAGACTGGATATTGCTTTGGCAGTGTCATAGTGCTTGTTTCTAACCTCTACATAGAGGCCTGTTCCTGCCTGTCACTCCACACCCCACGTTCTTCAATGGCCTCAGTGCCTTTGCTCTATTCATTCCTCCTAAGATGGAAATTCGTCTTCTGTCTCCTTAGGGCTCAGCTCAAGAGGAGGCCTTCCCAAGAAGCTTTGTCTAGTCTAGCTCACTCTGATGATGCCTTTCCCAAAATCCCTCTGTACATACAGTAGTTAAAAAAAAAATGGCTAACTTTCCCTGTTTGGCTCTTATAGTATGTAATTTTTTATTTATGGTCTGTATTGCTCATTGGACCATTCCTGTATATTGCACTGCTTTACTGGTTATCTTTCAAGGTTCCCATGTGCAACTTCAGAGGTTGTGCAGTGCATAATATTAATGTGCTAGTCCTCTGTCTTTGTATTTTTGTTTCTGAGATGAGGTTTCTTGCTATGTTGCCCAGGCTGGTCTCAAACTCCTGGGCACAAGTGATTTTCCTGCCTTGGCCTCGCAAAGTGCTGGGATTACAAGTGTAAGCCATTGCACCCGGCCTAGTTATTGACTATTACTATATTTCATGAGCTTTCAGACACCTTTTTCTGATAGTTTTCTACTGGTAGATTTGCTTTTATAAAATTTTATAAAATTTCAACATGGTAATATTTATCCTTCCTATAGATGGCATTTGGGTATTGTGGTGGGAGTGTTTTCTTTTTCTTTTTTATTTTTTTGAGATGGAGTCTTGCTCTGTCACCCAGACTTGAGTGCAGTGGCATGATCTCAGCTCACTGCAACCTCTGCTTCCCAGGTTCAAGCAATTCTCCTGCCTCAGTCTCCCGAGTAGCTGGGATTAGAGGCACACACCACCATGCCTGGCTAATTTTTGTATTTTTAATAGAGATGGGGTTTCACCAGGCTGGTGTCGAACTCCTGACCTCATGATTTGCCTGCCTCGGCCTCCTAAAGTTCTGGGATTACAGGCGTGAGCCACTGCATCCTGGCAAGTGGGAGTGTTTTCATTATGCCACCTTCTGTGGGGTCCTCATGGCAAGTGAGGTGTTGAGCAGGATGAATCTTGTCACCCTCAGGACTTCGAGAAGGGAAGTTAGGGGTGTCAGGAGGCCGGGCAGCACCTCCTGCCTCTAAGTCTGGTGCCCTCTGCTTCATGCTATGTAGATGGTTCCATTTAAAAAAACAACTTCCAGCTGGGTGCAGTGGCTCACATCTGTAATCCCACCACTTTGGGAGACCAGGGCAGGTGGATCACTTGAGGCCAGAAATTTGAGACCAGCTTGGCCTACATGGTGAAACCGCATCTCAACTAAAAATACAAAAATTAGCTGGGCGTGATGGTGCGTGCCTATAATCCCAGCTACTCGGGAGGCCGAGACAGAAGAATTGCTTGAACCTTGGAGGTGGAGGCTGCAGTGAGCTGAGATCTCGCCACTGCACTCCAGCCAGGCTGACAGAATAAAACCGTGTCTCAAAAAAATAAAAAATTAACAAAACTCTAATTTTTATTTGGAAATAATTTTAGACAAAGTAGCAAAAATAGAGAACTCAGATTGCTTCCCCTAATACTGGCAACTAACTGTCTTTTCCACTTTTTATTGCTGAGTATGGTTCCGTTTTGAATATATGTCACCACCATATTTTTTAACAGCTTTATTGAGACATAATTCACGTACTATACAGTTCACTCATCTAAAGTGTGCAATTCATTAGTTTTTAGTATGTTCACAGAGTTGTATAACCATCACCACAATCTATTTTTAGAACATTTTTATCACCTCAGAATGAAATTCTGTGCCCATTAGCAGTCACTCCTCATTCCTCTCGCTACCTTCTCTCTCCAGCTGCAGGCAATCACTAATCTACTTTAATCACTAATCTACTTTATGTATGTATCTCTGGATTTGCCTATTCTGGACATTTGATGTAAAATTTCCACCATCATTATATCTTATTAACATTTTCTTTTTTTTTTTTTTTTGAGACGGAGTCTTGCTCTGTCGCCCAGGCTGGAGTGCAGTGGCACTGTATCGGCTCACTGCAAGCTCCGCCTCCCGGGTTCACGCCATTCTCCTGCCTCAGCCTCTTGAGTAGCTGGGACTACAGGCGCTCGCCACCACGCCCGGCTAATTTTTTTTTGTATTTCTTTTAGTAGAGATGGAGTTTCACTGTGTTAGCCAGGATAGTCTCGATCTCCTGACCTGGTGATCTGCCCGCCTCGGCCTCCCAAAGTGCTGGGATTACAGGCATGAGCCACTGCGCCCGGCCCTTATTAACATTTTCTATGCAGATCCTGGCTCTCCCTCTTACAAGTGTCTGACTGTGGACTTGTCATTTAATTTGTCTCTACCTTGGTCTCCTGATTTGTAAAGTGGGAGATAATAATAGTATGTAGATGTAGAGTTGTAAGAATTAAATGAGTTAACATGTGGAAAGCACTTGGCTCCAATTTGTACTCTATAAATTTTAGCTGCTGTTACGCTAGGATGTCATAGTTTTTCTTTTTCTTTTTTTTTTTAGAGATGCGGTCTCACTCTGTCACCCAGGCTGATTGTGTAGTGGTGCAATCATAGCTTGCTGCCACCTTAAAATCCCAGGCTCGAGAGATCCTCCTGCCTCAGCCTCCTGAGTAGTTGGGACCACAGATGCACCACCATGCCTGGCAATTTTTAAAAATTTTCTTGTAGAGACGGCAGTCTTGCTATATTGCCTATCTATGTTGCTCTATTGTCTCAAACTCTTGGCCTCAAGAGATCCTCTTGCCGTGGCCTCCCAAAGCCCGCTGTGCCCACCCAGGGATCTGTCATATTTCTAATTGGTTCATTTATGGTCTTCCATATTGGTATTTACTGTTTCTGTGTCATTACCAGTTAACCATACAAGTATGTAACAATTATTCATATCAGTTTTATTATTTTGTCCTAAATCCTGAGTTTAGAATTTAGTCAATGTAAACGATTTCCTGTCACAAAGACTTAGCTGGTAAAAAGAACTGCAGCATTTGGCATTGTAAGTATGCATCTTCATTTGGCACCTTGGTGTATTTATTTGAATGAGAGGTGATGTACCCATCTGATTTAGTTAAAGTCAAAATAAATCTAGGGCGTCGGTTTCTGAAAACCAAGTTTTACTTTCATTAAAGTGAATTTCAAGAAAAGTTGCTTTTGAAACTAATTTTTTAAAAACACATTTATTTCTCATAGACTTTCAATATCAAAGGGGAGACAATATGTTCCTATAAGAAAAATTCATAGTGCCCAAAACATACCCATCACCACCCCCTCTATAGATGGGAAAACTGCTGAGGTTTAATTTGAGTGATGTGCAGGATAGTTAAATGAAGCTTGAGAAATACCTGTTTACAATAGTTACACATTGTCCAAATAATTTTCAGCATAAATAATGAGTCAAATCCAGATTAGGATGTGGCAGAGGGATTGTGAAATACCAGACAAAAAACTGGAGATATTGGGCTAGGAACCAGAAGATCTGGGATCAGGACTTGCTACCAGTCAGCTGAATGACCCGGAGCAAGCCACTTAAGTTCTTTGGGCCAGTTTCCTCATCTGTAAAATGAGACAACTGGACTAGAATAGATGGTCTCTTGGGGCTTATCCAGAGCAAAAATTCCTTGGTTTCTTTCTTTTTTTTTTTTTTCTGAGATAGAATCCCAGTCTCTCTTCCAGGCTGGAGTGCAGTGGTGCGATCTCAGCTCAGTACAACCTCTGCCTCCCAGGTCCAAGTGATTCTCCTGCTTCAGCCTCCCGAGTAGCCGTGATTACAGGCACGCAGTGCCACCACGCCTGGCTAATTTTTGCATTTTTAGTAGAGACGGGTTTTGCCGTGTTGGCCAGGCTGGTCTCGAACTCCTGACTTCAGGTGATCCACCCACCTCGGCCTCCCAAAGTGCTGGGATTACAGGTGTGAGCCCCTGCACCCAGCCTTATTTCTCATAATAACAAGATACTACCAAATATTGATTAATTTAGAGAAATCTCTAAATTTGTGTTTTTGCTGCTCTTTTTCTCATCCTTATTACTGCCATAGCCCTTCTAGTTTCACAGTGAGGTGGCTATTTTATGATTTGTATTTTTACATTTCTGCTGTCATATATATTTTTCTCTCTTTTAGGCAGCTCTGACCTGTGATATGTTCAAAATTGTATTAAGGTTTTAGTTACAGATACTCTGGTTGGGTAGTGGAGCTCAAACCAAAACCAACCTTCTCTCTTTGGTGGTGGAAATGGAAGCTGGCACATTCTGTGTTCCAGTATGTCCTGGGGCCTTTTTATGAGTAGCTGCATTTCTTAAAAATTGCCTGTGATGAAGTAAACGTGCATATATAAATGATTTTCATGACTAATTTTGATTTTAAATTTGGAAATACAGTTTTATAGTGGGAAAACATTGGTACCTGACACACAATAAATTTTCACTTACGATTCCTAATATTTACTTTAAAGAGCCATTCTGCTTGTAACTAGGCAGTTTTATATTTCATAGTCTCTGCCAGTGGTTTCTAATTTTGGGCCACGAATGCTGGAGAGGTATATGAAGTTGTTATAAGGGATTTGATTATCCAAATGAACCCCTATCTGCAGACTGATTTGTACTGGTGTTTTCAGATGTATATAGGGATTTGTGACTAATGAAGAATTATTTAAGGCTGGATCAGTGGTTCATGCCTGTGATCCTAGCACTTTGTTAAGCCAAGGTGGGAGGATTACTTGAGCTTGGGGAAGTCGCGGCTGCAGTAAGCCATGTTTGTGCCATCTCGCTCCAGCCTGGGTGACAGAGTGAGACCCTGTCTGGGAAAAAAAAAAATTACTTAAAAGTACTTCCTGAATTCATAAAAATGTTTTGTTATTGTATTTTCTTTAGTGATATTAATGAAGATCCAAGACACTTAAAAACATTCCAAAGGTTCATACACACAAAACTTGAAAAACATCCTTTTCTAAAACCATGTCAAGCAAAGCATGATGTAGACTTAAAAAGAAAAAAAGAAAAGAAAAGAAATGATGTCAAGAGGTTAGTGAAGTGGACAGAGAGGTCAACCTGATAGTATACATTTGTTTAAAAGCATGCATATATTTTGTAGTTTCTTTTGTAAGTAGAACTTAGAGAATTTAAGCAATCTTTGCTTTTTCACTGAATAAAAACCACACTGTTTGTCTTTAGGACCTTAAGTCTCAAGAAAAAAACAAACATTTTAAAAATCCCTCAAGACTTGGTTGATACTACCTGAAAAAGCTCTCTAAATTACAAAGAAGAGATATTAAGTTCATTTCTGATAAGATGGTTAGTTTTGTTGACTGAATTGACATCATGCTCAAAATAAGACATAAGCTGTAGGAACTAAATTCAGTTATTGCCAGAAGTTCACCACATACCAAATGTATTATTCTAAGTGAATAAGAAAATGAGATTTATTGATATTATAATAGAAATATTGAACAGTAGAGAAGTGTGATGCCAGGTGATGCCACTAACGTGAGTATGCTTCTGGCCATTAAAGGAGGATGTTGTATGACATCTTGCATTAATCATTGATTTACCTTTCCACTTTCTGCATAAACCTTGAGCAGGTTCATGTGTTTTTTGTGTTTGTTTTTTTTTGTTTGTTTGTTTGTTTTTTTGAGATGGAGTCTCCCTCTGTCGCCCAGGCTGGAGCACACTGGTACAGTCTTGGCTCACTGCAACCTCTGCCTCCCAGTTTCAAGCGATTCTCCTGCCTCAGCCTCCTGAATAGCTGGGATTACAGGCATGTGCCACCATGTCCGGCTAATTTTTGTGTTTTTTGTAGAGACGGGTTTCACCATGTTGACCAGGCTGGTCTCGAACTCCTGACCTCAGGTGATCCACCTCTGCCTCCCAAAGTGCTAGAATTACAGGGGGGAGCCACTGCACCTGGCCAGGTTCATGTGTTTTTATACTCATTTAGTTACCCTGTATTTTTTTAGTTATCTTTGGAGATGGAAGAGGTGTGGATAATCCAGAGATGATGCTTGTAGTCAAGAAAGAGTAATTGTGGCCTTTTGATGGGGAGCCAAGTTTTATGAAATCCCACGGAGTCAGTCTTCAGATCCAGGGTTCTTAATTGGCTAGAGATCTTGCAAGTTATTTTGCCATGTTGTTTTTTGAAGGGAAAGGAAATACTGTCATACGTTTATGCATCTGTATATAAAATGGTTAGAAATGGTATCATATAGGTATTGCATGTTTGTGATCATAACTGCCTGAATAAAGGTTAAAATGTCATGGGAAAATGGGAAAACTTAAGCAGGAGGAAATAGAGATAGTTTATTTTTAGCAATTTAGAATGTTCCATTTAAAAGCAGTTAAACTGGCTAGAGCTGTGGGCAGGGGGAGGGGTACTGGGGTGGTTTAAAGGCCATAGCTATTATGGTGAGTGCCTGACATTTTGATTTGAAGTGTGTCTCTGCCTGTGTATTTTAGAACCAGAAAAATTCTTGGAAAACTACCTTTTTTTTTTTTTAAACTGTGTACCCAGATAAAATAGTTTGTTATTCCAAATCTAGAATTGAGATTTTAATTTTTATTAATTTTTATTTCTGTCAGTCTTTCAGGCATTTGGCTTCTTTGCTTATTCTTTTAAGATTTAAGTCGGAGAAGAAAAATCACATCCATTAGTTTTGATTACTCAGATCAATAAATTGAAAAGGAAAATTAGAATCATTTAAATTTGACTGCATATGATGAGATTCTGCTAAATTAAACTATAAATTACATGTTTATTAAGCACTTTGTAAACACTTATTAAAACAATGTTCTAAATTGAACTATTTCCCTCTGTATATGTTCTTAGTTATTGATGGGTTATGGTTCAAGAGGCGAGCTGGATGAGGTTTCTTAACTCTTTGAGGTTGGTTTGGCAAATTTAATTAAGCCTTAAGTGGCTCACTCTTTTTTTTTTTTTTTTGAGACAGAGTCTTACTCTGTTGCCTGGGCTGGAGTGTAGTGGCGTGATCTTGGCTCATTGCAATCTCCGCCTCCCAGGTTCAAGCGATTCTTGTGCCTCAGCCTGTAGAGACAGGGTTTTACTATGTTGGCCAGGCTGGTCTCTAACTGCTGACCTCAGGTGATCTGCCTGCCTTGGCCTCCCAAAGTGCTGGGATTACAGGCATGAGCCACTGTGCCTGGCCAAGTGGCTCACTCTTGAGGGCTCAAGCAGTGTTGGAATAATGTTGCTGGATAAACGGTGAACACCAATACATCCCAGTGTATGATGCAGAATAATCCACAAAGCATGATTTATAGAAGTAGTGATATTTAACAAAAAAAATCTTCAACACTTAATATGTAAAATGAACAGTGCAAATTGTTTTTAAGTCTTGGTCTTGAAAAATACTGTAGATGGCTTAACCATATGCTTGGCTGGGCATGGTGGCTCACGCCTGTAATCCCAGCGCTTATGAAAGGCTGAGGCGGGAGGATCGCTTGAGCCCAGGAGTTGGGACCAGCTCGGGCAACATAGGGAAACCTTGTCTCTACAAAAATCAAAGAAACTAGCTGGGCAAGGTGGTACATGCCTGTTTTCTCAGTTACTTGGGAGGCTGAGGCAGGAGGATCATTTGCACGCAGGAGGTTGAGGCTGCAATGAGCCATGATTGCACCACTGCACTCCAGCCTGGGTTACAGAGAGAGATCCTCTCTTGAAAAAATGAACAAAAAAACCCCAAAAATGCTTGCCAAAAAAAAAGAAAAGAAATTAGTATATATTCTTTTAGACTTTTTTGTCTACATATACATATATGTAGACATGTTTATTTTACTTTATTTTTTTAAATGGAGCCTTGCACTGTCACCCAGGCTGAAGTGCAGTGGCACAATTTCAGCTCACTGCAACCTCTGCCTCCCGGGTTCAAGCAGTTCTCCTGCCTCAGCCTCCCTAGTTGCTGGGATTACAGGTCACCACATTGCCCAGCTAATTTTTTTTTTTTTTTTTGTATTTTTAGTAGAGATGGGGTTTTGCCATGTTGGCCAGGCTGGTCTTTAACTCCTGACCTCAAGTGGTCTGCCCGTCTCAGCCTCCCAAAGTGCTGGGATTTCAGGCGTGAACCACCGTGCCTGGCCAGACATGTTTATTTTTATAAAAATAGTACTGTACTCTTTCTCTCTCACTATATATATTTTTATGAATTTTTTTGTGTGTGTGTCTTTGAGACAGAGTCTCACTCTGTCACCCAGGCTGGAGTGCAGTGGCGCGTTCTTGGCTCACTGCAACCTCCTCCTCCCGGGTTCAAGTGATTGTCCTGCCTCAGCCTCCCAAGTAGCTGGGATTACTGGTGCATGCCTCTGGGCCAGCTAATTTTTGTATTTTTAGTAGATACGGGGTTTCACCATGTTAGCCAGGCTGGTCTCCAACTCCTGACATCCAGTGATCCGCCTGCCTCAGCCTTCCAAAATGCTGGGATTACAGGCATGAGCCACCATGCCTGGCCTTTTTGTTTTTGCTTTTTGTTTTTTGAGATAAGGTCTGGCTCTATTGCTCAGCCTGGTGTGCAGTGGCGTGATCTTGGCTCATTGCAGCCTCCGCCCCCTGGGCTCAAGCCATCCTCCCATCTCAGCCTCCCAAGTAGCTAGGTAACTACAGGCACGCACCACCATGCTTGGCTAGTTTTTGTATTTTTTGTAGAGATGGGATTTTGTCATGTTGTCCAGGCATGTCTTGAACTGGTGAGCTCAAGTAATCCACCCACCTCAGCCTCCCAAAATGCTGGGATTACAGGCATGATCCACCATGTTGGCCTCTGTGAATGTTTCATTTCCTACTGAAAAGTTTGTCATTTTTTTTTGGTTGTCTTTTTTTTTTTTTTAAATGGCTGTACAGCCGGGCGCGGTGGCTCACGCTTGTAATCCCAGCACTTTGGGAGGCTAATAGGGGCAGATCACCTGAAGTCAGGAGTTCAAGACCAGGCTGGCCAACCTGGTAAGACTCTGTCTCTACTAAAAATACAAAAAATTAGCCGAGTGTGGTGGTACACACCTGTAATCCCAGCTACTCAGGAGGCTGAGGCAGGAGAATTGCTTAAACCCAGGAGGTAGAGGTTGTAGTGAGCTGAGAATGTGTCACTGCCCTCCAGCCTGGGCAACAGAGTGAGACTCTGTCTCATAAATAAATAAATAAATAAATGGCGGTACAGTCTTCTAAGGTATGAATAAGTAGTTACTTACTTAAGACCACTTTCTTATTGATAACATCTGGAGCATTTTTATTTTACTGCTGTTGTAAACAACGCTGGTGGGGAGCTACTTAAGACATATCTCTGTGTTCACATAGGGGAGTATGTCTATAGGATACATTCTTAAAAGTGGAATTCTGGGTAAAAAATAAAAGCCTTGGTAGGTGCTGCTAAATTGCTTTAGACGTTGCGTTTTACATTTCTAGTAGAGTATTTGAGAATACCTTCTTCCTACAGTTTAAACAGTTAAAATTTAAAGCTATAATTTTAAAAAGAACAAGTAACCCGACTTTAGGAGTTGGAACATCATCTGAATACTTGACCATCATTACTGGTTAATCTTATTTTTAAAAGTTTACAAGCTAAATTAGTTAGTGAGGCAGATAGCATCACTTCCACAGTGATTTAAGAATCCTGTGTCATTTGAAGCTCACCTGTTTAATATTCCTAGAGTACTTCATTATATTGTTATCCTTCATGTTTAGTAATATCAGAAATTTTGTCAGAAATATGTCTTGCCACATGTGCAAAACTAACAGCTTGAGTACAGTTTGTCACACTGGATACAGTGTAAGCAGCCTTTATTTAGCTGCTGTCACAACTGTTTCTGGTGTTTTTGCTCTCTACCAATGATTCTCACCTAGGGGTTCTTTTGCTCCCCTCCCCCTCCCCCCACCACACACACGCACACACACACGCGCGCGCGGTAATTTGGCAATGTCTGGAGAGACCTGGTTGTGACACTTGAGAGAGGATTGAAGCGGGAAAGAGTAAGGACTTGCTACTGGCATCTAGTGGCAGACAGGCCAGGGATGCTGCTAAATATTCTATAGTTCACAGAAGAGCTGCTCACAATAAATAGTTATCTGATTAGCTTGGCTTGGTGGCAAGTGCCTGTAGTCCCAGCTACACAGGAGGCAGAGGCAGGAGGATCACTTGAGCCCAGGAGTTTGGGGTTAAAAAAAAAAAACAACCCACCAAACCAAAAAAGAGTTATCTGGGCCTGACTATCAACAGTGCTTTACACAAAGGAGTTAGGGTGCTCTATCATACAACTATCTGATGATTCTTTTGCTTAAACTGATTCTACCCCATTTCTTATGGCTGCGTGCCACACTCACCTTTAGTAGATCAGAATTCCTTGCCTAGAGCGGCTGGCTGCTCTTGACTTTGTGTTGCTGTTTCTAGCTTTTTCATGTTTTGCTCAGTGGTAGGGACAGGCAGGCCAATTTAGTAGAGCTTGACAAAGTGAAGCCTGGTATCTTCTATGAGGCTATAAACGTTGTCTAAAGACGCAATTTCTGGTTCTGATAAGGCTCCTGGTAATTCCTGGACTGGAAGACTTGGCTGTCATTGTTTTGCTGTTAAGTACCCCTTCCACTCAAATGCAAAAGTAAAACACACACATGCCACCATCCTTCCCAACCAAACCAAAACAAAAAAATTCAACAAACAAAAACAAAACACTTGATGATCAAGGAGAACCTATGATAACTCTTCTTATTCCACATTTCAAGTTTGTACTTGATCTGTGCCATCATACAAGAAACCCAACTGGTATGACTGTCCTGAGTGCATTTCCAGTGAAGAGGCTGGGAGAGTCCAAAAGAATGTTTTGAGTCATCAGATCCTTTTAAAATGTCAGATTCTTTCCATGGGATTAATTTAAACCTGTTATGACCCTTTAAAAATTTTTATAAGAGGCCTCAGAGCCATAATAACATGGAATACTGCTTGTTTAGTAGAAGCCTTTCTAAAGGCCACCTTTATATTTGGTTTAATTTTTTACATTGTCAACCATCATGTAAGAGAGAAACAGGAATTTTTGAGTCCTTAACTGGGAAGAACAGCTGCTTGGTGCAGAAAGTCTCATGAAGTAAGTCTCCTTTTGAATAAAAAGGAAGATCTCCTATTAGAAAATAAAGCATTATTATTTTTTCTTCCTTTTTCATGACAATTTAGGTTTAGGCTAAGCATATTAGGTATATATAAAGATGTAAAAAATCAGTGTGCTTTTAAGATAAACCTGTAATTCTTGTTCAGAGGTAGTAAGCTGTAGGTCGGGTTATTGAAGAACAGAGAATTATTAGGTTTCTTTTGTGAACACAGAAAGTTTCTGGGCTCTTCCAGGGCCTAGGGAGTGGAAAGTTTTCCCCTTTGTTTCTTGATGTGTTTCTTTGTCCCCTTTGTTTCCTTTATTGTCTTACTTTAGTGCTCCCCAATAAAAATATGATACCACAAATGTAGGACACATATGTAATTTTAAATTTTCTAGTAGCCAGATTTTAAAAAAGTGAAAAACAGAAGAAATTGATTAATTAATTAATTTTTTTGAGATGGAGTTTCATTCTTGTCACCCAGACTGGAGTGCAATGGTGCAATCTCTGCTCACTGCAACCTCTGCCTCCCAGGTTTAAGCGATTCTCCTGCCTTAGCCTCCTGAGTAGCTGGGACTACAGGTGCATGCCACCATGCCTGGCTAATTTTGTATTTTTAGCAGAGACGGGGTTTTCCCATGTTGGCCAGGCTGGTGTCGATCTCCTGACCTCAGGTGATCTGCCCACCTTGGCCTCCCAAAGTGTTGCCATTATAGGCATGAGCCACCGTGCCCAGTCTGAAATTAATTTTAATAATATACTTTCTTTAACTCAGTATATCTAAAATATTATCATTTCAACATGTAACCAATATAAAAATGAGCTATTTTTAGATTCTTTTTTTCACACTACATCTTTGAAGTCTCATGTGTATTTTATATTTACAGCATATCTCAATAAGGACTGGTCATACTGCTTTTTTTTTAAAATTATAGATTCAGGGAGTCCACGTACAGGTTTGTTACATGAATATATCACTCTATGCTGAGGTTTGGTTTCGAATTGAACTTGTTATCCAAATAGTGAACATAGTATCCAGTGGGTAGTTTTTCAACCCTTGCCACCTGGCTTCCCCCTTCTAAAGTCCCCAGTGTTTATTGTTCGTATCTTTATGTTCATGTGTACCCAATGTTTAGCTCCTACTTTTAAGTGAAAATATGCAGCATTTGGCTTTCTGTTCCTGTGTTAATTCAGTTAGGATAATGACCTCCAGCTGTATTCACGTTGCAAAGGACGTGATTTCATTCTTCTTATGCTGCATAGTATTCCATGGTGTATATGTTCCACATTTTTTTTTTTTATCCAGTCCACTGTTGAAGGTTGATTCCATATCTTTCCTATTGTGAATAGTGCTATGATGAACATGAGAGTGCAGGTGTCTTTTTGGTTGAACAACCATTTATTTTTCTTTGGGTATATATCCGGTAATGGAATTGCTGGGTCAAATGGTAATTCTATTTTTAGTTCTTTGAGAAATCTCCAAACTGCTTAACATAGGGGCTGAACTAATTTACAATCCCATCATCAGTGTATGAGCGTTCCTTTTTCTCTGCAACCTTGCCAACATGTTATTTTTTGACTTTTTAATAGTACTCATTCCGACTGGTGTGCGATGGTATCTCGTTGTGATTTTGATTTGCATTTCCCTGATGATTAGTGATAGTGAGCATTTTTTCATAGGCTTGTTGACTGCTTGTATGTCCTCTTTTGAGAAGTGTTTGCTCATGTCCTTTGCCCGCTTTTTAATGGGGTTGTTTTTTTCTTGTTGATTTGTTTGAGTTTCTTCTAGATTCTGGATATTAGTCCTTCATCAGATGTGTAGTTTGCAGATATTTTCTCCCATTCTGTAGGTTGTCTGTTTACTCTGTTGATAATTTCTTTCACTGTGCGGAAGTGCTTTAGTTTAATTAGGTTCCACTTGTCAACTTTTGATTTTATTGCATTCCAGAATGATATTTCCTACGTTTTATTCTAGAATTTTTATAGTTTTGAGATCTTACATTTAAGTCCTTAATCCATTTTGAGTTAATTTTTGTATATGGTGAAAGGTGTAGGGGTCGAGTTTCGTTCTGCATATGGTTAGCCAGTTTTCCCAGCACCATTTATTGACTAGGTAGGACTAGTCATATTTCCCAAGTGCTCAGTAGTTATATGTGGCTAGTGGCTGCTATATTGGTTAGCACAATTTTATTCGGCCTAGTTCTTCTACTCTGCAAGAATTTTACTACTTATTAGCTAGAGGTCATTCAGACTTAGGTATTCATATACTAACATATACATAAAATTTAAGGAAAAAAATATGTTTATAGTTGCTTACCTCAGCTACTTGTTTTTAAGATACTCAAAATATATCATGTTTCAGCATTGTAGGTAATGATATAAATTGGCCTGGACTTCATTGGATTTGTGGCTGTGCGTGTGCCAGTTTTCTAGTTCCATGTATTCTTTAAACATAGATAATGTAGCTGAGAAAGGCATCACTCAGAGAAAAGGAAGATGACTTGTACTTGAATTCTGACATACCATGATAGAAACGTTCTAAATCTTGGTGTCATCAGGAAGCTTGTTGATACCTAAAATTAAGAATTTTGGTATTGGCTGGGCGCAGCAGCTCATGCCTGTAATTCCTGCATTTTGGAAGGCCAGAGGGCAGATTGCTTGAACTTAGGAGTTCAAGACCAGCCTGGGCAATGTGGCAAAACCCCATCTCTACAAAAAATACAAAAATTGGCTGGACATGGTGGTCTGCACCGGTAGTCCCAGCTACTTGGGAGGCTGAGGTGGGAGGATCACTTGAGCCTGGGAGGTCAAGGCTGCAGTGAGCCATGATCGGGCCACTGCACTCCAGCCTGGGTGAGAGTGAGACTCTGTCTCAAAAAAAAAAAAAGAAAACAACAACAACAACAACAAAAATTATGGTATTTGGTGACCAACATTGAGTATGGGGCTATATAAATCCATGAAGAAGAGTTTTGGGACAAATAGTTTGTGTTGAGTGAGGGTATGTGAGAGGCAGTGGTACTTGAAAAGTGAATTAGCAGTTTTCTATGTTCATTTTTTACTTTCCAAATCTTCTTTGGTGAGCCTATACTATTTTTAAAATCAGAAATAAACTACCCCCCCAAATTAATGCAAAAAGTAATTAAATCAAAGCAAGAACAAAACCAAAAATCCAATACCACCAATAGTACACAAAAGTAAAGAGGTTCGAAGACCTGGATTCTAATTCTGGTTCTGTCGTTAACCATCTGTGTGATTTTGGATAAGTCAGTTAACGCCTCTGGGTTTCCATTTCTTCATCTGTAAAACCAGAAATTAAAGTTGCTTAGATTCTTTAGGTCTTTTTGGTCATGTAGTTGGGTAACACAGTTCCATGATAGCTTTCATGAAAGTCTTTTTGGGAATTTTTAAATTTATATTTATATTTATATTTAATTAAATTAATTTATTTATTTAAGATGGAGTCTTGCTCTGTCGCCCAGTCTGGAGTACAGTGGTGCGATCTTGGCTCTCTGTAACCTCTGCCTCCTGGGTTCAAGCAATTCCCTTGCCTCAGCCTTCCGAGTAGCTGGGACTACAGGTATGCGCCACCACGCCAGGCTAATTTTTGTATTTTTAGTAGAGATGGGGTTTTGCCATGTTGGCCACGCTGGTCTCAAATTCCTGACTTCAAGTGATCTGCCCAACTCAGCCTCCCAAAGTGCTGGGATTACAGGCATGACCCACAATGCTTGGCCCTTTTTTGGGAATTTTTTAGAAGGAATTATAGAGTCTAGGGGATTCTCTTAAAATCATTCACACGGCTGGGTACAGTGGCTCACACCTGCAATCTCAGCACTTTGGGAGGCCAAAGTGGGAGGATTGCTTGATCTCAGGAGTTTGAGACTAGTCTGGGCAACATAGCAAGACCCTGTCTCTACAAAAAGAATAAAACAAAAATTAGGTAGGCATGGTGGTGTGCGCCTCTAGTCTTAGCTATTTGGGAGGCTGAGGTGGGAGGATTGCTTGGACCAAGGATTTTGAGGCTGCAGTGAGCAATGATTGTGCCACTGCACTCCACCCTGGGCAACAGAGCAAGGCCCTGTCTCAAAAAAAAAAAATCATTCACTGAAAGAATATTTATTAAATGCCTGCTAAGTAGCAAGCAGTGCCCTTTAGCAGGAAAGCGTTTGGAAGAAATTGTCCTAAGTAGGTGTGTGGGTGAGATGGGGTGGAAAGAAGCAAAAACATGAGAGCGAATAATAGAAATAAAATATTTATGTAATACAGTATAATGTAAAAGGTGCTTCCCAGTTTTGTGTCTCATTTCATGTCATTTTTTATTTTGGAGACATGAGGGAGAATATAAGGAAGCAGTTGAGACCATGTGAAAGACAAATAAAGAAGAGGAAGTTACTAAAACCTTGATGGTACTGTAATAAAGCAGTTGGAGTCACCTGAGAAAAGAATATTTGGACTGAATCTGAGAGGAAAATTAAGAAAAAGTGATTATGTTGAGATGATCAATGTGAGGATGGAATCCTGAAATTAAGTGTTGTTGAGTTGTAGAAATAAGAGGAAGTATTCTTTGACAGAGGAAATACATAGAGCATACACGATTGAGATTATTACTGGGTTTAAAGATGTTTTGAAAGGTGAAACACTAATTTGTATAGAAAGGACTAAAATTACAAATTTGTTAAGACCCTCAAAACATAGATATACCTCTCAGGCTTATATAGCAGTCTCTGAATGCTTTTCAGAAATCATTAGATTGATTTCGAAATGCCTACATCGTTGGCATTGACCCCATCCATTTATCCACACTTTTCACTTCCCTTCTTTTTAACCATTCTCAAGCTTCTCCTCTCCAAACTATTCACCTGAAGAAGCAAAACATCTGTTGGTGTTACTAGCAACAATGTTTAGGAGCATTGGAGAAAAAGACAAGAGGAATTTAAGAGGGGGGGGTGGTAAATTATAATAGTTCTAATTCCAAATCTGATTTCCTACTGGACTATATCACATTTCTCTTATTTTATGTCTTAACAACTTGAGCTAATGTTTATTTTCACTTTCAAGTAATATGACATTATGGAAATTGAGGCAATGTGTTAAAATACTAGGATACTGGTTTTGTGTTACTTTTCTCGACAAATAACTTTCTCAGATTCTTCCTAAGGTAGGAAATATTCTTGTTAGAGGGCCTGAGTATAGATGTGGGTTTATGGACAGCTGTATTGGAAATACATTATTTGTTACAGAAGCATGTGGGTTTGAGACAGTTCAGCTGTATTCATGTTATGTGCTGGTCTCATAGGACTACAGGGATGCAAATATAATTGTATATAATTCAAGAGGGCAGATATGATTGCATCATGCAGTCAAATTAAGTGCTGTAAGAGAGATGTGAATGAGGGGCCCCTGCAGCTCAAAGGATGGGAGAGATCACATCAGGTTCAGGGAATCAGCCAGGAAAGTCTTCATGAAAGAAGTGTCATTTGAGAGAACCCTCTAAGGGTGGTTGGAGAGAAAGGCTGGAGTGGAAAGGGGCCTTCAGAGTTAACAGACCAGGGGTTAGACATGGGATTAGCTGAGCCACAGACTGGGACTTAAAGTTTATGCGGGATGGTGGGGAAAAAGGAGGCAGGAAAGCAGGAACAGGATAGGAAAGGAAATGGGAGGGTGGGAAACAGTGGAGTACTGTGGACCACATGTGTTTTGCAGCTTTATATTCTGGTATAACCCAAATGATGGTATTGGTAAACACTTGTGATGGGATTTTGTATCTAGTGTGTATATAATTTAGTATACATTTCAAAGTAAGAATACTGGCCTATATACATAATAGATATTTATGTATGAATGTGTGTGTAACTTATACCAGAAAAGAGTGCTCCTTTTGGGATTTGTTAGGGAACCTACCATTTGTGCAAATGTTTCTACTTGTGAGCATCATGAAGAAAAATTGCTCCCTGGTAGAAATGTTTAAAGGATGTGTGTGTGTGTGTGTGTGTGTGTGTGTGTGTGTAATGGGGAAAGAAAGATGGGTGGGGTCGGGGGAGGAGAAATCAGGAGAGGGGAGGAGAGAAGTGGGAATTGGGAAAAGAGGACCTAGAACTTTAAAATGGGATTAGGGTACATTTTTTAGAGGAAATGCCTTTAGGGGACTTCGCCATCAAAAACGTTTGTTGTCGGCCAGTGCAGTGGCTCATGCCTATAATCCCAGCACTTTGGGAGGCCGAGGTGGGCAGATCACCTGAAATCAGGAGTTTGGGACCAGCCTGGCCAACATGGTGAAACCCTGTCTCTACTAAAAATACAAAAATTAGCTGGGCGTAGTAGCGCATGCCTGTAATCCCAACTACTTGGGAGGTGGAGGCAGGAAAATCACTTGAACCTGGGAGGTAGAGGTTACAGTGAGCTGAGGTCGTACCACTGCACTCCAGCCCTGGGTGACAGAGGGAGACTCAGTATCAAAAAAAAAAAAAAAAAAAAAGTTTGTCAGTATATGTACAATGACAAAGATAATAGTGTTAATTCTTATGAATTACTAGAAGTGAAAACACTTGCAGACTTTTATTTTTCTCTACCTTAAAAAAATCATGGCTGGCTGGGCGCGGTGTCTCATGCCTGTAATCTCAGCACTTTGGGAGGCCGAGGCGGGTGGATCACCTGAGGTTGGGAGTTCGAGACCAGCCTGACCAACATGGAGAAACCCCGTCTCTACTAAAAATACAAAATTAGCCGGACGTGGTGGCACATGCCTGTAATCCCAGCTACTCGGGAGGCCGAGGCAGGAAAATCGCTTGAACCTGGGAGGCAGAGGTTGTGGTGAGCCGAGATCGTGCTGTTGCACTCCAGCCTGGGCAACAAGAGTGAAACTCCGTCTCAAAAAAACCCCCCAAAAAACGAACAAAAAAAACAAACCATGGCTTAGTGCCTGTAGTCCCAGTTACTCTGGAGGCTGAGGCAGGAAAATTGCTTAAGGCCAAGAGTTCGAGACCTGCTTGAGCAACATAGTGAGACCTCTGTCTCTAAAATACATAAAATAAAATAAAATGGAAGAGGGTATTCACATATCTTAATTCATATTGTTGCCAGTATGTTTTTTTTTTTTTTTTTTTTAAATGAGTATAGCAGTAGCAGTTCTTTTGTGAATTAGATAACAGGCTAAACTTCTGTAAAAGAAATTGATGTTTCTTTTGGATAGAACATTTACTTTTGTGAAAACAATACAAGTAAAAAAGCTGTTGAAAGAAATGACTGTTGAATTTGAATATATTAATTGCTTCAGAGGTGTTTATTTTTCTTTTCTTAAAGTGCTGAAAAACTATTTAATTTTAAAATAAGAGTGCTGTTGCATTGTTCCTTAATACAGAAGTATTGTTGAAAGTGCAACCTCTCAGGAAAGATGAGCAAACTTGTTTTTTGTGGGTAGTTCTTTGCTGCTTAGGATTCCTGTAAATTTACAAGATACTATTGGCTTATGTGTTTTTATTGTGAATTACTAAAATATTAGGCCATAAAAATCAAACTTTGTGGTGCCCTGATAGTGTTTTTGAACCTCTCCATATCTTTTGCTAGCTTAAGGAAAGTGTGAAGGACTTTGAAAATATACCTGGCCTAGACTTAGAACTTACTGTGTCTGGCCTTCCCAATTTTTTCAGTAGGTTCAGAATACTTCTCTTTGGTTTGAATTATAATTTTGTTTCTTGTGGTTCCAAAAGTTATCTGTAATAGCCTCGTTCTTGTCATTGCCTCATTCTTAAGAAGTTGCTTTTTTTGCTTTTGAATATTTGTGGGTGTTTGACACAGTGTATGCTTAAGACAGATGAAAAAAATACTAATAATAGTGTTCATGTGAGCAAGTTCATTCTGAAAAAGGAAATGCTTAGAAGTCCTTGGTGTTCTTCTTTACACTTGATACGATTCTTTGTGTGTGTGTGTGTGTGTGTGTGTGTGTGTGTGTGTGTGAGAGAGAGAGAGAAAGAGAAAGAAAGAGATCGATCATATCCATTCTGATGCCTTCAGTTTCCCCTCTCAGGCTTTTTAGTCTGTATCTCCAGGCTAGAAAATTTTCTCCAGTCCAGACTTGTATTTCCAGCTACTCCTTGGTCCGGTCCCTTTCACAGGTTTCCTGCCTTTAGGGAGTGGCCCCATCATCTCTGTTGTGGCCTGAGCTTCATTGCTTTGGGCCCTTTATCTTTCTGCTTCTAACTCCTTGGGAGTTTTTTTTTTTTTGGTGGAGTCTCACTCTGTCACCAGGCTGGAGTGCAGTGGTGTGATCTCGGCTTACTGCAACCTCCGCCTCACCAGTTCAAGCGATTCTCCTGCCTCAGCCCCCCTGAGTAGCTGGGACTATAGGCGCGCGCCACCAGTCCCGTCTACTTTTTGTATTTTTAGTAGAGACAGGGTTTCACCATATTGGCCAGGCTGGTGTCGAACTCCTGACCTCGTGATCCACCCGCCTCGGCCTCCCAAAGTGCTGGGATTACAGGTGTGAACCACCATGCCTGGCCTCGGGAGCTTTTTGAGTCTGTGCTGCTCTCTCCTTCCCCCATCTCGGCTCTGCTCTTTCCTTTCTTCCTATTGTGGGAATGTCAATACGTCTCTGTCTCTAGCGTGGCCCCTGTGGACCCACCTTTCATGGAGCTGCCTGCAGGAGCTGGTAGTGTGCTCCCTTGGACCCCACAGCAGAAAATGGAAGCTCTCGGATCTGAACCTGCCCAGCTTTTCTCTAGTGGCGCCCTCTTTCCTCCTCCCAGTTCATGGGGAGCTGCCTGCCGTGAATGCGCTGTGTACGTGCACCTCTCTGTGCCCTTTCTGCACGGGCTATTTATTCTCTTGGCTGGGAGAGCCCTTCTTCCTCTTGTGATTCTGGCCAACCCCTTCTTTTTGCTCTCTCAAGAGTTGGCTCAGATATCACTACTTCTTTGAGGGAGAACTAGGTATCTCCTCCTCATTCCCACTGACAGCCTTAATCTCCTATAGTACTTACCACACTGATGTCATAATTAGGCAAATATCTATCTTCTTTATGTCTGCGAGTGCATTCTGTTTAAAACTGTGACCCCCCCTCCCCATGTTCCTTTCCTTGCTCTGCTTATTTTTTCTCTTGCACTTGTCTGTTTTCAACATACTGTATGATTTTTTAAAAAAAATTTTATTTATATTTTTAAAGTACAGATGAGATCTTGCTATGTTGCCCAGGCTGGTCTTGAACTCCTGGGCTCAAGCAATCTGCCTGCCTCAGCTTCCCAAAGTCCTAGGATGACAGGTGTGAGCCACTGGGCCTGGCCTATATTATGTTCTTATTTCTAATGTTTATTATCTGTGCATCCTGCTAGAGTGTAAACTCCAGCAGGACAGAAATCTTTGTCACTTTTGTTCACTGCGGTATTGTCGGTACCTAGAACAGTGTCTGAGCCCTAGAAAATGCTCAAAATTATTTGTTCAAGGAATGTGTACTTGTATGTTGAGGGCCCAGCTCACAGTAGGCCTTGGGTAAATTAAACTGATGATGAACAGGTTATTCTGTTAGATTTTCTAGGGGCTGTCTGACTATGCCTTGTTTTGGTACTTAAAAGTAAATATAATTAAACACTTTTTAAGATTTTTATGCATTCAGATAAAATGTTTTGTTAACAGTCTGGTTTACTGTATTTATTAGTTTCAGATGTCGGAGTCAGCCAGATGTGTTTCATGCCTTCTCATATTACTCCCCTTTCTTGCGTAAACCAAACCCCAACAACTAAATAAATAAAGATTTCACCAAAGGTCATGTTTTCAGAATACCATCTAAATAGAGGCTAAAATCACGCGTGACTCATGGCAACAGTTTTTTTTTGTTGTTGTTGTTTTCCAAGACGGAGTCCCACTCTGTCACCCAGGCTGGAATGCAGTGGTGCGATCTTGGCTCACTGCAACCTCTGCCTCCTGGGTTCAAGCAATTCTTGTGCCTCAGCCTCCTGAGTAGCTGAGATTACAAGCACGCGCCACCATGCCCGGCTAATTTTGTATTTTTAGTAGAGACGGGGTTTCACCATGTTGGCCAGGCTCGAACTCCTGACCTCAGGTGATCTGCCCACCTCAGCCTCTCAAAGTGCTGGGATTACAGACATGAGTCACTGTGCTCGGCCTCCATGCCAACAGTTTTCAAACATTTTTGCTCATATAGGCTTGAAAGAATTTTGTAAAACAATGTATTTTTTGTATTGATTCTGAAAAGTTTTTTTCCTACATGTTTACATAGTTGCATAACGTGTAATTTCTAGGATATTTTAAAATGTTGACATTTAATAATTAAACTGTTGCATTACTTTTATATATGTATTTAAAGGTACTGGTGGACAGCAATTTGTTTCCTACCATCATCTTCTAAAAAATTGAATGAATTCTTTAACTGTTTGTTGAAGTTGTATTTCCATTGTACTCACTCCAGAATTTTGTCAGAATAAAAAATATTTTTAGACTCGAAAGTCTTATTAACCGATAACCCTCTCATACTTCTCATACTTTAAAAATATATCATTTTAAAATAAAGAAAGTTAAAATGTCTTGTGACCATGAGGCTGTGTTAATTCAATTCAGAAGTAAACAGAATTTGTCATTGCCATTATCACATAATTCAAACTAATATAAAGGTATTACATTTTGATAAATGATTGTTAAAACTATTAAATAGTTATTGGAAATGTATCTCAATGAAATGCATAGGACTGTGGCTTTTTTTAAATTAAATAAATGAGCTCTTCATACATGGGTGAATATTGATTATTGCCAGAATGGGGATTTAGCATCAATTTTTTTTTTTTTTTTTTTTTTTTGAGATGGAGTCTTGCTCTATCGCCCAGGCTGGAGTGCAGTGGTGCGATCTCGGCTCACTGCAACCTCCGCCCCCTGGATTCAAGCAATTCCCCTGCCTCACCCTCCCTAGTAGCTGGGATTACAGGTGCACGCTACCACGCCCAGCTAATTTTTAAATTTTAAGTAGAGACGGAGTTTCAGCATGTTGGCCAGCTGGTCTCGAACTCCTGACCTCAGGTGATTCACCCGCCTCGGCCTCCCAAAGTGTTGGGATTACAGGTGTGAGCCACCACACCCGGCCAATTCTATTTCATACTTTTCTTTTTTATTGTGATAGAGCACTGACAAATCCTAATTATATAAATAAGAGATAGGAATGGGAAGTGTTCTGTTATTGCAGCATCACTCAGTCCCTTGAACTGTTTCTGAGTTATGTGTCAAAAATCAATCTACCACCAAAAATTATTTTTGATGACAATTGGTTAGATCCTCCTTCAGTATTGTTGAAAGCAGATAAACTACTAGATTTGCAAAAGAATTTGTTTTCCAGTTGCTATTTTCTTAACACTCAAACCGACCCTTTGTTTGGTGACAGGGAGGGAAGTGAGCTGTGCTAAGGTTTGGGATCAGTGAGCAGGTGTGTTTCTCCTTTTAATGTGAGAGAAGGAAGATTTTGAAAGGGAAGCTGAAAAAGAAGAATTTGCAGTGTCATTGCAGACAAGATTTCAGGCTGGTGGTTTTAGGATGAAATACATAAAAAAATGGAGTCTGGCCAGGCACAGTGGCTCATGCCTGTAATCCCGGCACTTTGAGAGGCTGAGAAAGGAGGATCGCTTGAGACTAGGAGTTCGAGACCAGCCTGTGCAAGAAAGTGAGTCCCTATGTCTACCAAAAATTGAAAAAATAGCAGGGCATGGTGGCTTGTGCCTGTAGTCCCAGCTTCTTGGGAGGTTGAGGTGGGAGGTTTCCTTGAGCCCAGGAGTTGGAGGCTGCATTGAACTATGATCACTCTACTGCACTTCAGCCTGGGTAACAGAGTAAGACCCCAACTGTTTTTTTTGAGACAGGGTCTCGCTCTGTTGCCTAGACTGGAGTGCAGTGGTGTGATCTCGGTTCACTGCAGCCTCTGCCTCCCAGATTCAAGCAATTCTCCCACCTCAGCCTCCCGAGTAGCTGGGATTACAGGCACACCAACACACCTGGCTAATTTTTGTATTTTTAGTAGAGACAGAGTTTCACCATGTTGGCCAGGCTGGTCCTGAACTCCTGGCCTCCCATGATCTACCCTCCTTGGCCTCCCAAAGTGCTGGGATTACAGGCATGAGCCACCACACCTGGCCGAGACCCCAACTCTTAAGAAAAAGAAAATTGAGGCTGTGGAAATGAATTTCCTTAAAATTATCTGTGGAGTAAGATTGGTAAAAGGTTGGTAATTTTTGATCCTGGGTGATGAGTATGTGAAGGTTTATTATACTGTCCTTTCTACTTTTGAGTATATTTTAATATTTATATTACAAAAAGGAAAAACAAAGCAAAAATTCTTTGTGGAAAGTTTTACTATGTATGCATTCAAATTTGAGTAGCGACCTTTGGTGCCTTAACACTGTTAGTCTGAGTGTTAACAAAATAAGGCATTCTTTTAGGTTGAACCAGATGAAATTTCCAATATTTGACCATCTTGATGTATAAAACTGGCACTTGCATATGGTTTAACCTAATCTTTTATTGCATATATTAGTTCTTCCCTCTCCATCAGTTTCATTTCACTAACTGGGATTCAGTGAGAATTTTTTTTTAGGTTCTCCCATTCTCAGAGATCATCCTTTTCAGTTAAGATTTGTTGAAAAGAATTTTAGTTTGTTGTCAGTATGGTGTTAGGTGCTACATAGACTGAGTTAAACAGGCAGCCACTTCTTACCTTTATTGTACTAAAGACTTAAGTTATGTTTTGTTCAGTGTCTGTTCTAAGTGTAGACAAACAAACCAGTCAGTTCATTTAGCAAGGTGCCAAGTGAACGGAGCTAGAATATTTAGGGACAGGCAGGTGAAGCTTTCACCTGAATAGTACCTGAGAAGTTGGCTTTATTTATTTTTTTTACTGTAAATGTGTGAGGTAGAAAAACAAGGCTGTCCAGCACGTGGCAGTTCTGAGGATGATCCTTGAGGGGTGATGTCTGCCTCCAGTCTTCGCTGAGGAGAAAAGCACCCCTCCTCCCCCACCCACAGCACCATGGGAGAGAGGCCCTGGAAGTTGACTTTATATAGAAGTTAATCTTCCAGAGAGCTCAGAGTGTATCTCTGTGTGTTTTCATCTTTATTATGAAATCTGGGAATAACAGACTGGAGATAGGTATTGTTCTTAATGATTTTTTTCTTTCTTTCTTTTTTTGAAACAGTCTCACTCTGTCACCCATGTTGGAGTGCAGTGGCATGATCTCAGCTCACTGCAACCTCCTTCTCCTGGGTTCAAGCATTTCTCATGCCTCAGACTCCTGAGTAGCTGGGACTACAGGCGTCCACCACCATACCTGGCTAATTTTTTTTTGGATTTTTAGTACAAGATGGGGGTTTCACCATATTGGCCAGGCTGGTCTCGAACTCCTGGCCTCAAGTGATCTGCCTGCCTCAGGCTCCCAAAGTGCTGGGATTACAGGCATGAGCCACCGTACCCGGCCAATGATTTCTTTATTGAGAAGGAGATTGGCATCTAGAGAAGTTAAGTGACTTAATCTCCTCTCAGGGTAAGTCAGCATTGGAGCCAGGTTCTCATGGTTTCTCAGTGTGTACTTCATATCCTAGATTAGTGGTTCTCAGAGCATGCTTTGGGGATCCCCAAAGGTTCCTGAGACCTTTTCAGGGGTCTGTGAGGTCAAAACTAATTTTATAGTAATACTTAAGACATTATATGTTTTTCCCTCTCCCATGACCGTGTTTTCCAGAATCTGCATTACCTGTACTGTTGCAGGAAATTGAAGCAAAAGTGGGTTTTGAGAATCCAGTTGCTTTCTATTAAGCCAGATGTTAAAGAGATGTATAAAAGTGTAAAATGGTGCCACTTTTCTCACTCATTTTTTTGAGGAAAATGTGGTTTAAAGTAGTTTAAAAAATATTTACAATTGTATTGAAATGAATTAATAAATATTAAAAATTTTCCCATTTTTAATTTTAATGTGGTAAATATTGGTAGATATAATCCATATTTTTAAAAAGCTCTTTGAGATCCTGAGTAATTGTGAAACCAAAAGTTTCACTGAGACCTCTGGGTTTCAGTTTCACCGTTCTCAAAAAGAGGCCAGATGTTAGGTTGCAGAGGACCACAAGTTGTCATTCGATGTGTCCCAAGTCATTTGAAAATAGTCTGTTTTCAGTTCTACAGGATAGATATCCACATCATAAAAACCTTTATTCAATTTGCCCTTCCTTGGTTTCTTATATGTAGTTTAAGCAGGTGACCAAGTATTAACTGAAGCTATGTCATTTTTATTTCCCCATTTGAAGTAGAAAAGCAGCCTCAAGTGAATATTTGAAGGATCTCCAAGCTGAATTGTTTGTCCATGTTTTGTGTAAGAGCAATATCAGTTGGACTTCATTGTTTCTCTCGTGGATTTTTGGATTTGTAGTTTCAGTATACATTTAAAAATTTTATATATATATATTTAAATTTTTTTCTCTTAAAAGAGGTCATGCTAATCTTCTCTGTATCATTCCAGTTTTAGTATATATGCTGCTGAAGTGATAGCACTTCAGTGTACATTTTTATTAAGAGCTTTTTCAGTAAGATCCTGTATTGTATAGATAAGAGAACCTTAACCTTATGGCTGCCTTATACTTTTCTTTGAAAAGGTTTAAGGACCTTCCTTAAAATGAGTATTTGCATTTATTTGGCAATTAAGTTTTATAGGCAATATATCTAATTTGTTTTTCCCTTTTTTTTCTTATTCCCTCTTCTCCTCTCCTTCCCATCTCCTTTCTCCATTACTGCTTTTTTTCTCTTCTCCCCTCCCCTCTTTTAATTGCCATTATGACCTTGGGTGAAATACTTAGTCTCTATGTATCTTGGATTCTCCATTTGTAATGTGTGATGTTGTGAAATAATTTCTGTAAACCACATAGAACATTGCCTGGCTGACTATCAAGGATCAATAAATGTTAGCTGCAATTTTTGTTGTTGTTATCATTAAAGCAGGTTGGCAGTTCCTGGAATGTATTGAGTACTCAATAAATGGTGGTTATTTATATTATTTAATATTACTACATTGCACATTTGCTTTTAGATGGTCTATTGAGTTTGGCTGAGGCAGATGTATAGTAGGTGTAGTAGTAGTATTATATGCTGTCTTAATTTTTTAATGAGAATGGTTTTCTTTTTTTACGAAATGATGCAGATGCTGATACTCTATGGCTGTAATCCAAATATTTAGTAGGTATTGTGGCCTTTATAAGCCTACTCCTGAGAACAGCCCACTAATTAAATGGGAGGTGTGGAGATTTGGTCCTTGTAAATCACCATTTAGAAATGGAGATGTATTGGATTCATATTTTGTGTGTGTGTACGTTTGTAGTAAAGTCATAAAACAGACTCTACTACTCTACAGTCTAAGTGCTTCCTCTTGTTCTTAGTTTTCAGCTGTTAGTGGACACTAGTCAGGTATAATAAAGTAGCTTCTTATTCAGTTAAGTTTGTGTTAAATATGTGATCCTATCTGTGAATGTCATGAATAAGTAATTTATAGATGATTTTATGATTACTAATTGTTAATGGATCTAAAGGCCTTAAAAATCTAAGGATAGAAGAACAGTGATCACCAGCAGTATAGGGTTCTCTGTGCTGGTAATACATCCATATAGTAGGGCATTGAATGCCTAAAAACTACTAATCATTGATTGATTAATAAAACTATTAGTTGGGTGGACAGTAGAGTCTGATTTAGAAGTCAGAGTATGGTATGTGATATTTGAACTGATTGAGCAGGGATTTGAAGCCTCCTTATTAAAGGATATGTTATTAATAATATAAACTTTAGCGGAAGGAGGAGTGGTCTTTTTGTAGCCTATAAGATATGTACTTGAATATAATCTCTGTTACTGAAATATACTTTTGAGCAAAGCATTTATCTTTGGTGAATTTGGGTTTTTCAATTGCAAAGTGAGTATCAAACCTAGCCAGCTTAGCTCACTGGGTTGGTAGGATCATTAAATGAAATAACTCATTTTGATCCAGTGTTGTGCCTTCCATGAGAACAACAACAACAACAAAAAGCAAAAGGGGGGGAAAAAGAAGAAGAAATAATACATTTTGAGAAAGCTTGAAAAACTCGAGCATTATACAGGTTTAAGTTAGCATTCTTCCTACTTTCAAATGTGAGGGCATTGTTTGTGGAATATTCTGACTCCAGCTTGTGTTAATGCTTTTACTTTTTTTGTTGTTGTTTAGGTTTATCAATGACAGATAGAAGATTTAAGTATCATAATCCTCTATTTTTATGGCCATGAATTGAAATGAAGAATGTATGTATTCATGTTTGAATATATAGACATGCATACAATAGCAGTGCTGTTCATGACACTGTAGTTAAGCATTTGTCAGAGTTTCCACTGTAAACTTCCCTTTGAATGTTTTTTCATTTTAGCTTGGCTTTCCTGTGGGTTAAAATTATAGGGCCTGAATATTTTTGGATGGAAACTTTTTCCTTCTTTTTAATAGGGCATGAATGCATGCTATTTAAAAAAACTATCTTATGTTTTTTAATATTTTATCATAAAAGTTTTAAAAGCCACTTCTAGGCAGTGTTTTTCTGTAAATCATTAAGTGTGTTAAATGTTGTGACTTCATACCTATAAACAGTTCTTCTTTGCCTTTGTAGTTTTTCCTCCAAAAATTGTTAGTCTTCAATGTATTATCTAAATGAAAGATTATAAATAATTTTTGTAAACTAATTGTAATATATAAAAAAACAGTGATATATTGAACATCTGGATATCCATCCCAAGTTAAGAAAAAGTAAACTGCCTAGAATTTATAAGCTTCCTTAGACTTTCATCACTAAAAGTGTTCATTGGTCTTTGATTTAAGTATTTGTAAAGTGTGTTGGAAACAGGCCAGGACTTAGACTGCCCCTTTATATCCAGACACCCCCTTCTAATGGATGTCATGTGGTACGTGTGTTCTGGTTTCACGTGACGGATTGGGTGACTCCGTGACCCAAGATCATCCCATCTATAGGCAAGATATAATGTGGCCCAGAGCTTCTACCCAACAGAGAAGAGAGTGAAATGCTGTTCCAGCAGAACCTTTCTCTAGGGAAGTTTGAATTTGATAAAGAGTTGACGAAGGCAGGAATAGATGCTGAAAGACCCAAGAAAAAGAAGCAAAGAAGTGATAAGCCATGTTGATAGGGCAGGGAGGGTGAGGTGTGGGTTGATCTGCCTTGATCATCGCTTCACTGAAATTACTCTTGTCAGGGCCACCTGCATGTCACATGTCTCTCAGCAACGTTGGACACTTGTCCACATTTTCCTTGTAGAAACATACTCTTCTTTGGCTTCTGTGACCCTGCTCAGGTTTTCCTTTTGCCTCTGGCTGTTTCTTCTCATTCTCTTAGCTGGCTCTTCCTCCTCTACTCAACTTGTAAGTGTTGGGTTTCTTCAGAGCTCCTTCTGCTTCACTTTCTGCACTCTTGCCGTAGGTGAGTTCATCCGGCCTATTGGCTTTAAGACCACTTATATATTACCATTTATATGTTGTTGGTGTCCACATTTCTTTTCTTCCTTTTTTTCCCCCAAATATGACATTTCTTTTGCTTTTCTTCTTCTTGTTTTTTTTTTTTTTTTTTTTTTTTTTTGAGATGGGGTATCACTCTATTGCCCAGGCTGGAGTACAGTGGTGCAGTTGTGGTTCACTGCAGCCTCGACCTCCCTGGGCTCAAGCCATCCTCCCATCTCAGCCTCCCGAGTAGCTGGGATTATAGGAGCACACCACTGCGCCCAGCTGAGGTGCCCACATTTCTATCTCCACCTCACTCTTTTCAGACTTTGGTCTTGTATATACAATACATTTCCATGTATATGTCTTATAAACATCTCTAATGTAACACATTGTCAGTGTAACACTTGATTTCCCCCACCAAACTATTTCTTCCCTCTTTTACTTGCTGACTCCTCTGTTCACCCAGGTGCTCAAACCAGACAACCCGGCTCCCACCCACTGAACGTGGAGAAGTGGGGCAAGTGCCAAGAGTCACCTTTGATCCCTCTCTGTCTGTTAGTCACTTTTCACCTCTGTATTCTCCCCCCAGAGTAGTTTCTATCAGCAAGCACAATTGATTCTACCAATTCTTCTTCCAGTAAATTATCTCTAATTTGTCCACTTTGTCTCCAATCCTTCCCACGATTCTGTAACAGTTGCCTCCTATGTAGCTGTAGTCTCCTAACTGGTGTCCCTGTTTCTTATCTTGCCTCTTTTCCATTCATTCAACTCATTGTGACCAGAGTGATCTTTTTAACAATACAAATCATATGAATGTCTCTCCCTCAGGTTTTAATAATACAAACCATGTGCTCACTCCAACTTTAATACTGTCATGATTCTTTACTGAATCCGGAATTAAATCCAGGTTCCTTCTCTTTACCTTTCACTATTTTCTTTTCACCTTGGCTTTTCTATTGCAATTTTTCTGACATCACTAATTAGAATTTAATGTTAAAGTCAAATGCATGTGGGTTAAAACTCCCAAGTTTCTAAAAACTTTAAGAGACTTGATTTTCTCTCTCCATGTCATCCCCTTTTCCTGTTACTCTTCTTCATTTAATAAAATCCACACCAAAACCAAATTACAATTAGCCCTGTCTCAGCCTCTTGAGTCTGATTGCATCAGACATTTCTCAGACTTCCTAGAGAGCTGTTTTGGTTGTTTCATTAGCATTTAGAGGCATTTCTTTAAAATTACGGAAGGTTTTACTCTTGTATATCTTTAGTACACTGTTAGCACTGGGAAATGTCTCAGAGCTTTACTTCTTGTTTTTGCGGGCACTTCATCATCTTGGTTCTCTGTCCCTTCCTATCCTGAGTTTTCTGCCTCATTGTTGAGTTTTCTTTAGCTTGTCTCTAGCTGCCCCATGGTTCCATTTTTAACCTTCTGTTCTTCGTTTTCCCCTTACTCAGTCATTGAGCTTATCTGTTCCTTTGATTTCAACTTTCACCTTTATGGGAAAACTCTGGAATCTCTACCGTTTAATTTATAGCCCCTTGTTTCCAGTCCTATTTCGAGTCTTTTTCTCCCTTGGAGTTACCTCACATTCTGTTGTTGCCACTACAGTTCATGAACTTCCTTGACTAACTTCTCTGTCTGATTGTTTCATTTTTACCAACAGTATCATCATTCTTCCAACCTGGAAACATTAGTAATCTTTGACTATCTTTCCTTTCTGTTATATCTAATGTAATTTAAAAAATCCCTTTGTTTCTTACCTTCTGGTATCTCAGCTTCTTTTTCTTCTATTCTTCCACGGCCATCAACTTCGTATAAGCCCTCATAACTCTTCATACTTGGTTCTGATGACATTGTTTTTGGCTAATTTGATTGCCTCCCTTCAGCCCCCGCTAAAACACTTCTCATTATGTTTGCTCCTGTCCCACATTTCTGTGTTGTCAGCCACATGAAACCCAGGTTACCCTGCAGTTTGTAAAGTCCTTTCTGGCCAGGTATGTCCTCATTCCTCCCTCTCATTTCCCACTCTTTCTAGTCACCTGTCTTCCATGCCCTAGACATGCATATCTTCTTATAATTTCTCCCATAATGTGCTCACTCTCACCTCTGTGCTGTTCTTGTCTAAAATATCTTCCACCTTTCCTTTGTTTATTCCTTGTTCTATTCATGCTTCCTTTCTGTCCCATCACTAGCTGAAAGCAATTCAACCTAACTGGCTTTCTAATTGACCTTAGGCTGTGCTGGTGATAATACAGGTTTGAACTCTCAGTTAGACTCCAAATCATATGCAAGTTCAACAAATGTCAGGTGTTCAAAACAAAATGAAACAACCAAACTTCTGTGTCATTACATTTTCCTGAACAGTAAATTAAATCCAAACAAGGTTGAAGTCTTGAAGTAAGCCAGCTTTAGTGCAAAGGAGAAGGCTGGAAGGTTAGAGAAGACTTTGAATCATCTTTTGAGAGACTTAACACTAATGTAAAGGGGTCCTTTATTTTATTTTTTTTTGAGATGGAGATTCACTCTTGTCACCCAGGCTGGAGTGAAATGGCGTGATCTCAGCTCATTTCAACCTCCGCCTCCTGGGTTCAGCCGATTCTCCTGCCTCAGCCTCCTGAGTAGCTGGGATTACAGGCGCCTGTCACCATGCCCGATTAATTTTTGTATTTTTGGTAGAGATGGGGTTTTGCCATGTTGGCCAGGTTGGCCTTGAACATCTGACTCAGGTGATCCACCTGCCTTGGCCTCCAACAGTGCTGGGATGACAGGCATGAGTCACTGTGCCCAGCCTAAGGGGGCTTTTAAATATTAACAGAAATAACAGGCCAGCTGGAGAATCTTTCTAACCCTTGGTAGTTGCATTTTGCTTGGTACAAAGAGGAGATAGATGACAGAATGCTTGTCTTCCTCAATCTATGTTAAAGAGTCTGTTAGGAAGATTAGGAAGATTAACCCTTCCAGATGGTCCCTCCAGTGTACGTTGTAGATATTAGATGAAAACAAAAATGATCAGTAGTGATAAGCCAGCTCTCATTAGTCTTTAGCAGAGGTGGGATAGTGTACAGGTGCCAGATTGTGGAGGTCTGAAGCTCAGCAGGGCCCCCTTTCCAGCTGTGTGATGGTGGGCAAGTTGCTAAATATCTTTGGGCCAATTTTTATATGTAAAAATAAGGTTGGTAATACCTACCTCACAGCATTGTAGAAAGGATTAAAGGAGTTAATACATGTAAACTCCTTATAATAGTGACTGCCACAGAGTAAGTGCTTACTAAGTTTTTACTATTATTATGTATACATGATATGACTGGGAAGGGATGACTCATTCAAGATTTTCAGAAACTATTTATTGTGAAACAGGAAATGGCTCTTTAGAATGCGTATCTTTTTCTAATACCTGACCTGTCTTCAGTGACTCTTGTTTATTTTGGGTTATTCATTCATTAATTAACAAGTGTATTTTGACATTGCTTATAGTCAAGATCCTGAAAGAGTGTATTGTCTGTAGGAGATCATGATATTTTCAATAGAGGATAGATTCTGAAAACTTGTGAGAGTTGTATGAATGAGGTTCTTCTGGCCCATCTGGGTCTATGAACAATCTATACATAAGACATCTGGTTTTATCAGAAATTTGAAACTTACGCATTTTTATGTGTACTCTCCATTCTCAAAGAGAGCCTGGTGCGTGTTTTTGCAGATTTATGTAATATGAGAGTTTCTGGAATCTAGATGAATGTCATTCAGAGTGGTCTCTCTTGAACTTGCCCCACTTGGCTTTTTTCAAAGAAATGTTGTCATCTGCATGCTATGCTTGCTTTGGACTTCAGGGTGGGGTAAAAAATGGCTCAGAAGCTATTGCTTGGTCACCTTTGTAATATCAGGGTGCATTAATGGTACAAGCAAGCAATGTAGATTGTCAAAATTTCAGAATTAGACATTTTATCTTTTTATTAGGATGCTGTAATTTTTTTTTTTTTTTTGTAGAGACGGAGGTCTTTCTGTGTTGATCTTCCCACCTCAACCTCCAAAAGTGTTGGGATTATAGGTGTGAGCCATTGTGCTCAGCCACGTTTTTTTTTTTTTTTAATCTGTTGATAAAGGCTTGTTTTTATGATCCTGTGAAAGTAGATTAGGTGTCAATAGAGTCTTCAGATAATTTGCTTGTTTTATGCTGGAAATTCCTATTAAAATTATGCAATTGGATGAAGCCATTTTGTTATTGTCACTATGAAGTATTTTTTAATAATATAAATATGTTCTTCCTAGAGATAACCCCTTAACCCTTTAGTAGACAGGATAATCAATCACCACATTATCAGAGGGCAAGTCGGTTTTTTTTTTTTTTTAAACTTATGGAAAGGTTATGAGTGCAGAGTGTGATTGTGGAATACTGTGTGCCTTGGGGTTGGAACTGGGCTATAAGTAGGGAGGTAGGAGGCTGGATGCAGGGGCTCACACTTGTAATCCCAGCACTTTGGGAGGTCCAGGCGGCAAGGATCCCTTGAGCCTAGGAGTTCAAGACCACCCTGGGTAACATAGTGAAGCACTGTCTTTACAAAAACTACAAAAATTAGCTAGGTGTGGTGGTGCATGCCTGTAATCCCAGCCACTTGGGAGGCTGAAATGGGAGGATTGCTTCAGCCAGGGAGGTCGAGGCTACAGTGTGCTGTGACTGTGCCACTGCACTCTAGCGTGGGTGACAGAGTGAGACCTTGTCTCAAAAAAAGTGGGGGGTGTGGGGAGGTAGGAGATGAGGAGGACAAAAATCATTGTTTATTCTTTATAATCCTACTGCCACATTTATCTGTCCAAATAAATGGAGAGGAGGAAGTATTTCATTTTGGTGTAAAATTATCCCTTCTGGTTCTTTGTAGTGAAGTTGTTTTTACACGTTAGCCATTGACCCAGAATAATAAAACTGAATATCTTGCAGCCTTGGTTCTCTTACAGGTAAAATGGGAATATTAACATGTATTAGGCAGGAATTTTGTAAGATTTTAATGGGAGGATATAATGAAGGACCTAAGCTGGAGGTCCATTTCCTTGTCAGGTGCTTTTTTCTTTTCTGTCTCTCAACTTGGTCCATGAAATTCAGATACTTTACTTGATTTTTTTGAAACGGAGTCTTGCTCTGTCGCCCAGGCTGGAGTGCAGTGGCACGATCTCGGCTCACTGCCAGCTCCGCCTCCCGGGTTCACGCCATTCTCCTGCCTCAGCCTCCTGAGTAGCTGGGACTACAGGCGCTCGCCACCACGCCTGGCTACTTTTTTGTATTTTTTTAGTAGAGATGGGTTTTCACCGTGTTAGCCAGGATGGTCTTGATCTCCTGACCTCGTGATCAGCCCGCCTCGGCCTCCCAAAGTGCTGGGATTACAGGCGTGAGCCACCGCGCCCGGCCACTTTAATTGTATTTTTTGCCATTATTAATAGGTGCAAATCTTGCTTCCCCCTGGACTGTACTTTTTTTGAGAGTAGATCCATTTGTTTTCATTCTTTACAACATATGCCCTTATAATATCTTCTTGTACCTTTTTTTGTAATGTAAAATGTTTTAACTTTTATATTTATCTATATGGTCATTTAATTAGGGTTTCTCTCCATTTGGTCTGTAAGCTTCATGAAGGCTAAGAACATGAAGTTTGGTTTTGCTTAATAGTGTATATTTATAGCCTAGACTAGTGCCTGGCATGTAAAAAGTGTTCTGTAAATATTTGTGGAATGAATGAATGAATGATTAAGTTAAACATGGTAGATTCTAAACAAATTCGTGTTGTGGGAAGGTTGAAACCACCTATCATATCCCTTCCAGACTTAGTCTGAACCCTTCTAGGAGGCAATTAAAAGTTTGCAAAATTTTAGTTAAGTCCTTAGATCTCTAAATAACAGAGTGTGTGGGGAAAAGAAAGGTTTAGAGATACTTTGAAGTGGTTTAGTATTTTATGTTATTTTAGTGGGAGGTTAATACTGTTTGTTTTGAATATGTTGTAAAGAACTCTAAGTGTAAGTTACTATTATTACTTTTAGTTAGTATATATAAGTATTAATATTTGTGAGTATGATACTAATTTAAAATTTTGGCTCCAAGGACAAAGCTGTCGAACATTGCTTGTTTATTTATTTCCTTTGCACATTTTGCATAAACCTGATTATATCAGAAGAAGCCTTGATGTGTGAGACCCAAGTGGTATCCTTGTTTTGGCAGTGCTCATCCAGATTGTTGCAGTCTTCATAAATTCTAGCTTCTCTGTCCCAGATGCTCTGTTTGTCATTCATTCTTCCATCCAAATGCTAACTCTCTTCACCCTTCAGGAGTTTGACACGTTGCTGATGCATGTACTGATAGCTGACTCATCTCACCTATTGAGTCAGCATCTTACCTTTCCTCTAATCAAGTTACAACTTTATTTTGAAGTTATTTCACTGGGTATTATATTAGTAGGTCAAGGTCAATATTATTTTCTTCAAATATGCTTACACAACCAGACATACCAAAAAGGGAGGGGAGATCTATATGTATCAACAATTTATATTGTTCATTTTTGAAAAAAAAGACTGGCATTGTGTTTCACACAATGCCTAGAATATGGAAAATATTCAGTAAACATTCTGTGTCTTAAACGCTCGTGCTATCACTGTGACAAAGCTACTGTTTTTAGGCTCATTTTGTAAAAGATACTAAGGCTCAGCAGTGCTTTTTAACAACAACATTAATTTAGCAGTTAAAGTTTATTGAGCACCAAATGTGTCCCAGATACTCTTCTATGTGTTTTTATTTTTATGTACTCACTTAATTCTTAAGTAAACTCTGTGGGGTAGGTGCTGTTATTATACCCTCATTTATAGATGAGGAAACTAAGGGCTAGAGACTCACCTAAGCTTTTCCAGCTAGGAAGTGGCAAAGCTGACCTTGGACTCCAGGCAGTCTAACTCTGTAGCCCATCGTCTTAGCTGTCACACTATACTGCCCAAAATTGCCCAGCTGGAGCCTGATTGGAACCCAGGTCCCCTGATTTCAAAGTCTGTGTGTGTGTGACCCCAAG
Organism: Homo sapiens; assembly: GCF_000001405.40. NCBI lineage: Eukaryota > Metazoa > Chordata > Mammalia > Primates > Hominidae > Homo > Homo sapiens. The sequence goes on along the minus strand of NC_000014.9, from coordinate 63,467,768 downwards.
GACAACCTCAGCCATCTGGAAGAATGCAGAATGGGCTTACATTTCTTTTTCAAGTTCCCAATTATGCTGAAAGAAATCGAATTCATTTGACATCTTAAACGTTTCTGTGATGTTTTTCCAGAATTATAACTGACAGACTTTTGAGATAGTGGACCTAGTTGCCGAGCTTAGTTTTAACTTTATTATACTTATTAAGGTCAACTCTTATTTCTCATATGTGGTCTGGCTCCTTAAGTGGAAGATAGAGTTATATAATATGTTTTCTGAAAGGGAAAGTCATTTTCAGTACAATCTGAAGAGAAAATGTTTGTACTACCCCATGGCATGTTTAGCTAAACTCTGGGTTACAGTATTAGACATAGAATGCTGAATTATATCAAAATTCAGAAAAAGGCTGTGCTTAGAATTGCACTGTAAGCATGCATATCTTTAGGTTTCAGTGACTGTCTTACCCTTGGAGACGGATGTTTTGTGGCTAGGAAACCAGCAGCATAGAAGGAACATGTTGTAAATAGTGTTTTTTTTGTTTGTTTGTTTGTTTTTTTTGAGACGGAGTCTTGCTCTGTCACCCAGGCTGGACAGTGGCAAGATCTCGGCTCACTGCAAGCTCCGCCTCCCAGGTCCATGCCATTCTCCTGCCTCAGCCTCCCGAGTAGCTGGGACTACAGGCGCCTGCCACCACGCCCGGCTAATTTTTTGTATTTTTAGTAGAGACGGGGTTTCACCGTGTTAGCCAGGATGGTCTCGATCTCCTGACCTCGTGATTTGCCTGCCTTGGCCTCCCAAAGTGCTGGGATTACAGGCGTGAGCCACTGCACCCGGCCAATAATGTTTTTAAATACTTTTCTGTTCTGAAAGTGTTAAGCTTCCCAGACACGTTCGCTGTCCTTTTTAAACTCTCTGCATTACTGTTCTCCAAGTTTTGATTTTGGAGTCATATACTCAAAACTGTTCATACACACATACATACATACACATATGTATGTATACACATATGTATACACACATACATACGTAAGTACACACTTGTAAGTTTCTCCGTCTTTATTGTTTTATGCTTGAATAATTCTGCTTTTATACACACGAGGAAATAAAGCTTTGAAATGGGTTTCTTGTCTCTTGGCATGGTATTTCAGATTTGAATTTTGGATTTCCTCAACTGTTCTATGTGGACTTACATTTGTATTTAACTATATTAATTAAGTAGTATCTTTTGTATGAAGCATGGGAGAGCTTCACAATTAGGGGACTGTGTACTACATGCCTGTGTACTACATGCCATCCCTGGATTTTACTGCTGAGATTATGACTTTAATTATAAATTTACACTCTTTATTACTCTTGGGATTAGAAGCTATTCCACTGTTCTCAGTCCTGTGTCAGTCTCAGGAGCTTAAGCTCTCATACTTTAAAATCCCAACAGAGGTTCAAAAATAGCATCTCTAAGCTGGCATTGCAACATTGGATTGACTCTTGTTGTTGTTTTTTTTTTTTTGTATTTTTAAAACTTTTTTTTTTTAAGTTTCATGATGTCTTTGATCAACTATAAATTATGAATTAACAGATAAGTGGGCTGTTAAAATAGCTGCAGGTTCATTTTATTCTGAAACAATTGGTGTTGATGTTAATCTTCAAAACAAATGGAAAATACATAGGCCATTTTATCCCCTTTAGAAGTAATCTCTTGGGGAAGGACCCTCAATTAACTGAAATGCTTGAAAATAATGTCTCCTTTTATTGCCGTTTTTTTGGCCGGGTTGTGGGGAGGGAGGGTCAATTGAATGTTACATGCTTGCTGAAAATCTTTAATTCCATTAACTTATTTCCTTACCTTATAAGCATGGCGTAAATAAAAAATAATCTTTTTTCTTGAAGATTTTTGTTTCTCATACTTCTGAACCTGACTGAAAATTGGGCTTCAGTGATGCTGACTCTCAGGCACATCCTGGAAATTTGTTCCGTAATTCCTTTTTATCAAATTAGGATTTTATGATTTGCTCCTTGTCTTAAAAGACAAGTGCAGAAGAGAAGTTATGGTTATTTGAGAGTTCTAAATAGATGGCCTTTGTTTAATTCAAGTTTGGTATTACTAGAATAAAATTTTAACAAAAAATTAATGTTTCTTTAAAAAAAATTTTTTTTTGAAACAGGGTCTTACCGTGTCACCGAGGCTGGAGCGCAGTGGTGCAATCACGGCTCACGGCAGCTTCTGCCTCTTGGGCTCAAGCCATCCTCTGACCTCAGCCTCCTAAGTAGCTGAGACTACAGGCCTGGCTAATCTTTTGTTAGTTGTTGTTTTTTTTTTTTTTTTTTTTTTTGTAGAGGTGGAGTTTTACCATGTTGCCCAGGCTGGTCTCGAACTCTTGGACTCCAGTGATCCTCCTGCCTCAGCCTTCCAAAGTGCTGGGATTACGGGCGTGAGCCACCATGCCCGGTCAAAAATTTAATGTTTCTAGAAATACTTCAGAATAAAATTAAAAAATTGTTTAAAACTAATTTTGAAGGTGTGCCAGAAATAGCAAATATAAGTATTTCTGCACAGAAGATAGTTTTAATAAGTTATGAAATAGGAAATTGATTCCATACAGTATTTATAGATACTTGATAAATATTTGTCAAACGAATGATGACTTTTTTGTGGAAAGCACTTTCCACCCTAGAAATGATTTTTCATTTAATCTTTACTCAACCCTGTGAAGTACATTTTCTTTTTCTTTTCTTGTCTTTTTTTTTTTTTCTTCTTCTTGAGACAGAGTCTCACTATGTCACCCAGGCTGGAGTGCAGTGGCACAATTTCGGCTCGTTGCAACCTCTGCCTCCTGGGTTTGAGCGATTCTCCTGCCTCAGCCTCCCAAATAGCTGGAACTACAGACACATGCCACCACACCTGGCTAATTTTTATATTTTTAGTAAAGACGGGGTTTCACCATGTTGGCCAGGCTGGTTTTGAACTCCTGACCTCAGGTAATCCGCTCACCTCGGCCTCCCCGAGGTGCTGGGATTACAGGCATGAGCCACCGTGCCTGGCCAGAGTATATTTTCTTAATTTTACATGCAAGGAAACTAATGCTCAGAGAAGTAAGTGGCTTGTCCATTGTCAGTAAACAGTAAAAGTGTGATTCTAATTCAGAACCAGATTCCAGGCCAAAGTCCTCACCGTGTTTCACAAGACCCAAGATGATCTTCTGCAGCCACTTGTCCTTTCTTCTTCTGTCCTTTTCTTCCCCACTTTCCACTCCAGCTCCAGCCACATTCACTTCTTTGCTGATCATCAGATTCACCAGCATGCTCCTTCTTCCTGCCACAGTACCTTGCACTTGCCATTTCTCTCCTTGGGACACTCTTCCCCAGACAGCCTTGGCTGACTACCCCACTTCCTTCAAGTATTTGCTCAAATGTCATCTTCCAGGTGAATGCTCTGTTTAACATTGTACCCTTCAACCCCAGCGTGCCTAGTCCCCCTTGCCCTGCACACTATTATTCCCCATAGCATACACCGTATAACATGTTTATTATTTTTAGTTTCTATTATTTGTCTCTTCCTGCTAGAATGTAAAGCTCAGGACTTTTGTCTCCTCTTCATTATGTTATCACAGTAGTCCCTGGCTGTTGGTGGGTGTTCAATGAATATTTGGCGGATCAGTGAATGATAGAGTGAGTGAATGAATAGAGGAGCCCATTCCCTTTGCACTAGACCTTCTCATTTTTCATTTATAAATAATAAATGACAAAATTTTCGGGTTATTTTGCTATAGAGGGCATTTCCAAATTATGCTACTTAATGTTGTATACTCATCTTCATTTTGAATTTTTTCCCTATTTTTCTCTTATCCTTGAATATAAACCATTCTGTTTATTTTAAAAAGTCAATTCGGCCGGGCGCGATGGCTCACGCCTGTAATCCCAGCACTTTGGGAGGCCGAGGCAGGCGGATCACGAGGTCAGGAGATCCAGACCATCCTGGCGAACACGGTGAAACCCCGTCTCTACTAAAAATACAAAAAAGTAGCCGGGCATGGTGGCGGGCGCCTGTATTCCCAGCTACTCGGGAGGCTGAGGCAGGAGAATGGCATGAACCCGGGAGGCGGAGCTTGCAGTGAGCCGAGATCGTGCCACTGCACTGCAGCCTGGGTGACAGAGCTAGACTCCGTATCAAAAAAAAAAAAAAGCGAATTCGAGTTTTAAATAAGTTGTTAAAATAAGGCATTACCTTACTGGATATTAATAAGGGAACATAGTTCAGGGAACTGAGGAACTAATGCATTTTTTTTTGGTTAGGTTCTTTCAGATAAGCTGGCTCTTTTCACTCCTTCTTATATTTATACATATTGGGTCATTAAAAACTGTCTTGCCTGTAATCCCAGCACTTTGGGAGGCCGAGGTGGGCGATCACGAGGCCAGGAGTTCGATACCATCCTGGCCAACATGGTGAAACCCCGTCTCTACTAAAAGATACAAAAAATTAGCTGGGCGTGGTGGTGCGTGCCTGTAATCCCAGCTACTCGGGAGGCTGAGGCAGGAGAATCACTTGAACCCAGTAGGCGGAGGTTGCAGTGAGCAGAGATTGTGCCATTGCCTCCAGCCTGGGTGACAGGGCGAGACTCTGCCTAAAAACAAAAACAAAAACAAAAACAAAAAAACCATCTTAGTTTTTTTTTTTTTTTTTGAGATGGAGTTTTGCTCTTGTTGCCCAGGCTGGAGTGCAATGGCGCCATCTCAGCTCACCACAACCTCCGCCTCCCAGGTTCCAGCGATTCTCCTGCCTCAGCCTCCCGGGTAGCTGGGATTACAGGCATGCGCCACCACACCTGGCTAATTTTGTATTTTTAGTAGAGATAGAGTTTCTCTATGTTGGTCAGGCTGGTCTCGAACTCCCGACCTCAGGTGATCTGCCCACCTCGGCCTCCCAAAGTGCTGGGATTACAGGCATGAGCCACTGTGCCCAGCCATAAAACCATCTTACTTTTAAAATTTGCATTTCATGACTTGATATTATTAATATACTAGGAAATAATTTATTTTATTAAATACATTATATCAAGCCTTTTCCTCTATTCTTTAGTCTAATTTTATTTCTGGAGGAATAAAGTTATAATTTAAAAATGAAAACATGGGGAAATAAGATGCAAATATGTAGAATTTACTTACTCAACTAACATTACGTACCTACTATATTCTAAAACTTCTGATACGAACAGTTTATTAAAACGTGCAAGGCAGGTGTAGTGCTGGTTAAAAAAAAAGTTGCAGTATAATGTAGCAAGTGCTTGAATGGAGGTATGTGCAGTTTCATGGGAATTTTGTGTTAAGAATTTTAAGGACTGACATGGCTGCTCTTCCTTTACAATTGCAGAACGTATGATTTATCTTCTCAGCTTTTATGATGATCTACAGTTGAAGGCTGGGTGCACTGGCTCACACCTGTAATCCTAGCACTTTGGGAGGCCGAGGTGGGCGGATCATGAAGTCAGGAGATTGAGACCATCCTGGCTAACACGGTGAAACTCCATCTCTACTAAAAATACAAAAAATTAGCCGGGCAAGGTGGCAGGTGCCTGTAGTCCCAGCTACTCGGGAAGCTGAAGCAGGAGAATGGCGTGAACCCAGGAGGCGGAGCTTGCAGTGAGCCGAGATTGCACCACTGCACTTCAGCGTGGGCAACAGAGCGAGACTCCGTCTAAAAAAAAAAAAAAAATACAGTTGAAATCGGTACTGTCATTACAGCTAGAATTCTGTTGTCCGTGCTTCTAGAAAAGTATTGGAAGAAAGGAATAATATGGCTCAGAGATCCCCAAATACAGGCCCTTGGAAAAGTTGTTGGCAGTACTGGGAAAAGTGAAAAATAAGAAGAGAAAGGAAGGTCGAGAGAGAATATACCACTCTATGTGTGTATGTGTGCACATGCATGTGTGTGTGTGTGTATGTGTGAGGGGTAATTGCTAACCCTCCTTTTTATTTTTATTTATATCTTTTTGAGACAAGGTCTCACACTATTATCTAGGGTGGAGTACAGTAGCACGCTTATAGCTCACTGCAGCCTGGGCTGAAGTGATCCTCCCACCTCAGCCTCCCAAGTACCTGGGACTACAGGCACACGCCACCAAGCCCAGCAATTTTTTTTTTTTTTTAAATTTTGTAGAGACGCGATCTCGCTGTGTTGCCTAGGCTAGTCTCAAACACCTGGCTTTTAAACGATCCTCCCACCTTGGCCTCCCAAAGTGCTGGGATTTTGGGTGGGAGCCAACGTGCCCAGCACCAACCCTCCTTTTGAAAGGAAGTATTGTCTTTTATTCTATGATCGTTCTTTATCTTCTTTTGTTATTATAAAGGTGCTTTATTTTTATGAAATTATAGTGAAAATAAATGGTGGCTATGTTTTTAATGCCTTTACCTGAAGAAAAATTGACAAACTGCTTTTTTTTTTTCTGTAATTTTACTGGCACGTAACATCCTCAAAAGAGGGAACCACTGAAATGCAAACTGTAGAATACTGTATATAATTCTTGCAGCTCTTTTTTAGTATAGCCTGTCAAGCTCTAGGAATTCCTCATATTCAAAAGGCCTCGGTTCTTTCCCTCCTGGCATTACTGCCCTGGAAATAAGCCCTTAGGAAATGAATTACTAATAAAGACATTGACTTTGTCAGAACCTTTGGTGGCATCTGTCCTGTGGTGAGTTTGGTGGCAGGAAAATAATTAAACCTCTAATGAGGAGTTGATCAGTTTTAAAATATTTTTTCATGTGTTGACAAGTTTCAGTAACCAACTTGGCATTAGAAGATAAAGCATGAGGGATAACATGCAGTGTTGGAAACACTGTGTCATTTATCACTGTGTGCATTTATCACTGTGTGTCATTTATCAGTGTGCATGTGTGTATGTGTGCGTGTGAGTATATTTTCTATTTCTTCTGATTAGATCATAGTGTCAAAATAACACGAAAGCCCTGAATCATGTAATTTTGCTGCTTGAAGCCATACTAGTTTGTACTAGTGGTGGTGACCTTTGGTTTTTATTTGTAAATTGGAGAGCATATTGTTAGCTTTTGGGAAAGGGAAACTGGAGAGCTTCATGACACAATAATAATAAATACATGTTCGTTGTCTCATTTGGGAAGAATAATTAATATGTTATTATTATCTAAAACTTAAACCTACCTGCCTAAACTTGTTCACTAGCTTAAGGCTGATTTTATACTGTTGTAAGTTTTAAAACGTGAATATTTGTATTTAATAGAAAAGTCAACCAATTTTTCTTTTAGACTGCAACTTCTCTTAAACAAATAACTAACCATAGCAATGGAAGTATATGTACAACTCTAATGGGGGTTAGTTGCTGTTATTTAGCATGATCATCACCATTATCATCATTGTTATTGGTATGCCCCTTCCCTCCTCCGCAGCAAGACTGTTGGGGCAGTAAGACTACTGGGGTTCAGATACTAGCTGCAGCCCTTCCAGTGTGTCATGTTGGACAAATGACTTAGCCTTTCTGGGTGTCAGTTTCCTCATTTGAAAAACTGGGATATTAATAGTGGCTACACCTAAGATATTCTGAGGATTAAAAGGGATAATGTGTGTCAGGAGCTTAGTACAGTGCTTTATGGTTGTAAGTGTTCATGATTGTTATTGTCTCTATTCTTTTTACCTGGAAATTTCAGTCAATACCCACACCTTCATCTCATCCTTTTGACAGTATTCTATCTGTGCTAGTCATTCTATGACACGTTTTGAACCTTTAAAAAACGTGTATGCTAATAATCAGCAAAGTGTTTCTCAAGCTCTCTAACAGATTGGCAAGATTTCTAAAAGCAGCCAACTCGACATTCACCTATTATAGCCAAGGCCAAGAAAGAACGCTTTCACTGTTGTAAATGTTTCCAGGGACCTTCCTTAGCTTGGAAACTAAAAGTTTTCACTGCTAGCTTTAAATAATGGAGAGAAAGAATTTCAAAGGAGGAGGGGATGAAAGAAGGATTTTAGAGTGCTTACTTTAAAAACGGTGGTTTTTAACCGTAGTGACATACTGAAATCACTGGAGTCACTTTTATAAAATACAAATGCTTAGCAGTGAAATATCACATCACCACCACCACCACCATCACCACCATCATCAACAACAAACATCTTTGAACTCACTTCTTTGAATACAATAATAAAGTAATTGGATTGGTCAAGTATTTAATGCTTATTTTAGTTAACAGATTGGTTCTGGGTTAGTTTTTTATTTGCTTATGTGCATTGAAATATCCTGTGTAATCAACATGTTATATTTGGCTCCAGTTCATAGGACATGAAGTCTATTATTTGATTTATTATAAAGGCTTATAGTTGTCTCCTCGTTTTGAGGAAATATTGTTGGTTATATCTGTGATTTACTGGTGTCAAAAGCAATTCCTGTAATGGAAGCTTAGTTCTACTAATAAAATAGGATTATTTCTAGGTTTCTTGAAATATGTGCTATGAAAAGGTAGAGGTAAAATTGATAGCAATGATTTGGACAGACTACATGGGCAGGTAATTAGGCATTTTACCGCATATGCTAGTGTACCTAGCTTCAGTCTATCACGGCTCAATCTGCTTAATAATGTTTTATTTATGTTAATGTTTTAGTATTAAGCATCTCCTTAGAACTATGAGACACTTAGTTTTCTGTAAATATAGACTCGTATGTCTTATGCAAGTAAAATTCTCAGTGATTTTGTTGAAGTTTATGGAGAGTTGCCCGTGAAGGACAGAGTATACATGGATGAGGATTTGTACATCTTAAGAGAAAGTTCTGTGGGATCAGAGGCCATACTTACTATTCTCATTGTGTGCTGGTCCTATTATTTTTTGTGAAAGTTGGAGAAATAGAAGTAAAAGGGCTAAGTGAGTAATACCTTAGGACATTTTCAGGTAAAAAGTATTGTTAATTTAGAAGAATTTTATTTTAGATCTTTTGAATGGAAATATAAATATAATTTATAGATATTCATTGAATGATATTATAAATATTGTTCATTAGGAGCTCAAGCAATGTTATAGTTTAGCTTCCAATGCAAACATATGAACATTTTATAGAAATACTTATTCACTCTATTTCCACATACATTTCAATAGTTTATGTGTAAATAATTTGCCAGTCCACATTTTCTTTATTAACTTATTTTTTAAAAGCAATTTACCTTATTTTTATGATATGATGGGTAATAAATATAATGATGTAGGCCTCCTTTATTTACTTGGCTGGCATATTTGCAAATGTGAATTTAACGTTCTGATTTTTAACAACTTTTGTTGATCGGAGTCCCAGAGTACCAAACTCAAGAGACTGGGCACATATTTTATTTCTTCTACCCTTGTTACTTTTTGCTTTGCAAAGTGCTGAATGAGGCAGGCCTGAAGAAAATGTGAGGTGATATTGGATCCATGATTATGTGCCCCAAACATTAGATAGGGTGGAATGATGGAAGTGGACTAGTAGGGAAGAATGAGCTACTTCTGCAAATTGTAAACAACCTTCCCTTTAAATCATGATTAGGGTGAGGGGAGTGCCCCCCAGCAAGAGCTAAACTGTATATAGATCCTGTTGACTTCTTTAGATACAAAGAGAATCTTTGTCTTAATCTGAGATTGCATCCTCACTCTGTGTTGAGTTTTATGTCCATTTTCCCATTGCATGTCACACTCGTAAATTTAAAAAATATTCAGATGTAATGAACACCTTGGAGGTAGGCGTAGTCATTTTCCCCTGCTTATTGATGAAAATTGATAGGTGGATACTGGAAGACGGTGATATAAAGACATAAGGGGGAGAATGACTACTGCTAAAAAGTAAAGAGAAGTACAGTGCAGTGAGAAGTACAGTTTAGCTGGTCATTGCATTCTTTTCTTGGTGGAGAAACATATTCTGGAAACCAACTTAAAATTTTAAGAATTCTTCTAGAGCAGTGGAATCTGACCTTATGGGATCTTACCAAGCTGTGATAATGGGATCAATTATTCTCTCTTTTGAACACATACAACCTTGGATGGAGGAGTCATTGTGCCAGTGACCTTCACGGTATTACATAACCGCTTATTGATTGCTCATTATTTATGGCCGTGCTTCTGTGGGATCCCTTTCCTGGGAGCAGGGATGGCCTCTGCTGGCCAGAGGTTTTCACTGGAAGATAGGTGACGGAAGCATCCACTGCCTGGTCTGCTTTGGGATTCTAAGATGACCTTTAATTTTCCTAATTCACATTTATTTCTTAATGACTGTAATTTGTTTTTTTCTTCAGTCTTGACTTCTGAAGTTTTTAGATTTCCAGGTGACTTGGATTTTGGAGGTGGGTAGCTTTGAGTTGTTAAAATCTAGTGTTACTGTATTGTGGTCAGAATTCATTGCCTTTATGATATGTTTTTGTTTTTTATGAGATTCTCTTTATGGCTTCTTAAGTGATCCTTTTAATAAATGTTTATTTAAAAAGAATATTTGGATCTACTTCAGGGACTGCTTACATAGACACTAAACTTTTCTTATATAGTGGAAACCTTCTGGACTACTCAGAGATTGTTCCTTCTCTGATCTCTGGCCTGTCCTGCCTTCTCACATTCTACCTTTTCACATCCACCTGGGACTAGGTAGATGAGAGAGGAGATTGGGAGCAGTATTAGCTATATGGGACAGTCTGAGGCCCAGACATTATATGAAGAACCTCTTGTTTGGACTGGTCATCCTTCAACATGTATAAAACTTTCCTAAATTGTTACCATAAAGGGATTGTCTCTTTAAGAACCCCCTTTTGGTTCATCTTGACTGTGCAAGTTTTTTAATTTAATGAAGGTAGGTCATTTTAGAAAGAATTTAGTTTATGATAAAGGACAAATCGCAGCTTTTGCTGTGTTAATTCTTGGTGCATGGGCTAGAGGGGAGATAGAGAAGGGGTTTAGCATGATGCTTTATGAATGGAGAGTCATTTGTTCATTTTGTCTGCTTTCTTCCTCCTCTTCTGTGTTTGCACACACCCTGTGTTCTGGAATAGGGTATCACTCTGGTCTTTCACTGTGTTTCGTGTTGCATTGCACAGTGGTGAAGGGTCCAGGCTTTGGAGCCAATCCACTTGGGTTTGAATCCTGTCTCCACTGCTTATTAACTGTGTGACTATGGGCAAGTCACTGACTCTGTGTTTTGGTTTACTCATTTGTTAAGTTAGAAATAGTACCTACTGCAGAAGGCCATTGAAGGGATTAAAGGAGATATAATATGTATAAGTGCTTAGATAAAGTGCCCAATAAATGTACCCAATATATTCAATAAATGTAAGTTATTATCCTTATTCCACTGGACAGGTGGATAGCCTGTTTCACATTTGTCTATGACATTATATCACTTTGCACAAATAAAGGATAAATTTCAACTGCCTAACATTAAAAAATAGGACTAAGTGTTAACTGCCTAAATTTTTTGAACTGCTAAGTATATGAATCTCTTGAGTACTATTGCAGTGACCACAAATGTTAATTGTTGTTGTCACTGCTTAAATGATGATGTACTTTAGGAGGAAAGACTACAATTCATCGATGCTTTTATAAGTTATATATGCTATGTTAAGGAGTTCAACATGTAGATAGTCTGATTTTTAGACTTTATTAAAATCACTATATCAAATATTGAATTAATTAAAATTTCCCTAAAGATTTTGACCTGTAACGAATGTTATATTAATAAGCTTTTTCTTGGCCAGGGCGGTGGCTCATGCCTGTAATCCCAACACTTTGGGAGGCCGAGGTGGGCAGATCACCTGAGGTCAGGAGTTTGAGACCAGCCTGGCCAACATGGCAAAACCCTGTCTTTACTAAAAATACAAAAATTAGCTGGGTGTGGTGGTGGATGCCTGTAAGCCCAGCTACTCAGAAGGCTGAGGCAGGAGAATTGCTTGAACAAGACTTCATCTCAAACTAAAAAAAAAAAAGCTTTTTCTTGCCCCCTTTGCAGCATCAGTATTCCCATTCGGCTGCTAGGTCTGGGGTCTGATTTCGATCTCGAAAGATTTTAGTAATTAACTGTGATGGTCCTGTGCATGAATTAGTCATTGGTTAAGGATATAGTCATGCTCATAAGCAGCCTTATTTCATTTTTATTTATTTATTTTAAACGCCCAAAGCAGGTAGCACTTAGAGAGTTTGGTCTGACTGAATTTAGTTCTTGTAGTCTAAGGCTAAATATTGTAAAACCGATTAAATCCAGGGGGGCATAGGATAAGACCTATATCATGACTGCAAGACACATTGTGCTTTTGGGGACCTAGGAGTGATGGGGGAAGGGAAACTCACTGGTTAATAATTTCTAAATTCAATACTTGTTTTTGCTGAGAGTAGGAGTGATGCTATACATTCAAAGATATGGACTGCTTCTTGTTCTCTAATGTCTGGTAGAGAAAGCCTATGTATTTAGGTGTCCTATCCACTCTCATCTAGGTTTACTTAACTGGCAGTGTTTTGCCAGAATTGCCTGTGAGGTCCGAGGTAGCTATGCTGGCATTTGGGTTGTGGGGTGTAAGGTGGGGTAGAAGGTTGTAGAGAGGAGCCTGGTGGGTCCTGTGAAAATGAGGCTGGCCTTCACTTCCTGCTGCTGGTGGCTGTAAGGGGGGTGCTGTATGCTGTTGCCCTCCTCTCCAGGGAGCAGGCAGCCCAAGCCAGGAGGCCATTGTAAAGCATTTACCAGAAGGCTGGCAACTGAGGATGACTGCAAGTGACTACACACTGTTAAGGTCCTTCTTGCTTAGTACAAAAGGAACATGGGAGTGTGGTTAGAGACCTGGGCACTTTGCCCAGCTCTGTAACCCATTCCCTGTGGGACCTCAATGATTGTCTCTATTTTGTGTGTGTGTGAAAAATGGAGAAGAATAATGCCACCTGCTTCTTTCTAAGGATGTTCTGAGGATTAATGAGCTAATCACCTTGGATGAAGGCAGTAGAGCCTACCCTGGTTATAATTTTCATTGCTTCTCCAGGGAAGCTCCAGTTTGGGGGAATGAAATATTGGAAAGAAGATAGGAGGGGATAGGCTGTCTACAGCTTAGTCGGTATATTTGAAGTCCAACTGTAGATCAGGCTCCTTTCTAGCTGAGGAATTTCAACTAACCTAAAATTTCTACATATTTTTTAGAAACAACGCCAAGCCAAATGTCTGACCTGCTGTTTGCGGGAAAAGAGCAGATGTCCATTCTGGGAACATATTAATATAAGATGTTAGTGGTTTTCTCTCACAGTACAAGAAGATGGGTAAAAAGAGAATGTAGATTTATATGGCATTTACTCTTATTTTCTTATTGCTGGTGTGCTCTTTTTGAGAGAGTTGGTATTGTTTCATTTAGTAGATTTTTCAGGTTTCTTTCAGAAAGAAACTTCATACAGATCAAGCCAAAACAAAACAAAAAAATATAAACACACAACAATAGCTTTAAATACCAAGGATGTCAGCATGAAATTAAAATAAATCAACTGACATTTCTGCTTTGAAATTTTTTAGTAAAACTAATTTAAACCACAGCGAAAGCTTTCTTATAAGGGAAAGTTTGACCTTTTTCAGTGTTTTTAATTTAAAGGTATTGACATTGGGGTGTTTTTGGTTAAAATTTGCTTCAACCTTCTAAAGTCTTTTGGGATTTTGGTCAATCCTTGGTTGTGGAATAGCAAATACAGTCAATTTTGTTGGTACAATGTAGTTTTCAAAGACAAGGTCTCTGAAGTAGTAGATACGGTATCCCCTCCCACCCATGTGTAACTGTGAAAAAGAACACTGTTGTCATGTGAATTCTTATTTTTTTTTAGCTTGCCTTTGAAGTAACTTTCACAGAGAATTCCTGTTACCTGGAAATTGATGACAGACTTACACCATTTCCTTTTTTTTTCTTAGACGTTCCATCCTCAGAGCAGCCTGAACTGTTCCTAAAGAAACTTCAGCAGTGCTGTGTCATTTTTGACTTCATGGACACGCTATCTGATCTTAAAATGAAAGAATACAAGCGCTCCACTCTTAATGAACTGGTGGACTACATTACAATAAGCAGAGGCTGTTTGACAGAGCAGACTTACCCTGAAGTAGTTAGAATGGTGAGTTTCTTTTTTTCTCCGCGGACACTTTTAAGCATCTTCCATAGTGACTCACAGGTGTATATATTGCAAGAGTGAGGTCATTGGAGGTCAACTCCACAAATGAGAGCCAACCTTTGGAGAGCTAAGCAAATGTAGTCGGCACAGTGCTAGAATTTGAAGAGCATGATTTCATGAGAACGAAATCCAGAACTTTAACTACGACAGTGCTGAAGCAATAAATGACTTCAAAATATGAAGCCAAGATTGCCAGGGTATTACTGGATTTCTAGCTTTGGCAAAAGAAAAGACACAGGAAAATAACAAAAGTCTTAGATCCGTGTTTGAAAAATATTCAAGCCTGTTGGATGTCTTTTTTTTTTTTAATCTTATTCATTGTGGTATATTAGAAATGGCTTAATGCTTAATAAAATTGTGATTTGTAGAATGTAGTTAAGGCCTCTCTTGGGCTTTATAACTAACGCTTCTCTTTATAATCTCCTTGAAGTCAGGGTTGATACCTTTTATGATTTTTGAATAGTGTCTTAGATTTTGTGTGGTCATTAGGAGTTATGAGGAAAAACATTATTAACATAATGTGAGTAATTACATTCTTACTGTGTGAACAATTATTTTAGTTTTTCAAAAGCTGAGCCAAAATGTGGTTTTCTGATAGATTTCTGTGGGAGAGTTGCCTTTCTTGGCATCCCAGAAGATCTTGGAGCTGGAGAGTGCACGCTATTTGGGGATGGGCTTTGCAGGGTGGGGAAGCTGGTCTACTGACTGGTGAAATAGCCTCAGAGATCCTTAAGGTCAGTGCATCGTTGAGGAGTCCATTGCAGGATCTGGCACACTCTCTGTGTACTGCGGAACATCTGCCTGGCTTTTGTATTTAGTTCTTTATCATTTGTATTCAACCAATGCAGAAAAGAGACTTTTGTGATGGAGTAGATATGTTTAAAAATGATAGTTCAGATTTGCAAAGGCACTTGAATGATCTCAGCGTGAGACTGTGACTGAAATAATGAAGGTCATCTGAAAACGATGCCCAATATATTCCTCAGTTCTATATCTGAATGTATATTGGATTTGTTGTTAATTTACAGGAATGTAGCACTAGAATGTTTTGTAGGTTAAAGATGACCGTGTGGCTCTTGAGCAGTGCTTCTCAACCAGGTGTGATTTTACCTTACAGGGGACATTTGTCAGTGTCTAGAGACATTTTTGGTAGTCACAACTAGATGTGAGAGGAGAGTACTACCAGCATCTAGTGGGAGAGGCCAGAGATACTGCTAAACATTTTACAATGTACCGGGTGGCCCCCACAATAAAGAATTATCTGGCCCCAGATATCACAAGTGCCACTGTTGAGAAACCTTGCTCTTGAGTTTGCATGCTATCTAAACCTCTTAATGTGATGCAGAGGATCTTCTCTAGTCTACCTGCCTTCTGCAGAGCACAGTCCCTGGTTTTAGCCTACCTGTATCATCAGCCAACAGAGGTATCGGTTATGACTTTCTTCTGTATCTTCCCATGGATAGTTCATGAATATATAAGTATATGCAAACATATGTATAAATATTTTTTTTTGTAAGCACACAAATGGTGGCACACTATGTATTTTCTGTACCTTGCTTTTTTCACTTAGCAATATATATTTCAGTACATATAAAGTTGCCATATTCTTTTTATAGCTGCATAATATTTATTGTGTGAATGTACCATATTTAAGCAGTACTCTATGAATATCCTTATACACACATCAGTTTGCCTTTGTATGAGGACATCTGTATACTTATTTATTTTTAAAAATTTAATTTTTTAAGAGCAGTTTTAGGTTCACAGCACAATTGAGAGGAAAGTACAGAGATTTCTCATATGCCCCTGTCCCTGCACAAGCACAGCCTCCCCCATTATCAACACCTCCCCCCTCACTCCCACCAGAGCAGTACATTTGTTACAATTGATGATCCTACATTGACGCATCATTATCACCCAGAATTCAGAGTTCACGTTAGGGCTCATTCTTGGTGTTGGACATTCTGAGTTTAGACAAATGTGTAATGACATGTATCCACCATTATAGTACCATACATACCATACATCACTGCCCTGAAAATCCTCTGTGCTCCACTTCTTCATCACCCACCACCTTCAACTCCCTGGCAACCACTGATCTTTTTACTGTGTCCATAATTTTGCTTTTTCCAGACTGTCATATAGTTGGAATCATACAGCATGTACTCTTTTCAGATGGGCTTCTTTGACTTAGTTATATGCACTTAAGTTTCCTTCATGTCTTTTCAAGACTTGATAGCTCATTTATTTTAGTGTTGAATAACATTTTATTGGTTGGATGTACCATAGTTTATCCATTCACCTACTGAAGGACATTTTAGTTGCTTCCTAATTTTGGCAATTATGAATAAAGCTAATATAAATATCTGTGTACAAGTTTTTTTTATGAACATAAGATTTCAGCTCCTTTGGGTAAATACCAAGGAGTGTAATTGCTGTATGTATTGTATGGTAAGAGTATGTTTAGTTTTTTTTTAATTTGCATTTACTTTTATTACTTGTTATAAGTAACGAGTATGTTTAGTTTTATAAGAAACTGCCAAACTGTCTTCCAGGGTAGTGGTACTATTTTGCATTCCTACCAGGAGTGAATGAGAATTTCTGCTGCTCCACATCCTCACCAGCATTTGGTATTGATTTGATTTAAATAGCCTTTATTTCCTTGTTTCTGGACTTTCACGTATTCCCCACTCCCTCACCTCTAGTTCTAATTCTCATTTTCCCTTCAAGGGCTGACTTAAAGTGCTACTATTGTTTTCCTGAAAAAACACAGTGCTTTTTCCTTCCTTCAGTTCCTCTGCTTCTTGGCAACTCACCATTTTGGGAATTTGTTCATTTGCTCCTTTTTTTTTTTTTTGTCTTTTCACATATTTATCTGATTTTTCTAATTAGGTGTAAGCACACCTAAGAAGGAACTGTGTCCTGCACATATCTGTGGCATCCATAATACCTCCTACCTAGTCCAGGTCTTCTTGAAATTTGTTGAATGAATGAATTCCTCCTTAAAATGTAGGCATTTCAGTCTCTCAAATTATGATTAAGATATTGGATGTCATTGGATTATACCCAGATTTTAAACTGAGTGTTTAGCATAATCCAAAAATTCTGTCATCCATATGGACCAGCTTGGTGTTAAACCAGCTTTGGTCTCCTAAGGGAGACCGTTTTCTCCCTCTTTTCCTCCCCATTCTCCAGCCAAAAAAAGAGACTCCTATCATTTGTATGTGTTTTAAAATACACTGGAGCTTTATCTTAGGAGGCATTGAGTCTGTTAGTGTACATGCTGTTCTAGGGCATTAGAAAATTCTAGATGGTAGTTTCGGCTTCTTAGAAGTATAACTTATTTTTCATATTTGGTGATTTCTGAAATTGTTAGCTACTAATTATATACGGTACTTAGACACTCTGGAGCATTTACAGAAAGGGGATATTATGATAGAGTAGAAAGAGACAAGGCGCTGGGCGCGGTGGCTCACGCCTGTAATCCTAGCACTTTGGGAGGCTGAGGCGCGTGGATCACTTGAGGCCAGGAGTTTGAGACTAGCCTGTCCAACATGGTGAAAGCCCATCTGTACTAAAAATACAAAAATTAGCCTGGCATGGTGGCACATGCCTGTAATCCCAGCTACTTGGGAGGCTGAGGCAAGAGAATCGCTTGAACCTGGGTGGTGGAGGTTGCGGTGAGCTGAGATTGTGCCACTGTACTCCTGCCTGGGTGACAGAACAAGACTTCATCTCAAAAAAAAAAAAAAAAAAAAATAGGAAAAGAAAAGAAAAGGCAAGGCTTTGGAACCATACAGACCTGGGTTCAAATGCCAGCTCTGGCCATACTTTCTACATCAATGTGAGCAAGTTACTTTAACTTAGGGGTTCTCCATTTTTGTGTGGTGCTAAGAGGTACATAGGGTGGGGGGAGGGTAGCCATAGTTTTCCCAGTCCCTCCTTAAATATTCCACCTAGGTAACATGCTTGTGCTTTTGTTTGCATATCAGGGTACTCAACACCATACATACATATACAGTCCATAGAACGTGTGCTTACTGTTCTGTAAGGAAAACTGGAACCACGTCCCACTTGGTGCCCTCATTCCCTCTAAGCCCATTGTATATATACATCCTGGTGCTGGTCACTTTCCTAATTTGTGTAATACCTGTCTTTGGGGGGTTTTGTGAGGACTAGCGACAATATTTATAAAAGTTTTAGAACAGTCTCTAACATGTGGCAAGTATTCAGTAAATACTATTTTTACATTTCAATGATTTTATTAGATACTTGATTTTACGATCATTGGTGGAACCCACTGTTACTTCTTTGTACTTAAAATACTCCGTCACTGAGATGTGTTTTATTCCATTGCCACAGTGGTTCTTAAGTTCTCTAATTCCAAGATGATCCTGCCTGTTGGGTAATCACTGTCCCCGCTGATTTCTCTTTCGTGTTACTGTAAAACAAAATCACTTCACCAGAATTAGTGAGGGAAATGATAGTGTTTTTTATGAAATACTAATGAAGTGATAGATGGGTTTTGCAAACCAGGATGAGTAATGATGTATAATGGCATGTTACAGTATCAGCATTAGTACCGAGAGCTTTTGATCCAACTTGATGGGACTTGTACTTTGAGAACTGGTATTCCTGTTAGGGGAAGAAAAGAGTAAGAGATAAAAGTAATCTATGTGTTGTGGAAACCATTTTTAACAATTAAATGAAGTCTGGATACCACCTACAGACTTCTAGAATTAGGAAAGCAAAGCAGCTCTTATGGGTATAAACAAATCACATGCACACCTCGTTTTATTGCACTTCATAGATATTGGGGGTTGCTTTTTTTTTTTTTTTTTTTTGACGAAGTCTTGTTCTGTCACCCAGGCTGGAGTGCAATGGCACGATCTTGGCTCACTGCAACCTCCCGCCTCCGGGGTTTAAGCAATTCTCCTGCCTCAGCCTCCTGAGTAGCTGGCATTATACACGGGAGCCACCACGCCTGGCTAATTTTTGTATTTTTAGTAGAGACAGGGTTTCACCATGTTGGTCAGGCTAGTCTCGAACTCCTGACCTCATGATCTACCCACCTCAGCCTCCCAAAGTGCTGGGATTACAGGCGTGAGCCACTGTGCCCAAACAAATTGAAGGTTTGTGGCAACCTTGTGTGGAACAAAACTGTTGGTACCATTTTTTCCAACAGCATATGCCCCTTTCATATCTTTGTGTCACATATTGATAATTCTTGCAATATTGCAAACCTTTGCATTGTTACTATATCTGTTATAGTGATCTGTGATGAGAGATCTTTGAAGTTACTTTTTAAAAATTATTTATTTATTTATTTATTTTTGAGATGGAGTCCCGCTCTGTCGCCCAGGCTGGAGTGCAGTGGCTCTGTCTCGGCTCATTGCAAGCTCTGCCTCCGGGGTTCACACCAGTCTCCTGCCTCAGCCTCCTGAGTAGCTGGGACTACAGGCGCCCGCCACCACGCCTGGCTAATTTTTTGTATTTTTAGTAGAGACAGGGTTTCACCATGTTAGCCAGGATGGTCTCTATCTCCTGACCTTGTGATCCACCCACCTTGGCCTCCCAAAGTGCTGGGATTACAGGCGTGAGCCACCGCGCCCGACCTGAAGTTACTATTTTAATTGCTTTGGGACACCATGAAATGTGCCCCTACAGCAAACTTAATCGATAAATGTTGTATGTGTTGTGACTGCTCTGCTGAGCGGTTGTTCCTCAGCCTCTGTCCCTCTTCTCAGGCCTCCCTATTCCCCGAGACACAACAGTATTGAAATTAGGCCAATTAATAACCCTATAATGGCCTTTAAGTGTTCCAATGAAAGGAAGAGTCACATGTCTCTCATTTTAAATCAAAAGCTAGAAGTGATTTAGCTTAGTGAGGAAGGCATGTCAAAAGCTGAAACAGACCAAAAGCTAGGCCTCTTGCATCAGACAATTAGACAAGTTGTGAATTTAAAGGTAAAGTTCTTGAAGGAAATTAAAACTACTACTCCAGTAAACATGTGAATGATAAGAAAGTAAAACAACCTTATTGCTGATAATTGAGAAAGTTTCAGTGGTCTGGATAGAATATCAA
Organism: Homo sapiens; assembly: GCF_000001405.40. Taxonomy (NCBI): domain Eukaryota; kingdom Metazoa; phylum Chordata; class Mammalia; order Primates; family Hominidae; genus Homo; species Homo sapiens. The sequence goes on along the minus strand of NC_000014.9, from coordinate 63,447,546 downwards.
ACCAGCCACAACGTTCCTTATGCCAAAGCCTAACCCAGAGCAAGGCCTTGGCTCTCTTCAGTTGTATAAAGGCTGAGAGAGTTGAGGAAGCTGCAGAAGAAAAGTTGGACAGTAACAGAGGTTGGTTGGCTTATGAGGTTTAAGGAAAATAGCCATCTCTCTAACATAAAAGTGCAAGGTGAAGCACTAAATGCTGTTGTAGAAGCTAAAGCTGCCGCAAGTTGTCCAGAAGACTTAGCTGAGACATTGATGAAGGTGGCTACACCAAACAACAGAGTTTCAATGTGGATGAAACAACCATCTATTAGAAGATGTTACCATCTCTGACTTTTACAGCTGCAGAGGAGAAATCAGTGCCAAAGCTTGGGCCAGGCTGACTCTCTTGTTAGGAACTAATGCCACTGGTGACTTAAGTTGAAGCCAGTGCTCATTTACCATTCTGAAAATCTTAGGGCGTCTAACAACCATGCTAAATCTACCCTGCCTATGCTCTGTAAATGGAACAGCAAAGCCTAGATGACAACACTTCTGTTTACACATGGTCCACCAAATATTCTGAATTCACTGTTGAGGCCCACTGCTTAGAAAAACGTTTTGTTTTTCTTTTCCCCCAAAGTATTACTACTCATTGACTATCCACCTTGTTACCCAAGAGCTCTAATGGAGATATACAAGGAGATGAATGTTGTTTTCTTTTTCTTTTTTTTTTTTTTTTTTTGAGATGGAGTCTCACTCTGTCCCCCAGGCTGGAGTGCAGTGGCTTTATCTCAGCTCACTGCAAGCTCTGCCTCCTGGGTTCACGCCATTCTTCTGCCTCAGCCTCCCGAGTAGCTGAGACTACAGGCGCCTGCCACTGCGCCCAGATAATTTTTTGTATTTTTAGTAGAGACGGGGTTTCACCATGTTAGCCAGGATGATCTTGATCTCCTGATCTCGTGGTCCACCCGCCTCGGCCTCCCAAAGTGCTGGAATTACAGGCGTGAGCCACCGTGCCCGGCCGAATGTTGTTTTCATGCCTGCTGACATACCATCCAATCTTCAGCTCATGGGTCAAGGAGTAATTTTGATTTTCAAGTCTTATTATTTAAGAAATTCATTTCTTAAGGCTGTAGCTGCCATAGATAGTAATTCCTCTGATGGATCTGGGCAAAACAAATCGAAAACCTTCTGAAAAGGATTCACCATTCTAGATGCCATTTAGAACATTTGTGATTCACAGGAGGAAGTCGAAATATCAGCATTAACAGGAGTTTGGAAGGGGTTGATTCCAACCCTCATGGATGACCTTGAGAGCTTCGACTTCAATAGAGAGAGTAGCTGCAGTGCAGATGTGATGGGAATAGCAAGATAACTAGAATGAGAAGTAGAGCCTGAAGATTTGACTGAATTGCTGCAATCTCATGATCAAACTTCAACAAATGAGGAGTTGCTTCTTATGGATGAGCAAAGAAAGTGGTTTCTTGAGAGGGAATCAACTCCTGAAAATGTTGTGAACATTGTTGAAATGACAACAAAGGATTTAGAACATTATGTAAACTTAGTTGATCAAGCAGTGGCAGGGTTTGGGAGGATTGACTCCAATTTGAAAAGAAGTTCCATTGTGGATAAAATGCTATCAGACAGCATCACATGCTACAGAGAAATTTTTCATGAAAGGAAGAGTCAATCGAAGCCACAAACTTCATTGTCATTTTTTTTTTTTTTTGAGACGGAGTCTCACTCTATTGCCCAGGCTGGAGTGCAATGGCACAATCTCCGCTCACTGCAACCTCCGCCTCCTGGGTTCAAGTGATTCTTCTGCCTCAGCCTCCCGAGTAGCTGGGATTACAGGCGCTCACCACCACGCTTAGCTAATTTTTGTATTTTAGTAGAGATGGGGTTTCACCATGTTGGCCAGGCTGGTCTTGAACTCCTGACCCTGTGATCTGCCCGCCTCAGCTTCCCAAAGTGCTGGGATTACAGGCGTGAGACCACCACACCTGGCCTCATTGTCATCTTATTTTAAGAACGTGCCACAACCACCTCAGCCTTCAGCTACCACCGCTATGATGAGTTAGCAGCCATCAACATGAAGGCAAGACCCTCCACCAGCAAAAAAGATTACAACTCGCTAAAGGCTCAGATGATTGTTAGCATTTTTTAGCAATAAAGTATTTTTAAGGTATATCCATTTTTGTTTTTTTAGACATAAAGCTATTGTGCACTTTATAGACTACGGTGTATTGTAAACACAACTTTTACATGCACCAGGAAACCAAAAATGTGTGTGACTACTTTATTGAGATATTTGCTTTATTGTGATGGCCTGGAACTGATCCTATAATGTATGTGAGGTGTGCCTGTAAAGCAAAATAGCCCATAAAGAGTCCCAGACAGAGAACATGGAAGCCACTGTCTTCATTTCTCATCTTCCACTTAACTAGTGGTAAGAACTTGGGTAAGTAGTTTTCTCTCTAAGCCTCAGTTTCTTCTGTTATAAATAGAGGGAGTTGATGATGAATCCCTTACATCTTTCCATTTCTGAAAACTAACACCTCTTTTGATCAACACAGTCTAAGAAATTTTGAATGGATTATGCCTTTCTTAAAGTTTACAGGCCATTGTGCAAAGTAGTTCCTTCAGAAAGTGGTTTGTGTCATGTATTTCTCTTGGGGTCTCCTGGAGTCATAGCTGATGAAAAAATGAGAATCAGGACTTCCAGCTCCTTTAGGCTTTGCTCCATTCTGCTTCACATCATCTCAAGTGTCAGGTGTCTGTCCCTGAGGCATATTTTTTTTAACCACATTATGCTAATGCCTTTTTGGTTTTGTTGTTATGTATCCATTTGAAAGATTTCTTGGAATTTCTGGCTTTCCAAATCACCTTGTGTAAATTTTTATTTACCTGAGCTTGAACTCTGTGTATTTTATATTGTTTATATTTGCACATCTTTTTTTTTTCTCGAAAATGTTTTTTTTGGGGATACTTCAAATATGAGATGAAATCTCATGGGTGAAGACATTGTTTTAGTTAATTCTTAATGTTTATTTAAATGACTCAGTGTTACACTTTTACATTTTGCTAATAAAAAAGACAGGGCTTCACTTTGCCAGTGAGCTCACAATCTGGTAGAGGGAATACTCACGTGAACAGTAACAAGATAATGTCATATATATAGTAGTAAAGTCTGTACAAGGCAAGGAAGGAGTAAAGGGACGTGAAGGTAGATAGAAGGGTGGTTAAGGAAGGCTTGACAGAATGATTATAGCCTCAGTAGGGTATTAAAAGATGAATGTGGCTGAACTTAAAGAGAATTATGTGATGCAAAGGAATTCCCAAACCACATGTTATATACAGGGAAACACAGTCATGCTACGTTGTTACAGTGTTATGTGTATATGTGTGTTGGAGAGTGGGAGGAGGTGAATGGTGGCAGCTGAAGATGTGGATGTGGGCCAGTCTGAAAGAACCTGACAGACAATGGATGGATAAGTGTTGAAAGGTTCTGTGTGGCGGAGTGACATGGTCAGATTTGTATTTCAGTGACAGTGGGACAGAGAGATTGGAGGAGGCTGAGATTGAAGGCAGAGAGGAATCAATTAGGAGACTGTTTTATTGGAGAAATTGTGGAGGGCCTAAGCGAACTGCAGGCATGGAAGTAGAGAAGGAGAGGAAAGGAACATTTGAGATTCACCTAGGAGGTAAAATTGATGCTGCTTGTTAGCATTTATGTGAACTTTTGGAGTGTGAGAGAGGAAGGAGTCTCGGATAGCTTTGGCAGTTGGGTAGTTTGTGGTGTGGTGCTGCTGTTGGGGAGTAGGGAGAGCAGGCTTTGGATGGAAGCTGAGGAGTTGGTTTTCGATGAGTTAATGTTGAGGTTCTTATGGGAGACCTAGATGTGGAAAGTAGGAGGTGGAAATTGGTAGTTATCAGAATGGGAGTAGGGCAGGGGAGGAAAAGAACAATGATGGAACTCTAGATGATACCAGTGAATCATTGTTTCAGTGCAGTGGTACAGGTGGGAGCTAGTGGGTTGAAGAGTAGATTAAAAAATCAAGAGGTTGAGATGACGGCTGTAGATAATTGCTCGCACCTTGGGTGTACTGTCTTCATTAGAGTAAAATCCTGTCACTTCTCTCCTACAAAAAGTGTTCAACCTTGTCACACTGATCATTTGCTGTTATTATTTTTATTTTGTCTCTAGGACTTGGCTTTTCTTGGTTTCAAAGTCTGCTTCAATTCTCAATCTCTGCTTATACCTCAAATGGTAGAATATGTAATTTTCCAAAGTTAATTTAGTTTTAAGATAAAATATATTCACTGGTTTTTCCTTCCTTGCTGTTGAGGTCTTTCTTTGAGTTCGTTACGTTGTTTCTTGGCCACTATTAGCTTTGTTTTTTCCTACTCTCAAATTATAACCTGTCACTTGGTTATCTAAGTGCTTTATTTTTTTTTATACATTCTTTGATTTAACTGGAAACCAGAGCTCTGGTTAGCCTCTTAATACAATAATATGACATTGTAGAAAATTATGAAGTTGCAATTAAATCTCTCAGAGTCTGCCGACATGTACTCTTAGTAGTGCTTGGTTAACCTCGCTACATTATTAGCTGAAGGGCAGAGAGTTTCTTTTAATAAAAGAACAACTATCTAAAAGTAGCTTTGGAATGATAACTGCCGGGGGGAAATATGAAATTTCCATTTTTCATCTTCCTGCATCTGATAAAGAATATAACCATGATAGTCCCCCCTTAACCATGGGGATATGTTACAAGACCCCAGGGATGCCTGAAACTGTGGATAGTACTGAATCCCATACGTATATCCTATGTTTTCCCCTATACATATATACCTATGATAAAGTTTAATTTATAAATTAGTCACAGTAAGAGATTAACAATAACAGTAAAATAGAATAGCTATAACAATATACTGTAGTAAAAGTTACGTAAATGTGGTCTCCCTCTTCCTTCTCTCTCTGTGTCTCTCTCTCTGTCTCTCTCTCAAAATGTCTTATTGTACTTATTCCATGGGTGACTGAAACCATGGGAAGTCAAACCACAGATAGGACGGGGACTACTGTATACATCCTGGCCAGAATTTGCCTTGGAGGTGACTCTTTAGATCCAAAGGAGATAAGATTTGTAGATATGCATTAATAGCAAAAGAGCCATTGGGGGTGGGTGGGTGAGGGTGGACTGTTTATAATATTAGAATTATACATAATGGAAGAGAAATGAGTGATATCTGAGAAGCACACTTAATAACTGAAGCTGGTGGGAAATTTGAAGGATAGGATAAGCGTAAAAGAAGACCTGAGAATTAGATTAGAAATTAAAGAATTCCTTGGTACAAAGGAAAAAATTTAAGGATATGATAATGAGATCTCCCAAAGACATTTGTAGAATGAAATCAGGAGGAACTTACTGCTCAAGGTTAGGAACAGTTTGTTAGCATTCGTAATTTTTCAAAGGGTAGGGAAACTGGTCTGTACTTCCTCAATTCCCACAATTTAACTGTGCTAATCCAGTTAAAGCTCATTTAACAGTATTGATTTAGCAGCTTGGGGTGCCCATAGATGGATTTCTTGGGGTCACTGAACCCTCTTAGGTTAACTGCAAAATTTTGTGTATTCTGTGTATTTTTTTTTTTTTTTTTTAGACGGAGTCTTGCTCTGTGGCCCAGGCTGGAGTGCAGTGGCGCGATCTTGGCTCACGGCAAGCTCCACCTCCCAGGTTCATGGCGTTCTCCTGCCTCAGCCTCCCGAGTAGCTGGGACTACAGGTGCCCGCCACCACACCCGAGTAATTTTTTGTGTTTTAGTAGAGACGGTGTTTCACCATGTTAGCCAGGATGGTCTCAATCTCCTGACCTCATGATCTGCCCGCCTCGGCCTCCCAAAGTGCTGGGATTACAGGCGTGAACCACCGCGCCCTGCTGTGTTCTATGTATTTTTATAGGAGAAAATAACTTGCTTTTGCTTAAATTTTCAAAGGTACATGTGACTCAAAAATGGTTTAAGCGCGATTTTACCCTGTGTGCACTAAATATCTATGCTGGATGCTGCTCACTTGGAGAGTACAAGATTGGAAAGGAACGGGGTCCCCCCATTTCTGGCAGTAACTAAAGATGAAAAATGAAGTTGTTAGAATGATTTCACCAGTGAAACCATTTGGGCTAGAGTTTCTCTGTGGGAAGGCTTTTGGTAGTGAACTCAGTATCTTAAATACATGTCTGACTGTTCAGATTTTTTGTTTTATATGGTGTGAATTTAGGTAGGTTGTTGTAAAGTTACACGATTTAGACTTGTGGCCATATACTTAATCCTTAGAGTCTCTTCACAAAGGTGTGTACTAATGAAAGAAGATGGCCAGCACCCGTATGCCTTCTATTGTTACCTGCATAAAAATCTGCAGGAACAATATATGAGTTAATTCAATCTTCACATTGAATGAGAACCACCTGTGACATAGGTAGTATCTAATAGATACCATTTTGTAGATAAGGTAAAGGAAGAGAGAGGTTAAGAAACTTGTCCAAAGCCACTCACCTGGGTGATTGAGATTTGAACCTTGGTGATCTGGTTCCAGAACCCATACTCTTTTTTTTTTTTTTTTTTTGAGATGGAGTCTCGCTCTGTTGCCCAGGCTGGAGTGCAGTGGCGCGATCTCGGCTCACTGCAAGCTCCGCCTCCCGGGCTCACGCCATTCTCCTGCCTCAGCCTCCCGAGTAGCTGGGACTACAGGTGCCTGCCACCACGCCCAGCTAATTTTTTTTTTTTTTTTGTATTTTTTAGTAGAGACGGAGTTTCACTGTGTTAGCCAGGATGGTCTCGATTCCCTGAGCTCATGATGCGCCTGCCTCGGCCTCCCAAAGTGCTGGGATTACGGGCGTGAGCCACTGCACCCGGCCCAGAACCCATGCTCTTAGATGCTAAGCCATAATGCTTTCCTGGAATTATTCTTTCCAATAGGAATGAGGTCTAAAACCCCTAAAAGTTGGAGTCTTGCCTCTGTGCTATGTTTGTTTCTTGAGCTCTTCTAAAAAAGTAAAAAAGCCTTTGATTTAAGCCCTTCCCTGTATTTTGCTGCTTCTGACAAGGCCAGACCACATAGTATGCTCTGGGGTTAAATGTTCATTTTTTTTTTTTTTGCTTAAGAACAGTTTCTTCTTCACTCCCTCTCTCCTACCACTTCTGCTGCCCTATATAGTAGCTTTACACTCCCTTTGTGTTATTCTTGAATTGTTAACGCTGCTTCTCAATTTTTCTCTCTACCCTACCACTTATTCCCAGTCTGGAAAAGTAAATAGTGATTGAGGAGGTGAGGAGGAGCCCAGGAGGAAGGCCGTGTATTTCAGAACACCCCTCTCTCTCTTCCACCCAGATAGCAGTCCCCTGAGTTCATGTGCTTTCCCACTCCACTTCTCTCTCTGCCCCACCCTTAGAAGTTCCAAAAATCAGGCTCCTCTGCCCGTTGGTGCTCCTTATGTGGTAACATTGGCGTGGCGATACCTTACCTGTGCATCATAGAGGGGCCCCACCTTGCAGCCCTGTTTGTGTTGAATTGGTAGGACCCACAGAAAACGTATATGGAAATTGAAAGTGCCAGTGTATGAATTCAGAGTGAGAAGGGCACTGCTCAGTGGATAGCTGTTTGTGTGTATTTGAACTGTGCCTTCTCTCCCTGCAGGCAAGCTATGCGAGCTGCCAAGGAATCCTTAGGTTGGTTGGTTAGCCTGAATTCAGAGCAAGGGGAGTTAATTAGATGATTCAAACATCCCTCCATCTCCATGATGGACATCCTAATCCTTGGAAGCACTTATGTGTGTACAGCCTGCTTTTCCTTTTTACTGTCCTTCCTGGGTCAGTGGCATAGACAAACAGACCAGAACCCGGCTGGGCGCGGTGGCTCACGCCTGTAATCCCAGCACTTTGGGAGGCCGAGGAGGGTGGATCACCTGAGGTCCGGAGTTCGAGACCAGCCTGACCAACACGGAGAAACCCCGTCTCTACTAAAAATACAAAATTAGCCAGGCCTGGTGGCGCATGCCTGTAATCCCAGCTACTGTGGAGGCTGAGGCAGGAGAATGGCTTGAACCTGGGAGGTGGAGGTTGTTGTGAGCCGAGATCGTGCCATTGCACTCTAGCCTGGGCAACAAGAGCAAAACTCCGTCTCAAAAAACAGAAACAAAAACAAAAACAAAAAAAAAAAACAGACCAGGACCCAGTCTGGCCACTTACTGAACTATGTGATCCCAGGTGAGTCTCATCCCTCTAAGCTTGTTATTATACTATAACTCTATAAGGTTGTTTTGAAAATTAATTTATGAACAGTGCTTAGCACTGTGGTAAGCATTGTTAAAGTCACCATATCATTATTATCATTATTCATGGTACCATCTCTAGCACCCCAGTAGACTTAACCTGTCTATATTGGTTAATACATTTTTCTGGTTACAATGAAGTCTTGCTAACCTGAAAGCTTTTTTTTGTCTTTTTCAGATGACTTTCCATATCTTTTGTCTGACTATTGATTTCAAACTCTCTATGAAGTTTTATTTTCATACCTTTTTTTTTTGGGAGAACTGCCTGTGAAACTGCATATGCCCCTGTGTTTATAGTTATATATACATTTATATATATACTGCCCTAAGTTCATCTAAATGAATTCCTGATATACTTGCATATTCACGTCCCCAACTCTAGTAATAATTTAGCATTTCTCTCCGCAATCATTCTCTCTTAAGGAATCTGACAAGGATTTTAAAGTGTTTAGTTTTAATTTAAATGTGCTAAAGAGAGGGTTTTTACTCAGGAAGCCACTGAGCTACTCGAGATTGCTATTTGCTTCATTTACAAGCTGTAGTCCTTCTGGCTTAACTGCTTTAAAGGTTGTTCAGAGTTTTTAATATACTTAAAATTGTTTGACAGCTGTGACTTGTCTAGCACTGATATATCCAATAATATCTCACTGTAATGAGTATACTCCCCCTGTCTCTACCCCTCCCCCCAGTGGCTGGCAGCAGAATTTTGCAGGATAAGTTACAGTACTGCATTCAAGTTTTGGTTTCTCTTTTCTCCCACCTTTTAATTTAACCTTGAAGCTGAAAATGTGGTTTAAAGGTATAAGCAATGCTTCTGGGAAATCTATTAAGCACATGGATGACAAAGTGTGAAATCTTGCTTGTGGCATGTGCAAGTGGGTCTTGGATAATCCCAGCTCTTGGTGTTAGTTTGTATGATTTGGCTGTCTCTCTACTGAGGAGACACAGAAATGAAAGAGAGGGATTTATTGGCTGATTGTTTGGAGGAAGCTGGTTACACCACAGTGGTGCATGATGAGCAGGAAAAAGCTGAGAAAATGAGTGTCCTCAATGTGGAATTCACAGAGACAGGAGTGCCTGAGGCAAGAATCTGGCAAGCAGACAATGAGCAGGTCATTTCCAGGAGGCAGTTGGCTGCTGACCAGTATTTAAAGCCAAACTTGATCTGTAGGAAAACAAGAAGAAATATGCTATTCAGTGACTTCTCAGGAGCAAGTTGCCTCTGAAAAATGGTGCAAAGACACTAGACTATAGAGTAGAAATGCCATTTCTGTGATGAGTAGAGAGAGGTGAGGGTTGGCCAAGTAGTGGAGAGGGACAGCTGGTGGGGTCATGGTGAGGAGGGTCAGGAGTGGCACACACAAGGAAAGACATTTCTCAGTAAAAATCAGGCTGGTTATAATTATTTGCTAAGTTGGAGAGCAAGTGTATTTTTTTGACAAAATGGACAAGGAAGTTCTATTGGAAAATATGATGTTTCTATACTTTTCAGAAAGGTAGGGAGTGGGGTCTTGGGAGGATAATGTTAGGTGCTAAATGGGCTACTTTGAAATACTGTGGAATTGGCCTTCCTGCAGAAGGTAAGGGCTTTATGAGAATAGGATAGACCACTCTCTGGAATAAGGCAGGCCACTTCATTTTCAGAGATTTCTGGCTTTTTTCTCTTAGACAGATTAAAAAAAAATTGTAGACAATAGAGAAACTGTTGGAAAATTAAGTTTTGTATTTGTGCTGCCCTTAATAACAAAGTGCAAAATGTGTTATATCCTATTCTGTAAAGTGAGAGTAGTTGTGTTACCGGAAAGGGGTCCTGACCCAGACCCCAAGAGAGGGTTCTTGGATCTCATGTAAGAAAGAATTTGGGGTGAGTCCATAGAGTAAAGTGAAAGCAAGTTTATTAAGAAAGCAAAGGAATAAAAGAAGGGCTAGTCCATAGGCATAAAAATAGTCATCCATTTTTATGGTTACTTCTTGATTATATTCTAAATAAGGGGTGGATTATTCATGAGTTTTCTGGGAAAGAGATAGGTAGTTCCCGAACTGAGGGTTCCTCTCCCTTTTAGACCATATAGGGTAACTTCTTGACATTGCCATGGCATTTGTAAACTGCCATGGCGTTGGTATGTGGTACCATGTAGTACCATGGTGTAGCGGTGAGGACGACCAGAGGTCACTCTCCTTGCCATCTTGGTTTTGGTGGGTTTTGGTTGCCTTCTTTATGCATCCTGTTTTATCAGTAAGGTCTTTATGACCTGTATCTTGTGCTGACTTCCTATTTCATCCTGTGACTAAAAATACCTTAACTTACTGGGAATGCAGCCCAGCAGGTCTCAGCCTTATTTTACCCAGCCCCTGTTCAAGATGGAGTTGCTCAGGTTCAAATGCCTCTGACAGTTGTTTCAGCAATAAAATAATCAGAAGGCAGTGGTGTTTAAAGCACATTTAAAATGTAAGCTTACAGGGTTGGTGGTCAGTTCCTGCCCCTAGATCCTTCTCTTGGTTTCCTTCAGAGGAACTAAGATGAAGCCAGCTATGTGTCACTGTCAACGGGGAGGGCTGGCTGTCCTGTCTTCCCCTGGAGTGGCATATCACACTTAATTCATTATGAAGCAGTAGTTTTGGGATAAGGAGGAATGTTAGTTTATGGACAGAACCTATGGTTATATGTGCTAAATATGGTTATATGGTTATGGTTATATGTAGGTCAGGTGTGTTTTAATTACTCACCAACTAGCTCAGGGCTTTGTTTTGCTAATGAAAGGTCACAGACACACACAGAGACGTGCACATAGACACAGAGTATAAGAGACAGTGACAGTTAGTTTTGGCTGTGTTTCTTGTTTATTTTTTGTGATTTCAATTAATAACACATACCTAGTAGTCAGAAACACACATCAGGAGCCTCAAATGTTTTGTGTATGCTTTTTTAAAAATTCGCAATTCAAGAGGCTTAATTTTTGTTTGAGCATTAGCTGATTTGGAACCATGAAGTCCTCATAGCAGATGTTTAGAATTTGTGTTCTCAAAAAAGCCTTATGTTGGTATTGTTTTATCAACTTGTGCACTGTGGCTTTTACAGAAAACACTCAATTCAGTTTTAGTAACCTTCTAGGACTTAGGACCCACAGTCCCCAGATGGTGAAATGCAGCAAAGCCTTGGTATCACATGGTTAGCCTGTGTGGGGCGGGAGTGCTTGAGGCCAACCCAGGCGGTACGAGGGCCTGCACTGATTTATACACAGTAAGCACTATGACTATTGCAATGTTTACACGTCTATTTTTGGATTCTAAGATTTAATATCAACAATGTTCACTTTTGGACTCACTGCTACATTTCCAATTTTGGAGCGAGTACAATACAGTCATCTCTGTGTGAAATATCATTTCCCTGTGATGGTTTTGTGTGAGGATAACAGACTCTAGAGATAATTATTTTAACATTGCTGTCACCATTTCAGCAGGTAAAAAGTTGCCTCCTATTTTGAGCAAAGTTTGATCTTGAAATAGGAGCCGAATGGAAGCGGAGGGTTCATGGTCAGAATTTGTGGGCAGTAAGGTGGAGAGAGGCAGGGATGAGTTTAGATTAGAGAGGGTGTGGCAAATTAAGCAGAGGAGGTTAGACTTAATCTTGTAGATGGCGAGCAGGGAGTTGTAAGGATTTTTGAACAGGAGGTGAAATGAAACTATATTCTTACTTTTCTTTCTCCAGACCCTATGAAGAAAGTCTGTGCTCCTTTAAGGAAGATTAGGCTGGCAGATATAACCCAGGATGGCCTGTGGCAGAGGGCTGTTGTCTTAGGTTTGTCAGATGATTGCAGAGGAAGAGGAAATTAAGAATATGTAAAGAACTCACCATCTTCCGTTTTTTTTCTCCACCCTTATCAAAAAAAAGAATCACCCATAGTTTCGGTATTTAAATTCAATCATTACCCACATTTTGGCCAGTCTGCTCCTAGTCTGCTTTTTTTTTAATATGACTTTTTTCCCTTTAAAAAATTTAGATATACTTAACTTGTAATAAAATTTGAAGAACAGATCTTAGGCAATGAACGTTCAATGAATTTAGCAATTATATATACTTGTATAGTCATCACCCCAAATGAGATCTGGAACATTGTCATCTCCCCAGAAAATTCCCCTTTTGCTCTTTCCTGTTTTTCCTTGTTAAACCTTTTTTTCTAATCTTACTATATATACATTATCATTATGATGTAAACATACTCTCCTGTAATTAAATAATCTTTTAAAAGCATAATTCTGATGGTTCCTAACACTCCATTATGTGGATGTACCATTGTTTACTTAACTGATTTTCCAATTTGGGATATTTAAACAGTTTCCAAATTTCCACTATTAAAAGTAATACCATCATGAGCACCAAAGAGACATTTTGAAGTAATAAATAAAATGACTTGTTGACAAATTGTATATAGCAGATAAAGGAGAAGAGTTAACAAAAACTCCAAAGGGTTAAAAAAATAGTGAACTTCTTGAAAGAATGGGGAGGTGGGAGGAGAATTCTCTTTGAGAGATAAATGGAGTCCAATGAGAGTGAAATTGGTTTTGACCAGCCTGAATTTGAGATGATAGTGAGATGTCAAAACTGCTCTATATGTAACTGGAAGTAAAGAAATTAAGGATATCCATGTGCCCTGGACACAGAGGTCGTAGTGGAAAAGGTGATAGGGGACTGAGTATTGAGAGGAGAGCAGCATACTAAGGGCTGGGACTTGTTCTACCTCTAGTGCTGACCTTTATTTTTCTTTTTGGGGAGGTTGTGTACTTCTTCACTGGATGAAATCATGACTTGGAGGCGTTCATTTGAATTTTGCATTCAGTATTCCCAGATCCTGAACATGCTTTATTTTTCTATTTTATTTTATACTAAGACCCACTAATGTAGTTGGTGCTAATTCTGAGAAAGAAACTCTTGTGAAGATCTCTCAGTTTATTTTGGCTAAGATTAGAGTATCTGCCATTTTTTGTTTGTTTGTTTGTTTTTTTGCTGTTATACTGGACTCTTCCCCACTAAAAAGAGACTGATTTTTTTTGCATAAGCAAATTAAATTACTTGAATTAGCAGAAGTTACTGGAGAATGGAAGAAATAACTTAATAGGAAATAATCACTAACTTTTGAGTAAATAGGGTATATTGAACCCATGCATATGTTTACTTTTATTCCCTAAAATCTCCCCACAATTACTGAAATGAAAAAGTTATTACTGAAAGGAAATAAAACCCACAAGAACAAAGCAAAATAGAGAGATCTCAAAATTAACATTTTGGAAGCTAGAAAGCAAATGAACAGTGGTTACTACCTTGGTCCATCAGAGAAAGCTGAACCCAAAGCAGCAGCAAGGAAAGTCAAGACAGGGCAAGTCACATGCACAACTCCGAGGAACTTCAGAAAGATAACCTCTCAAAGGAAGGGTGCATGGGGGCGAAACAGGAGATTCGCTGGAAAGTCTGTATAAGAAGTAGCCAGAATTCCTTTTCTCCCATTCTCCCAAAACCAGGTAGCTATGTAACTGCTCTCTCAAATCCCAGCAGAACACTGAAGCTTTACTCTCTGGAGAGGCTAAACTAGAGGGAATCTGGACTTGGGGACATTACGCACAGCTGAGAGCAGCGCGCACCTTTCTGAAAGTAGGACACTATGTTGAATTGAGACTAAACCCACTCAGTTCCCAGATACCTTATGCACTCTAGCCAGGAGATTAGATGATTCTTCTCTGCAGAATCAGGCAAGCCCAAGAGAAAAGACCTAAAGACAAAACTTAAAAGGGAGTTCTGGAGGGAGGGGCATGAACAGGTGGTAAGGAATTAGCCCAGCCAGTCTCACTATAGGCAAGCCCACTAGTCAACTGGTGCCATGTTGTACCCACAGAGCCCCTATTTTAAATATGACTGTAGACAGTGGCTCACTCCTGTAGTCCCAATGCTATGGGAGGCCGAGGCAGGTGGATTGCCTGTGCTCAGGAGTTTGAGATCAGCCTGAGCAACATGGTGAAATCCCATCTCTACTAAAAATATAAAAATTAGCAGGGTGTGGTGGCACATGCCTGTAGTCCCAGCTACTTGCGGGGCTGAGGTGGGAGGATCACTTGTGTCCAGGAGGTTGAGGCTGTGGTGAGCTGTAATCGCACCACTGCACTCCAGCCTGGGTGACACAGTGAGACCCTGTCTCAAAAAAAAAAAAAAAAAAAAAAACAAAACAAAACAAAAAACAAAACTGTATGTGGCGCTGTGGTTAAGACTTTTTAGGTTTGAGTCCTCTCTCCTGACATTAATACTTAATGAAAACTTAGTTTGACTTAGTTTGGTCTAATTTAGAACTTTATATGAAAGGAATTAAACAGCTTATATATGTTTGGGGGGTTTGGTTATGACTGCTTATCCTTTTTACTGTTTGATGAACGTTTAGGTTGTTTCTAGTTTGCAGCTATTATAAATTCTGCTTCTATTAACTTGATTATACTAGTTTGGCATTAGTGATCACTGCATAGAGGGGGCCAGCTCAAATGTCTTTCTTTTTCCCTTGAATCTTTCTTTCTTTCTTCCCTCCCCTTCCCCCAGTCTCTTCTCTTTTCCTGTCTTTGTGGCACCTCTGTCTTCTGATGAACATGCCACAGGTCAAGGAGAGTGGAAACAAAAGACAAAATCCTTTCTTTCACTCAGTTTTTCCCTGTTGTCCCCTTCTAACGAAGTGTTGACATAGTCTTCCAAACCATGCCTATATTTACATTTGATCTGTATTCAAATTCTATTGTTTCTCTATTCTTGATATCTCATGGACAGATTCCTTTCTTTCATACAGTTGGCAGTGCTCCGATCTTCTAGAGACTCCGTGTCTAAGGGGACCAAATTATTTGTAGAAGCAATCACCGTATGTTAAATCTAGTTATACCAATTCATCATAACAATTATCAGCTAAATACTCCGACTGCTTCTAACAGCAGTAAGCAGCAATAACAATGAAAACAGTGTTTGTTTTTTGGTCTGTGTAAATCTGTAGTGTATACCCAGTAGAGTAAAAAATAAATACTTGATGCAGGAAATATAAATAAAAATGATGTCTTCCTTGTGTGTTATGAAAATAGTACATGGCCAAGACTTCTATTAATTTAATACTGCCTTTTGAATATTGGCTATATTTAAAAATTCTAATTGGGTATTATAAGTTTTAAGCTTTTTTTTTTTTTTGATATTCCCTTTCTTCAATTGCCTGTTAAACTTCTGATCATTTTAATATGTTCTTTCTGCCTCATTTCAGGAATCATATTTAATAGAATAGTTGTTATGTCCTAGAAAGCCCTGCTAATACAGATTTAAGTATGACATTAAATGTGTAACAATAATTACTAATTATTCCTAAAGTATATTTGAATAATTACTAATTATTTCTAAATGTGTAACAATAATTACTAATTATTTCTAAAGTAATTACTCGCTTTAGAAATCTCCTTTTAAATCCTCTTCCGGATTTCTAGATGTTGTAAAACAAACCTCACAACTGTCACAAGTGCATGTTTCTTAGTCACATGTAAACAATGCACCCTGTCATTGGTTCAGTGAATGTCTTCACAAAAGTATAGAGCTTTGTCCGCAAATGCAGTTTTATGATAAAGATATGGACAGGCTTGCTGGAGTGGCTTGATCATACCTACTTGTTACAGTATTTCAGATAGTTCTTATCATGCAACTGAGATCTACATTTGTGATAAACAAGGATATTGAGGAGATTGTTTTGACTCAAGGAATCATATGTAACTCAAATAAACATGTTTGGAATAATAATGTCTGAAAATTATAATTATTGATGACATTACATAGCAAATACAGTTAAATATTTAATGTGTTAGGCAATAAAGCTAGACCTGCAGTGGATGGCTTATTCTAGGAAATTGTCAAACTGACTTAAATTTAAATTTCTGATCCTTAGAATTAGGTGTTAAGGACATGCTTTTTTTTTTTTTTTGATAGAGTCTAGCTCTGTCGCCAGGCTGGAGTGCAGTGGCGTGATCTTGGCTCACTGCAACCGCTGCCTCCTGGGTTCAAGCAATTCTCCTGCCTCAGTCTCCCGAGTAGCTGGGACTACAGGCATGCGCCCCTATGCCCAGCTAATTTTTGTATTTTTAGTACAGATGGGGTTTCACCATGTTGGCCAGGATGGTCTCGATTTCTTGATCTTGTGATCTGCCTGCCTTGGCCTCCCAAAGTGCTGGGATTACAGGGGTGAGCCACCATGCCTGGCCAGGACATGCCTTTATACTATAATAACAGATTTGAATGGTTTCTTAAATTCAGATAACTTTTAAGTAGCTGTGTTAATTCATATAGATGACAAGGTTTAAAAAAAGACTTTATACCTAGTCTGAAGTGGAAACTACAGTAGATTTATTGTGGTAATTAAGATACATAGTTTGGCTTTAGAAACAAATTATTTGATTGAACAAATTACCAGTGAATTAAATTAAGCGGTAATTGAAAGCTTACAGATTTTGCCATTTGTTTCCTAATTAAAGTATCGGCTTAAAAGATATTTGTCTGCTCTGATTCTAAGTCCCTCAGGCATAATTACAAATGCTTTGAGATCTTTCTATGTTTATTTATCAATAATTATCTATAATTAATTTAAAGGAGCTGACATTTAAAAATGTCAGATTTGAGAGGTTCTTTATTATTGAGACCATTAACAACTCTTAAATTTGGTGTTACCAAAAGTAACTTGACGTTATATATGTTATTATTTATTATTTTTATGTTAGAAAATTTGGTTAGAATTTTAGTTCTTATTCTTACAGTTGAATATGTATGTATGCATGTATGTATGTATGTATGCATGTATGTATGTATGTATGTATGCATGCATGTATGTATGTATGTATGTATGTATACATGGGTTTTCTCCATTGTGGCCACTCTGGTCTCCAACTCCTAGCCACAAGTGATCCTCCCGCCTCGGCCTCCCAAAGTGCTGGGATTACAGGCGTGAGCCACTGTGCCTGGTGTTAGGGTTGAATATTTAATATAAATTCTAATCTGTTTGAAAATAGTCTTAGGTGTTTAAATGTCTGATTTAGAGATTTAAAGTAAGTCTTGCTTATATTCATATTTTTGTTTCAGATTTAATTGTTTTTTAAAAAATGACATTCATGGTAAATATTGATGATTTGCCTATTTTCTTTCAAGGTTCAATTTCACCGTATCTACTTAGATTCATCTTTTGTGCTAACATAAAATATTATGAAAATAATACGGCCGGGTGCAGGGGCTCACGCCTGTAATCCCGGCACTTTGGGAGGCCAAGGCGGGTGGATCGCCTGAGGTCAGGAGTTCAAGACTAGCCTGACCAACATAGTGAAACCCCATCTCTACTAAAAATACAAAAAATTAGCTGGACGTGGTGGCGGGTACCTCTAATCCAGCTTCTAGGAAAGCTGAGGCAGGAGAATCACTTGAATCGGGGAGGTGGAGGTTGCAGTGAGCCAAGATGGTGCCATTGCACTCCAGCCTGGGCAACAAGCATGAAAATCTGTCTCAAAAAAAAAAACAAAAAACAAAAAACAAAAACAAACAAACAAAAAACCATGATGACCTAAGTGACAGCATTGCATTTACTAGCCCCTCCTGGTTGTAAATGATTAAATCATTTTGGTTTCTTTCTAATGCATAATGAATTATTGAATGAATGAATACATAAACTGGATGAGAAAACTCAGGGATACCATTGAAATTGTTACTTGCATGATGAGGTCTTAATGTGAATAGTGCTGGAGAAATAGTGGCAACTTTAAATTTCCTGGAATGTTTTCTGTTTATCATCATTCATATAGTCTTTTTGGTTAGAAAATTTACCTTTTAGATGTAATCTTAAAATTCACTTTATAGCCATGATAACATTCTTTTTGTATTTATAGTTGATATGCTTGCAATATTGTATAATTGTATGAACTTACAGTTTCACAGATGAAAGGGGGAAAATATCTTTGAGGTCAGCTAGTTCATCTGCTTTTATTCAAGAAAGATGATACTCAACCATCTAGAAAATACATTCTAAATCACAAAGATGATTTAAATTGACTTGTTATACTGTGGTACAAGTGGTCCCCTGATCACATTACATGCCCAGTGTACCAGAGCCTCAAATCTTAACAAAAATATAACTACAGGAAATTCAAAGTATTCATGAATTTTAAAAAAGCACTCATTGTATTGTCCTTATCTTTCGTGTGTATTTTTTTGTTAATATTGGCAGATATTTAATGAGTAGCTATTAGGTGCTAGCCACACTCTGTTCTATTATAATATTTTCCTTAACAACAAAATGCCAATCAAAATCATAGTGTAAAATTAGTAATTTCTATGGAAATGGATTAGGAATGGTGATTTTTTTTCTGCAGTAATTTAAATAACTATTTAGAAATATAACAGTTGTATTTTGCTCTTGCAAGTCAAAAAGTAGTAAGTTTAATAAAAAACTGATAAAAATATGCCTAAATGCTTCTTCCTCTTTTGTTTATGAGGTCATGAACTTGGAAACTTTGTAGTCTCTTCTTTCACATTTGGCCAAGAATTTGACTTTTTTTGTTTTTGTTGCAGCACCATACTTAACAATAGTCAGCAGTAAACTAATGTACTGAAAAATAATAGAGCAGCCGGGCCCTGAAAGCAAGCAGTTATGAGGTCCTTGACCTTGCCCCTTCAGTAGAGGTTCTTAATATTAGTGTTATTTTAGGGTTGTCAGATTTAGTAAATAAAAATACAAGGCATCTAATTAAATTTGAATTTCAGATAAATAGTGAATAATTTTTTAGTATAAGACAGTCCCAAATATTGCATGGGACGAACTTATACTGAAAAATTATTTGTCGTTTATCTGAAAGTCAGATTTCACCAGTGTCCTGAGTTCTATTTGGCACCTCTAGTTATTTTCATTTATTGTATATTAGGTGCCAGACATTCTGAGATGAATAGAGTCCTTGAGTGCTTCAAAATCTAACTGGGGGAGACAAAAAGAAGGGATGTGAGGAAGAGAGTACCGGAAAGGAAACTGTGCAGTAATCAAGATGTTTGCTGCTGGAGGTCTGAACCGGCAGTGGGGATGAGAGATCGTTATAGTTCTTTGTTAATGCTGAGCGAAGTCATCCTTTGAGTGGCACTGGCAGGCAAAAAAACTCGGAAGGAGCTGATGAGAAAGGAGAGATGAGAAAATGAGAGTAGTAAAAATGTTAAAAAGAAATGGGAGTAGGGAAGATGAGAGGAAAAAGAGAGAAATAAAGAAGTCAGGTCCATCCACGGTCTTCAGGGGTCAGGGTGGAAGTGATGTATCAGAAGGAACCCTGGGAACTTTCTCTGTGTTTCATGGTAATTTGTTACCCTGAAAAACTTGCAAGCTCTTTGCACCACAGTTTCCTAAGATGAAGGGGCTGGATAAGATAATTTCTAACCTGATCTGATTCTAAAAGCTCGTTAGTGGAGGTTTTCTGTCTTTGAAGAGGGGTTGTCCAGGTTTTGACATCCTTTCCTCCCATCCCTTCAGCCTTGCTTTGTCCTTATAGCCACTTTTTGGAGGCCAGGCCAGTGACTTCAAGCCTCCTTTTTTTCTTTCTTTCTTTTTTTAATAGAGAGATGGGGGTCTTGCTATGTCACCAGGGCTGGTCTTAAACTCCTGGCCTCAAGTGATCCTCCTGCCTTAGCCTCCCAGGCATGAGTCACTGCTCCCAGCCCCTTCAAGCCTTTAGTTTGATCCTAACATCCGATGTGTATTCTAATATCTTTGGTATGAAAAGGAATTAGACTACCTCAGAGGCATTTATTTCTTAAACTTTTTTTTTTTACTTTGCACTGACACCAGTGTAGTTTAAAATACAATATTTGAAAAATAAATGTATCTAATATACTGTAAAATTTCCTTTTGTTCATTTTTGATAGTCCACTTTTGAATGAATAAAATAGGAGGTGTAGGGCTAGAACCTCATATATTTTAATATAATAGAGACCGTTTGTGACTTTGGAAATACCTGAATGCATTTTAATCTAGCCGCATAGGCTCTTCACAAAACTGTTGCATGGTGGGGAGTGATGTTGGTGCTTACTCATGGCTGTGATACATTTGCATAAGCATGCAAGTGCCCTATTTAATAATCCATTTAACCGTAAACTATAAATTAAAAGTGACTGCCAGTGATAAAGGAAGATTTAATGGAAGCAAATTTACTATTTAGGACCTTGGTTTTTAACCATTTTTAGATCTTGGAAGTCTTTTGAAAATCTGATGAAGGCAACTGGCCTTTTCCCAAATTGGACTAACATACAAACTGTTGCAGATAAATCAGGGGATTTAGAGACACGCCTCCCCGCTTCCTCCCCCGTGCCCCAATGGAAGCCCATCCATGGATGACCTGATTTTAAATTTATGATTTTGGAGCTCAACTGTACAGTTAAACTGGTTCATTCATTTAATTCTTAAATCATTCATTCATGAGCCAAGCTCTCTGGTATTGTGGGAGGCTGTGATTTTTTTTTTTTTTTTTTTTTTTTGATAAGCCTTTGGCACTCCTGGAGGCTGTGATTCTTAACTCTCGCTTGACAGCAGTAGTCTTATATAAACAAGTTCAAGACCCATTTTCATCTTGCAATGGAAGGTGTAACTCACAGTGTATATCTTTAACGTATGCTTTAGGACTGTGTTTATCATTCATAGTCCTCTTGCTTTAATACAGCTTTTAATTTCCATTTAGTGGACCATTTACATTCTTATCCTTATAATCACACAATTTTCAATTGCCTTTCCGTCCAAATCTTTATTTATAAACTTTTTTTTTTTTGGTGCTCCCATATAGCCATCATCTTTAATGCTGCACAATATTCCACTGAGTTGATAAACCTCTCTGATGCCGGACATAAAGGTTATTTCCAGTTTTACATTTTTTGGAGAATGTTGCAAGTGACAGCTTTAAGTAGCTTTTTCACTCTTGTCTTGGATTAGTTTCTCAGGGCAAATTCTCAAGGATGGGAGTAATGGCTCATTTATAACATTTTTATTAAGTACCTAGTATATTCCAGGCTGGGTCAGAGGTTTGGCCATTTCTATGACACTTGATATGCTTTGCCATTCTTTCCCATTGTGGTAGAGAACTACTTCACCAATCCAGTCAACTCTGAATTGTCCAACCCAGCAGACATGTGCTTTCTCATTCCTCATTTGGTGAATGTTGAGAAGTAAACTAAATAAAGCATGACAGGAAGATAAATCTGAAGAAATGACAGTGTGTAGCTAAATGAAATGTATATACTTATAGAACTACCTGCCTTTTGGATTATTTACCCAACTTGGCCTTCTTTTGCTGTAACTGAGAGATGAAGTTTTGACTAAGTCAGAAGATTAGAACACAATATAGGGATAAACATCCTTAGAAATAACTTAAATTTATTCAAGTCACCAAGAAAATGTTGAAGTTTGTTTAAAGCAAAACCACAATACCCAGCTTTATTAATATATCCAAACTTCTATTTTGTGAATATTTATTAAATGCTTAGTATATGCTGGGAAGACAAATGTGTTGTATATTCCTAATTAGTTATTAGTAGGGAGAGACAAATACCTAAACAGATAGTTGCTGCAGCGTGCAGTGGACACTGTAAGAGAGTTTATATGCCCAGGAGTACAAAGGAAGAGAAGTTTCTGTTTCTTTACCCAGATTTTTTACTATAGAGAAGCCCCCTTTTCCCCCCTTTCATGGTTTACTTTCATGTCTTGGGAGAGGAAAAACACTTGTTAAAAAGTGTAGTACGTATAAATGACTCAGTTGGGATGAAGACTCAGTTTTTGAATTACATGTATAGTTTAATGAAGATTCAAAGTTGAGTAATTAAAGAACCTTTGCCCTGTCAATTACATTATAGCTGGCTGGTTGAAGGGAAGTCGTAGGTTGATAGTTATCTGAAAAGTCATTTATTTCTTCATAAAAATAATTTCTAGTAATCACTGGAAGGGACAAAAATAAAACAATAGAACTGTGTGTGCTGTCATTAGCGATAGCAAAAGCATATTCTCACATGATCATTTTTTTCTGTCATCTAGGCTAACGAATAAGAAAGTTGGTCTACCTTTTCTTCTAGAAAGAACACTGGGGATCCTGACAGCCTGGGTCCAGTTATAACTCTGCTGGTTACTAATTGTAACCTTAGAGCTTAATAACACCCATGCTTCTATTTCCTCAATGGTAAATCAGGGATCGTAATAGTGTACACTTCATAGGACCACCAAGTCCAATAGATACGGCTCTATGCTCATCTTAGTCAATGCTCTGAACAGCATTTGCTGCTCTTGACCTCTTCCTTAAAACACTATTCTCTCTTAGCTTCTGAGACCCCAAACTCTAGTTCTTTTCTATTATCCCCTGCTTCTTTTCATTTGCTCTTCTTTTTCTACCCAATTTCTAAATACTGGGTGCCCAAGGACCCTTTCTGTCTTTTTTTTTTTTTTTGAGATGGAGCCTGGCTCTGTTGCCCAGGCTGGAGTGCGGTGGTGAGATCTCGGCTCACTGCAAGCTCCGCCTCCCGGGTTCACGCCATTCTCCTGCCTCAGCCTCCCGAGTAGCTGGGACTACAGGCGCCCGCCACCACACCCGGCTAATTTTTTGTATTTTTAGTAGAGACGGGGTTTCACCGTGTTAGCCAGGATGGTCTCAATCTCCTAACCTCGTGATCCGCCCGCCTCGGCCTCTCAAAGTGCTGGGATTACAGGCGTGAGCCACCGCGCCCGGCCGACCCTTTCTCTTCTTTTTGTTTACTCCTTTCCAAGGTGATCCCTTTGGTCTGGTGGCTTTAAGTATTATCTATATGCTGCTGAGTCTTATATGTCTCTGGTTCTGACCTGTCCAGCTCAGAGGTCCAACTTCATATTTCTAATTGCCTCCTAGATACTGCTCCCTTAATATGTCTCTAACTAGATCCCTGAATCTCTCCGCTAAAATAAGCAAGTAAAGAAATAAACTTTTCCCTTTTCCAGTAATCTCCATCTTCGGTTAATGGCCTCAGATCTATGTCTTGTCCTTAATTAGTTCTTTCACATCATATATCCAAGCCAGCAGCAAAGCACTACCTTTTTGAATCAGTCTATTTCTGTCTTCCCTACCATCCTTGCCAAGCCAGCGTCATTCCTTGTCACATTCACAGCCTTCTAACTTGTCCTCTTCCTGCCTATTCTATACATAGCTGTTGGAGTGATTTTTTTTTTTAAGCAAAAATCAGATCATGCCACTTCTCTGTTTTAAGATCCACTAATGGCCTCTCATTGCACTAAAATAAAATTGAATCTCCTTCCCGTAGCTTACCCATCTGAGCTCAGTTTCCATAGCTAGGAAATGGGGATAATTGTGGCTTTAACTAGAATATAGTAAGTTCCATGAGGGCATGGGTTTTTATCTGCTTTGTTCACTACTGTTTTCCTAGTGCCTAGAACAGTGTGTACACGTAATAGGCACTTAATAATTATTTACTGGATGAATAAACACATTCAGATTATGTGGATACCCCAAAGCCTTTCTTCTTTCCTCTTTCAGAGCAGTATATTATGTAGCTCAGTATTTTCTGCATTACATAGGAAGGCCAGCTAAGGCTTCTGATGCAATATCTCCTTTCTTTTTCCCTTCTCACTTTTTACGCATGTTCTCCTGTCCCTCCCTGTCTTATGTTTGGGTCATTAGGAGGATATGTTTGGGTCATTAGGAGAAAGATGAGTGGGTGAGTGGGGCAAGAAACAGAAACCAGAAAGGAATCCTGAGACTAGTACCAACAACATTTAAAACATAAACATTTTACTATAGAAATCTTGTAATAGGCCAGGTGTGGTGTCTCACGCCTGTAATCCCTGCACTTTGGGAGGCTGAAGTGGGCAGGTCACTTGAGGTCAGGAGTTCGAGACTAGCCTGACCAACATGGTGAAACCTGGTTTCTACTTAAAAATACAAAAATTAGCCGGGTGTGGTGGCATGCGCCTGTAATCCCAGCTGCTTGGGAGGCTGAGGCAGGAGAGTCACTTGAACCTGGGAGGCAGGAGGTTGCAGTGAGCCAAGATTGCGTCACTGCACTCCAGCGTGGGTGACAGAGCGAGACTCCGTCTCAAAAAAACAAAAGGAAATATTGTAACATATACAGAAGTAATAGATAGTATAATGAATCCTTATCTCTTCATCACCCAGTTTCAACAGTTATCAACTCATGGCCATGTTTTGAACAACCATTGTTTAATTTGGATCTTGCCTATAGTTAAGGAATGCCTAGTTTATAGAGGTTTATATCACAGATAGGATTTTACTCTGGGTATCATTACTATTTTGTAAACCAACTTGTTGAGGACAGATAAGGAATATTTTTAAGGTTATTAGAAAAGCCTGAAATTTCACTGTTATTTCAACCATAAGTTTGCAAATAGTGAATAAGCCTGATAAGGGAAGCACATGAAGCCCATTACCAGTTTTTTTTTTTTTTTTTTTTTTTTTTTTTTAAATAGACGGAGTCTCGCTCTTTCATCCAGGCTGGAGTGCAGTGCCGCGATCTCGGCTTACTGCAGGCTCCGTCCTCCGGGGTTCACGCCATTCTCCTGCCTCAGCCTCCCGCATAGCTGGGACTACAGGTGCCTGCCACCTCGCCCGGCTAATTTTTTGTGTTTTTAGTAGCGACGGGGTTTCACTGTGTTAGCCAGGATGGTCTCGATCTCCTGACCTCGTGATCCCCCCACCTTGGCCTCCCAAAGTGCTGGGATTACAGGCGTGAGCCACTGCGCCCGGCCAGCAGTTATTTATTTCTTATGTCAGTTGGTTAATCAGAAACATGCTTGACTGGTAAGTAACCAAGAGCAGGCTTTGATGGGAGGTATGAAATCATGGGGACCTAGGGAGGGAAGGGTTAAATAAGGACGATTAATAGTGTTCAAGAGAGTAGGATGGTGCTGCTTTGCTACTTTCCAGCTTGCCTGGAGGTGGTCCCCACCTCAGAGCCTATAGAAAGAGGTCCTTATTCTAGTTTGGTGATGTTCCTTGTGCATTGTTATCTGGGTTCCCCTCAGCTTGGCTCCAAGGACCTTGTGTAAAACTGTGCAGAAGGTGCTTCCCGTTAACTCTGCTGCTTGTTTATTTTTAGGTATCTTGCAATATATTCAGAACTCTCCCTCCTAGTGACAGCAATGAATTTGATCCAGAAGAAGATGAACCTACCCTTGAGGCATCGTGGCCACACTTACAGGTACTTTGAAATACCATTTGTTATAAAAGAAAACTCCATTAACTCATTAGCTGATTAGCATGGGAATTCCTTGAAGGGCTTTATTCACCAAGAAATCAAATTAGAGTACACTAATGGAAAGTTAGAGAATGTTTTTTATGTTTCTTATTCTTGATAATTAGAATGCCAAAAGAATAAAATAGTGTCAGTGTGATGCTTTAGTGTCCCCCAACCCCACGTTGCAGGTACAGCCAGCAGTTCTTATTTCTCTATTAGAGCTTCTTTATGATCCTGCCCTCTAGAGCCTCCAACAAAGCACAGAATTATTTTCACATTAGCATTAGTTGGATGTGATTAGCTCACAGAGTATATATCTCATTTTTAGTGGTATGTACCCTGGGAACTTTGTATGTCTGTCATCACATTAACTACAAATGTGTTTCTTTAGTTAGAAGGACAAAACCAAACTGTAATAGCTATTTCGTTCACAGTACTGTAAGGAAGAGTAACAGCTGAGAGAAAGCTTGGGTAAAGGCCAATTCTGTTCTCTTGCACTGAGAAGGCCATGTTTTCCAATCACACTTATGTGCCAGGATGGATCAGGGGCATCACTGCATCTCTGTTTCCAGCATTAGAGCCATCTGTATTGTATTAACTTGTATAATACATACTGGTAATTTTCCAGCTCGTTCCTTCCTTGTGCTGCCTTCTCTGAAGGCCAAAATTTCTCAAAAGAATAGAGCAAGGAAATTTGTACATGTTGAACCCCAAAGTCACCCTTCCATTGAGTCAGAATATCCTTAGGTTGCTCGACAAATAGCAAGGGGGAAGGGGTGGAAGAAAATGAATAATACCTTGTACATCTTCACCCCTAGGCAGAAGCTGCTGCATTTTCGTAGAAATGTATTCATGGTTCAGGTTGACTTTTTTTTTTTTTTTTTTTTTTTTTTTTTTTTTTTTTGAGACGGAGTCTCGCTCTGTCGCCCAGGCTGGAGTGCAGTGGCGGGATCTCGGCTCACTGCAAGCTCCGCCTCCCGGGTTCACGCCATTCTCCTGCCTCAGCCTCCCAAGTAGCTGGGACTACAGGCGCCCGCCACTACGCCCGGCTAATTTTTTTGTATTTTTAGTAGAGACGGGGTTTCACCGTTTTAGCCGGGATGGTCTCGATCTCTTGACCTCGTGATCCGCCCGCCTCGGCCTCCCAAAGTGCTGGGATTACAGGCGTGAGCCACCGCGCCCGGCCTCAGGTTGACTTTTTGAAGAGCAAACAAACTGTGCAGCAGAGAGAGAAGGCCTAGAGATATTCTAAGAGTTTTTCCCCCCTACTTCAGAATTTCTGACACAAATTTGCAAGTCTGTCTGTCCTGCTTTGACAACTCAAAGTTTCTGCAAGTACACACGTGTGCTATTTCCCGTTGTTACGTAGAGAGCTTTTGGGGGCTCTGTTTTCTCAGCTCTTACTCAGGCGTGTTATGCATATGTATTCCTGCCTCCAATGCTAAGACTGGGTAAATTAGTTAAAACACGGTAATTGATTTACTATCTTAGATGTTTGATTTTTTTTTTAAGGTCCCAGACATATTGTCTGCAATCTAAGAAACTTGTAAAACTATTTGTGCTTTTCATAGGTATATCCCAGATTGTGACACAATCCAAAAAAGAATTACTTTTTTGAATGGGTGAATTGTCATGTCTTACTCTTAATGTTTGGTGACAGTTCATTGAATTACAGTTTAGTCTGGAAGAAACTTAACAACAACAAAAAGACGATCTCCTCAGTAGTCTCACATCTTATGGTGGAAAAGACAAGGAAAGAGATGTCTTCAAAGCCTCAGCATATTGTCTTCTCTGTATTCGAAAGAAGACATTGGGACCACTCTTGCCATTTGCAAGAGCTTTTTGAATATTCTATGTCATGATAACCATAGACATAAATTTCCCCTAAAGTACAATAAACTTTTACTCATTATTACAGTTAATCCTTCCCATACTTAATGACTCTGTAAAATACAGGACCAAATTAATTTCTGAAACTCTTTAATTCTGCCACAAAAAACCACTCTAGCTTACACTGTCATTACTGCAGGAATATTAACCATTAGTTAATCTGAAATCCTAAAACCAAAGAAACAGTGAAGAATGGTAATGAGACCTGTGCCCTTTTGGATATAAAGGCAGAAACGGTATTATAATATGGGCTGGTTTCATGTGTGTTGACATCCTGTTCAAGGTTATTATCCTTTGGTCCTTTCTTTAGCTCAAGGGGAAATATGACCTACTAATGCTGGATCAGGTGAAGGAACCTTTTAAAATTCGTAAATCAACCTTCATTCATAGTAAAGTTTAGGTCACTAGGCACACTGTTGCCTTCACCATCTGTTGCTTTTGGACCAAGGCTCCTGACTTGGTCTCAAGAATCCTGTGTTTCCTTTGTATATTCTTATAGCACAAATTAGCCACCTTTCCATTTTCAGTGTTAGGTGGTTTTAGCACTAATGAGGGCAGTCACTGAATGTATAAGAAGTCTCTTTTTCTTTTCATGATAGGTCATTCATGTCATAGTCACCTATCATGAAGTTTAACATTTTACTTTTTAGTTGATCCAACTGTCTATTTTTCTGACCAAAACACAGCATAGTTTTAGACCTTTTCACTTTTTATTAACTTCATAATTAGCAGTACGCTTCCTTTTCTGGAACACATTTTGCAAGGAAGAAAGTATAAATACCTGACGGGAGGAGGTCAAAACAACAAAATGACATTGAGATGTGGTTGTTGAGTGGTTGGCTGTGCTCATTGCCCAGCTAATTGACTGCTCCTGCATACCTTTTTGATTTAAATTTGTGGCATACACAAAATTACCCATTGGCCGGACGTAGTGGCCCATACCTGTAATACTAACACTTTGGAAGGCCAAGGCGGGTGGATCACTTGAAGCCAGGAGTTTGAGAGCAGCCTGGCTAACATAGTGAAACCTCGCCTCTATGAAAAATACAAAAATTAGACAGGCGTGGCAGCACACGCCTGTAATCCCAGCTACTTGGGAGGCTGAGGCACGAGAATTGCTTGAACCTGGGAGGCGGAGGCTGCAGTGAGCCAAGATTGCGCCACTGCACTCCTGCCTGGGCAACAGAGCGAGACCATCTCACCAAAAAAAAAAAAAAAAAAAAAAGTAAAAAAATTACTGATTATAACAAATTGTGGATCTTTTGGGATCTTTAAAAATAGACAAAAGAATAATTTTTAGTTCAAATATGTCAAAGGGGTCTACTCTGTATGTTATTCAACCTTTTCAGTTATCCAAAATAGTATCTTGTTTATGTATTTTCTGAAATTAGGTGTGTCTTCAGTAGAATACAATTTTATAGGACTTTCATTTACAATTAAGAATTTGTTTTTAGTGCTTTCCGTTTGAGACTGACAAACAGGAATGCTAGTCTTCTTACTAAAGTTCCTTGGAGAATTCATTTATGTAACCTTGAAAAGTAATTTGTCCTCCCCAGCCCCCAGTCTTTCTCTTTAGAAACTTAAGGGAGATTTTTGATTTTGACGTAGAATCTTTCTCTTAAGTGCAGAGAACACTTATGCTTATTAATAAATATGTCTGAAGTGTTTCCACCAAACATTTTAGACCATAACTGCTTTCAAGTGACCAGAGAGGAGAGAGCACTTTGCCAGTCTTGCTGGAAAGCCTTGCCAGTCCACAGGCCAGCTTAGAAGATGAGAATCTCCCCTCTTTGTGGCAATCGAAAGAGGGCTAAAACCCACTTGATGGGGTCATTTGAATAAGGCTGACATTCTGTATGTAAAACTGAGAGTTGACAGATGAGTGTATTAGAAAAGGAACAATTCTCTGAGGTCTTAGGACTTGGGCATTATTTTGACTAGCAAAATAACATGTGAAATTTGGCAACGTCCGGATCATTAGGAAAGAAATTTTTCTGAATTCAGAGAGTTCCAAGGAGAAAAACATAGTTTTATAAGGAAGTAAAATGCTAACGTGAATCCCTAATTTAAGTCTTAAATTAGAGTCTGACGTGAGAAGAAACATTTAAATCAGTGGTATCTGTGGACCCTTAGAGGGGCTCTGAGACCTGATTTTCCATGTCCTGCAAGGTCAAAACTACCTTTATAACAGTGCTGTATATATGATTTGTCCTTTCACTGTGTTGACGTTTGTACTATTCATTGCAAAAGTGGCGGTGGTTAAAATTGCTGCTACCTTAACGAGAATCAAGGCACTTGTGTCAAACTGGTTGAGTATTCTTCACTGCCACGTACTTGTAATTAAAAATGTAAAAAAGCCGATTTCACTTGAGAACATCTTTGAAGAAACAGTGAAAATTAATAATTTTATTACATTTTGACCCTCAAGCACACATTTAAAAATATTCTACATGATACAATGGGAAGTATGCATAGTAACATCCACTGCATACTGAAATATAATGGTTATCTTATGGAAAAGCATTTGTGTAATAGTTTTTGAGCTGTAACCCAAACTAGCCTTTTTTTTTTTTTTTTCCTCCTCATGAAACATCATTTTTACTTGAAGGAATGACTAACAAACTATGATTATTCAGGCTTGGGTATTTGGCGGATATTTTGTCTGAAACAAACAAGAAAACCATTTGACAATATTTGTTACCACTGACAAAATTAGAGCATTAATGCAGAATTTAGAATTAGAATTTTAGAAAACTTGTATCTGTCTTGCATCTGTCACCTTGAGCTTGCAGCTTCCCAAAGCTTAAAGACTTTTTAAAAATAAAATTGAGATAATAAAGAATGTGATTTTTTAGATACTGTATAATAAAACATGTCAACATTTAAAAGAGCTGCGTAACTCAATGAACCAATATTTTCCAGTTGGCAAATGATGTTAGGAAAGCATGCATGGATAAAGATCCATTCAAAGTGCAAGACAGATGATTGGATTTTAGTGTAACAAAGTATGAAAAGTTCATTGATATCATTTCAGATTCTGTGTTGCAACTAATCTTTAAGAAATGACAATTTGTTGAATTTAGTGTAGCATCAAAGAAGAATATCTACAATTATGTGGGAGAAAAAGAAACTAGTAAAATACTCTCCCTTTTTTGATGGAGATCTCCCTGGATCTCCGTCAGCCTTGATTTTCTTTGTATACTTAAACCAAAATGACATATCACAACAGATTGGATATAGAAGCAGATGAAAATCTGTCTTACATTAAGCCACATATTAAAGAGATTTATAAAACTATAAAACAATGGCTTTCTTCTCAATTCTTTTGGAAAGTAAAGTTTTTTTTTTCTTTTTTTTTCAGGAACATAATTATGTTAACATATAATGCACCTTGTTTTTAAATGAAACAGTGAAATTTTAAAGTTTTTTTCACTTTTTATTTCTGATTAGATATTATATATATCATATATATCTCATATAAACAAAAGCTTTGGGGTCCTTGTTAATTTTTAAGTGTAAAGGAGTGAGACCAAAAAGTTAGCAAATGTTATTTTAGGAATAGTGATGATGATACATGTTAGTCATTGTGCAGAGGGCTTTATGTGTGTATTTTCACATTTAATCTTAGAGACTATCCATCTCCATTATAAAATCGAAGAGACAAAGTTTCAGAGAAGTTAACTTGCTCAGGGTTACACAGTTAGTAAGGAAAAGAGTTAGGCATTCAACCCAGTATTCATGGTTTAAAAAGTTCTGGATTATATATGTATTTTTTAGAGAAACAGAGTCTTGTTCTCTTGCCCAGGCTTGACTCAAACTCCTGGGCTGAAGCAGTCCTCCCTCCTCAGCCTTCTGAGTAGCTGAGACTGCAGGCGCAGGCAGTTGTACCAGTTAAAGGTTCTGGTTTTGATATACTGTTGCATACCTCGTCAGGATCTGATGTAGCCTTTGACATAGGCTTATTATGCAAAGAGAATACGCAGTGATTCCCCACTGTTTATCAGAACAATTATTTGAGGCTGACTTTTTGCAGATGGGTATATTGTGCCACACCATCTTATGATCCGATGAGTAGAAATTGCCATAAACTTTCTGAAAAGAAATTTGTCAGTGAGTATCAAAAATTCTGAATGTTTGGATATCTTGTGATCTAGCAATTCCACATTTAGAAATATTTCCTCATGACATAATTGAACAAGTACATACTGATGTATGTTATGTGATGCACGTTGTCGCAGAATGATGGAGAAATAATTCAGAAACTACTTAAATGTCTAAGCCTGGGAGGTTGGTTAAATTAATTATGAATAATGGAATTATTCATTATAAATTATAATGGACTACTTACAGCTACTAAGAATGATAGTTGAGATATTATTGATGTAAATTGTTCATAATACATTGTTTAAATGGTAAAAGTAGTCTGTGAAACTGTAAAAATATATTTATATGGTATGTTAAATGAAGTATATACATAATATATTGTTTAAATGGTACAAGTAGTTTGCAAAACTGGAAGAATATATTTATAGTACATTAGTATGTTGTAGAAGGAAATATATACATTGAAATGTTAACAGTGGTTGTCTCTGAATGGCAAGATTATGGGAAATTTTTCTTTGCTTTGTTTAGTTGTATTTTCTAATTTAAAATTTTAAAAGTTGAAAGCATAACAGCAACTGTGAGCCACAAGAAAGGCTGGCCTGGTTTGTTGATTGATATTAAAATCAATTTTCTAAGCCCTGTCACTTTTAGTGTTACAGGCTTTTGGTGGTTTTTAGTACTGTTCTCAGTGAGTCATAATTTGAAATTAATTATAATCTGTTTGTTGCAGCTTGTATATGAATTTTTCATACGATTTTTGGAAAGCCAAGAATTCCAACCCAGCATTGCCAAAAAATATATAGATCAGAAATTTGTATTACAGGTAAGCAAATTATTGTGGTTGTGTGTATTTGTCATCCAGTTAACACTTTATCTCATTTTCTCTTCATGTTTGTTAAAAAAGTTTTGCAATGACAGTTATATCACCCACAAAATATATATATATATATAAACATAAGTTAATTTCCATTACTGCCTATTAAAAGTAATAGGTACATTTAAGTTTATTTATGGTAGAAATCAATTACATTTTAAATAGCCAGGAATGCTAATGCCTAAATCCCTACAGTTTTCTCTAAAAATTTAATTATAAAGGAATTTCATTTATATAACCTTGGTTTGTGGGAATCGTTATATAGCTTAAAGACTTACATTTGCGTAAGGATTCTTAAAGAAGTGTGGTGTAGATCTGTTAAAACTGAGTAGGCAAGCTCAGACTTCAAAGCATAAGTAACCTGTAATAAATAATCAAAGTCAGGGTACTGATGAGATTTCACTGCTAGAAAATAGCATAGCTTAACATTCTAAAATTTCCCTAAAGGGATTAACTCTCATGTCTCCATTTGGAACATCTCCGGGAACACTTTTTTCCTGACTCCTCATTGTGCATGTTATAACAATGGATCTTCCTTTTTACCTGGAACTTGGGTGCTTTCATGGCACTGAAGTTTTAGGTAACACTTCCTTGCTCCTGTTGTTGATATATTCGTCTCTAAAAATGGGTGCTTGAGCCAAACTGGTGTAGCTCTCTTCTGAGTGACATGTGGGGCATCTAATGTA
The DNA here is from genome assembly GCF_000001405.40 of Homo sapiens. NCBI lineage: Eukaryota > Metazoa > Chordata > Mammalia > Primates > Hominidae > Homo > Homo sapiens. The sequence goes on along the minus strand of NC_000014.9, from coordinate 63,414,402 downwards.
GGAAAGAATAAATGTTTATCTCCTAGTAAGCCGGTAAGAAGAATTTCAAATTTAAAACATTAATTTGATCTAGCCTGGGCAAAAGAGCAAGACCCTGTCTCTAAAAATAAAATAAAAAGTAAAACATTAATTTGGCAGGAAATTGGTCTCCTGTGCCTTACTGGGATGGGGCTGATAACCTTTGTGATCTCATTTCCCTCCTTAATTAAATTAATACATTTGGAATTTAGGATATATAGGTTGAACCATAGCCAATTTTTTGACTGTTTTTGACACTCAAAACAGCAGTTTCATAGGGTTCAATCCAACAGGGTCAGGCAAGCTTCCAGAGAGCTGAGGGGCATGGAGGCCTCTCTACATCCTAAGTAAGGCTAAGTGGAATTAAACCCAAAGTTCAGATGTCAGCTCAGAGCTGAAAGGAGCTTTGGTGCCTTGCCTGTGCGGCTCATTAGTACCTGTACACCCTATTCCCCTAGGTACATGGGGCGGATCCTTGAGCAATACTTCACATTTAGAGTACTTTGGTACCACACTGGTGAATCCTGGCTCACACTTTAACATGAGAGGGTTTGGAAAAGTGAGGTCTGAAATAGAGATGGAAAGGTAGGTAAATAGATGGATACGTGGATCACGGGGTAAATAGGTAAATTGGTATGGATTGTTATGCCAGGGAAGCATAACTTATTTCAAAAAAAATGTAAGTGATACATAGTAGATCTACATTTTGTATTGGAAAGCCTTGCATGTATATAGTGCTGTCTAATTGTCAGAGCACCTTTGCCTGCGTTAGTTGATTTGTACAACAGTCTTGTAAAGTAGTCATGACTAAATTTTTATGCCCTCCCTCACCCTCCGCCCCATTTTATAGATGCATAAACTGAGGTCTAGAAAGATTATCAAGTTTGCTCAAGCACATTTCCTATTCTGGATTTCTGTCCATCATGCCGTGATGCCTTCTTGTGATTCCCTCACTGTAACTTGGAGTGACTTCAAGGGAGAAGTAGCCCTCACATCTGAAGACTAATGAAATAATAGGGTTCTCCTATTTTTTGTGAATTAATGTGCCTAAGAGGATCAGATAGTAATTCTCTATTAGAGCCTGTATTTAGTTGACATGGAATCAGTAAATCCTATGGTCTTACTATGAAGCCAGTGCTTTTCTTACACAAAAACATCCAGGGCTCAGCCCAGTGTGCTGTCCATGGTAGACAGTACTGAAGATAATGAAACTTATAATACGAAAACATCAGAGAAACCCAGATTTGGAAAGGACATTTTGGGTTATGTATTCTAGTTCTTTAGCAAATTAGTCTCCTTTGAGACCCTTTTTCAGTGAAGAAAAGCCATATACACAGGTAGCTTGTTCCATTTTTGTTAGGAAGTTCTTTTTTTATGTTGAACCTCTCTATGCCTTGTACCCTTTGTCTTTATTCTCCCCAGAATAATTTCTTAGTATATCTGTAGCCCAGACATAACCTTTCAGGTCTTAGAACACAGCTTTTGTGTTCACCCTTTGACTCTTTTTCTCTATAACAGTGGTTGCAATTCAAATGCTCATAGCCTCATACATAGTAAGTCTGAAAGCCAGGGGTCAGACAATAGGATGTAGACTGGTTCCTATTAAATGGGGCTTTGGCTACCCCTCTTCATTCAGTTATCCCCAGACTTTTCTCCTCGCCAATCCCCAAGATAAATAGAAATCCAGATTCTTCTGTGAAGTTTTCTGGTATTACTAAAATCTTGTACAGAATGAACTAGCCCATTTGCCTTCTGGATCTAGCCTACCAGCTGTCAGTATGCATTTTCTCCTCTAGACCGAGTTCTTCGTTCTGTCAACCTTCTCTCATTTGTTAGTTTTGAAGCCTTCAGTATCCTGGTTGTGTCCATTTGTCCTCTAATATGACATCTATATTTGAACAGAATGCCCTGAGCCTGGTCAGCCCAGTGCGGCTTAGAGTTGGCTTTTTCATTCCCTTGTCGTGACTTTAGGTTTCTTAAAGGAAAAGTCTCATGAGCATTTCTTGCTGTAGCATGACATTGCCAACTTATGTTAAGCTTCTGGTTATAGCTGGCTTCTAATTGAGCTTTCTGCATATTGCTGCATGTTTCTCTTCTTTTCCCTTTTTTAAACAAACAGGGTCTTGCTATGTTGCCCAGATTGGGCTCAAGTGATCCATCTCAGTCTTCCAAGTAGCTGAAACTACAGGTGTGCACCACCATGCCTGGCTTATTGTTGGTTGTTACACAGTTGGCTTTTTTATCTAAGTGTAGTACTTGGCATATGTTCCTGTGGAATCATTTATCCCTTATTCATATCTACCTTATTCACTGTGTCTTCCATCTTTATGACATCTGTAACCTAAATATGCTATCGGCCTCATCTAAGTCATTGATTAAAATTGTTTAACTAGGATAAAACACTACCTATTGGGTACAGTGCACACTATTATATATGGGTACGCTAAAAGCCCAGACTTCACTGCCATGCTTCTAGTAGTCTATTTTGTGTTGCTGTAAAGGAATTCTTGTGGCTGGGTAATTTATGAAGAAAAGAGGTGTATTTGGTTCATTGTTCTTCGGACTGTACACGAAGCATGGCACTAGCATCTGCTTCTGGTGAGGGCCTCAGGAAGCTTATAATCATGGTGGAAAGCAAAAGGGGAGCATGTGTGTCACGTGGTGAGAGAGGAGCAAGACAGAGGGGGCAGAGGTGTCAGGCTTTTTTTTTTTTTTTTTTTTTTTTTAAACAACCACATCTCACGGTAGCTAATAGAGTGAGAACTCACTCATTACTTCAAGGACAGCACCAAGCCATTCATGAGGGACCCACCTCCATACCTCCATGATCCAGATACCTCTCACTAGGCCCCACCTCCAACACTGGGGATCACATTTCAACACGAGATTTGGAGGGAACAAAAACCAAACTATATCAATGCAATATATCCATGTAACACAACTGCACTTGTACTCCCAAAACTATAAAAATAAAAATAATTTTAAAAAAAAGAAAAAGTTGTTAAACTAGCCAGGGTTGAGATAGGAGCCTTTAGAAATTCCCTATATTACACAGCTTCATCATTAATCAGTAATCTTTGAGTTTTATCCTTGATCCAGAAATTTACTAGTATATTATCATCCTTCCTGCATTTCTTAATTTTGGTTGTATGGAGAACATAGAGACTATTAGATGCTATGGTAAAAGCCAGGACTCTGTGTTTATAGCATTACTGTCATCTATAGGCCTTGTAACTTTATCATAAAAAGGAATGCCATTTATCTGCCATGTGGTATTAGTGAACGTCTAGAGCTAGTGCTGTTTACTGATGATCCTGCCCTAAGTGCTTGCAAACCATGGGTTTGTTCATCTGTCCTAAAATTTTGCCAGAGACAAGAAATAAAGTGTCAGTGGTGAAGTTCATTTATATACTTTATGTTTTCAGCCCCTTCCTCATTTTTCCAATTGTTGCCTTCTTTACTTTCCATCTGCTGGATCTGTTATAAATTTGACCTTCACACCAGGGCTCACCCCAGTTCCTGAATGAATTGTGAAAGTGGCAAGCAGGGGTATTGGCAGAATCAGCACCACCATTGAGAGCTTGAATGAAATCATCTGACTAATCAGTGCATTAACTGCCATGTTGGGAATAAGCCCTGGGCACCTGTTAGCTCCCATTTTCCAGAATACCCTGCTCATTCATGTTGGTAATCTGTAAGTTGGCCTCCTGTCCTTTTCCTTACCCTTTAGTCTGCTGATGACTTACCTTCGCTCCCGGTGCCTTCTAAGAGGGGGCCTTAATTTCTTAACTGGTTCTCCTGAGATCCCTTCCTGGCCAGTTTGGTTCTGCTGGGGAGTGGGTGGGCCTTTGGGGCTTGAGGGATTGATGCTGATATTTTACCCCATTATCCCCCGTCTCACTCATTCCTCCTCCTCTTTCCCACTGTGACTTAACTGTCCTTGAATTGACAGGTCCTTCTAACCTCTGCACTCGGTAGTCAGGTCTTTTTCACACCCCCGCTTGTCCTTGCATTTTTCTGAACTCCATCGTCTCCCATGGTGCCACCTGTTCCTAGTGTGTTTCTCTTATGACATGGAAACCTACATCCTTTTCCTTTTGACAAATCAGGATGACGTTTACCCTGTTTCTTTTCTTTGGGCAGATTTCTATTTTCTGTGGGTTTTCAGTGGTCTCAAAAAAGAATCTTGGTAATCTCAGCTTAAAATTTCTTTCTTCAGTTAGACAGAATTTATTGTATCCATGAGATTTCAACTTATTTTCTGTAGCAGCTGAATATGTTCTTTGCAGTCAGTCTTCTGACTGTCATTCCTCTGTCAGTGAATACAAAAGCAAAATAGGAATTGAGCTATTTTACTATGACGTAGTGGAAAGTTAGGAAGCTTTGGGTTTGAATCTTGACTTCCCTATATATTGTAAGTATATTTTAGGAGCTGAGAATGTGAACTTTGGGGTCAGAAGAAACTGCATACAAACTCTGGCTTCTCTGCCTACTTGCAGTATGACTTTCAGCAAGTTTGTATACCTGTTGTCCAAGCCTGAATTTCCTGATTCATGACATGGGATAACAGGATAAATGAGATACTGTTAAGTAAAACAGGAGACACGTCAAAATCGACAGTTGTCAAATCTGCTTAGTTCACTTGGCAGTGTGGATACAAAGACAGGATCCCTGCCTTCAATCTTAAACAGGTGACTGAAAACCTTGGGCAGATTATTGACCACTCGGAGCCTCAGTGTCGTTTTTTATAAAATGACATTAAGATCACCTATCACAACAAGTCACAGCAAGTAGGCTTGTTATGAGATAAAATGAGATGACTTGTAAAAATGTCTACTGGTATCACCTATGGGGCATAGTAGTTGCTCATTAAATATTAATTCATCTTTTCACAACCCCCTCATATGTTATCTGCCCGCATTGATAGAATGTATTATTTTTCTTGATTCCAATAATTTTAGTTTTATTTATTTATTTTGAGACAGAGTCTTGCTCTGTTGCCCAGGCTGGAGTGCAGAGGTGTAATTTCAGCTCACTGCAACCTCCACCTCCCGGGTTCAAGTGATTTTCATGCCTCAGCCACCTGAGTAGCTGGGATTACAGACGTGCACCACCAAACTCAGCTATTTTTTGTTTATTTGATTGTTTTTTTGAGACAGAGTCTTGCTCTGTCACCCAGGCTGGAGTGCAGTGGTACAGTCTCAGCTCACTGCAACCTCCGCCTCCTGGGTTCAAGCAATTCTCCTGCCTCGGCCTCCTGAGTAGCTGGGATTACAGGCACTCGCCACTACGGCTGGCTAATTTTTTGTATTTTTAGTAGTAACGGGGTTTCTCCATGTTGGTCAGGCTGGTCTTAAACTCCCAACCTCAGGTGATCCACCTGCCTCGGCCTCCCAAAGTGCTGGAATTACAGGCATGAGCCACCAAGCCCGGCCCTAATTTTTGTATTTTTGGTAGAGACGTGGTTTCACCATGTTGGCCAGGCTGCTCTTGAACTCCTGGACTCAAGTGATCTGCCCACCTTGGCCTCCCAAAGTGCTGGCAATACAGGCGAGTCACTGTGCCTGGCTTCCAGTATTAATTTTAAAATCTTCATTTTTTGAAATAGAATTTTAAAAATATATATGAAAGTTGAAGAAGGCTTGAATAAATGCAGAAATGTAGCATATTGCTAGATGGAAAGACTCACCATCAGAAAGATGTCTATATAATCTCCAAATTATTTATACATTAGTGCAGTTCTAATTAAAATTAGTTTTTTAAAAACTTGAAACGTTTAGAGTTATGAAATAAATTTTTGAAAAAGATGACTAATGATATGGTACTTATTAAATAATATACTACAAAGGAAAAGGTAAGTTAATTAAAACAGTATGGCTTTGGAACAGTAGAATGGAACATAATAGCGCCTTAGGTGGAGATGACCCTGCTGAGCGTGCCATAAAACCCATAAGAAGATGTACCAAATAAACGAATGAATAAATATATGAATAGATGGCTATATACACATATACGTTAAATTGGCATAATTGTCCTGAAGAGAAAACCGATAGTATTCTATCAACTTAAATTTAGACCCAACAATTCTGTGAGAAATAATCAGATATGTACAAAAGATATATATACAAAGGTTATTGAATGCACCATTGCTAATAATTATTAGAAAATTGGAAAATAACTTCAAAGTTCCTTAGTAGGAGGTAATTGTACTGTGGACATTCATATAGTGAAATATTCATCAGTTTGTAAAAAGAATGTGATAGACCTACTCAATGATCTATTTTAGGTGAAACATGCATTGTTATAGAACAGTATAATTTTTGAGCCTGTATCTGTTATTTTAGGGAAAAATAATGTTAGTATTTTTGTCTTAGTTCTTTTGTGCTGCTTTAACAAAATGCCTCAGACTGGGTAATTTATAAAGAACAGAAGTTTATTTCTTACAGTTCTGGAGGCTGGGAAGTTCAAGATCGAGGTGCTGGCATCTAACGAGTGTCATCTTACTGGGTGTGCCCTCACATGGTGGAAGGCAGAAGGATGAGAGAGAGTGAACCCATGTCCCAAATCCCCTTTCATAGTGGCATTAATCTATTTATGAGGGCAGAGCCCTTATGACCTCAACACCAAAAGGCCTTACTTCCCAACACTGTTTCATTGGAGATTAAATTTTTATCACACGAATTTTGGGGGACACATTCAGACTATAGCAATATGCATTAACAATTTTGAAAGGAGTTCTACCAAATTGTTGTTAATTGGCTGGAAGGGGGTGATTATGTGTGATGATCTTCACTTCCTATTTTTTAGATATCTCTATTTTTTATATAAAAAAAATAAGCATATATGTTGTAATCAATAAGAATAAAAAATTTCATCTGCAAGTACATTCTCATTTTATTGCCTTGCATTTTTCATAAACCTCAGCTGATTTTGTGCATTAGCCTTCCTAAGACTATTTTTGTATGATAGCACCATTCTTTTATGCCCAGTATTCGTTGCTTCCTTCCTTTCACCATTTGTATCTGCCCTTTGAAAATCTAAAGCTCAAATGAAAGCTTCCTGTGTTGCCTCAAGTGCCTTTTTCAATACCTTGAATTTTTCTTCCTTATCAGGAAGCAGTATAGATTGGTGGTTAAGTGTACAGACTGATTTGAATTCGGGCTCTGCCATTTTTTTTGTATTCGACCTTGGACAAGTGACATAACTACTGTGTGCCTCAGTTTCCTCATCTAGAAAGTAGATGCAAAATATCATAATCACATTGTAAGGTTGTTGTGGAGATTTAACAACTAAATACCTATACAAACTCTCAGAAGTATTCCCAACACATGGTTCATATTCAGTAAACGTTATGCTGGTGGTGTCACTAATATTTTTATTAGGATTCTTGTTTTGAGAACTTTCTTAAGCTCTGTTTTCTTTAATAGCTTCAGTCCATGAAATCATATAGTGTTAGCCTGTCATGTCTTACCTAGCATGTTATGAATTATTTGAAATCCAACTCTTATTCTAAAAATCATTGGTATCCATTCAACTCTACGTATATGGTTCTTCACAGGCTGTTGGGTTCTCTTAAGATGTTACATGGGTTTCCTGTGTCTCTGGATTCTCTTCAGTTCCACTTTGCCAACTGATTTCCTCCAATCAGTGTTGAACATAAATGTTTATTAGTGCCAGGAACGTATAATTTATAATGTGTGAAAACCAGGGATAGCCCATTTAAATCTTTACAGAGGACAGACAAATGGTACATGATTAAGTAGTGTTGGTATGACCAAAGGAGTGATGGAAACTGTGGCGATTTAGAGAGCTTGGATCCTGCTGCCAATCCGCTCCCAGTAACGGTTGGTCTCTAGGTAAGTGAGCCAAGTATTGCTAGATCTTTTGGCTTTTCAAGAGAAGCTGGAAAGCCATATTTTGGTAGAGCCAGACAAAACAGTCTGTTGTTTTTCTTTTTCTTTTTTTTTTTTTTTTGAGATGAAGTCTAGCTCTGTCACCCAGGCTGGATTGCAGTGGCTCGATCTCGGCTCACGGCAACCTCCGCCTCCCGGGTTCAAGTGATTCTTCTGTCTCAGTCTCCTGAATAGGTGGGACTACAAGCATGCACCAGTATGCCTGGCTAATTTTTTGTATTTTTAGTAGAGATGAGGTTTCACCATGTTGGGCAGGCTGGTCTTGAACTCCTGACCTCGTGATCTGCCCGCCTCGGCCTCCCAAAGTGCTGGGATTACAGGCGTGAGTCACTGCGCCTGGCCAACAGTCTGTCGTTTTTCATTCAAGGGTTTTGAATGTTTTTGTTTGAAGGGTTTTGTTGTTTTTTATTCTAGAATAGTATGACTGGCTCACTTGAATTTCAGTGTGATTTTTATTAAATCTAGATTTACATAACCTGTAGCATTTTTTGTGTACTCACTTAAGTGTTTGGACAAGAAAGCTGTTAGAGATTTATCAAAGATAGTCCATTCATTGCATAGTGCACTTTTGTCTGTGGTAATGTTGATTTCAGACTTAAGTAACTTGGTTAACTGCCTTCTAGAGCTATGACTATGTAGACTTGCCTAGGCTTTATGGAACAATTTTGTCTATTCTTAATAAAGATAATTTTCATCTGTATTGGGATGGTTGGGAAAATGGTTTCTTTATGATCCCCCAACCCCTTCTTTAGACCTAAATGAATTAGCAATACTTCGATTATTTCATTGGGTGGATTATTGTGGCAAGAGTTTAGCAACATATTTCTAAAGATTACTTTCAACTACTCTGCAAATCTGAAAAACAGTCAGTGGTTGCTGAGAGACATACTATTCAAGTATCCCCGTAAACATATGTACTGCTGGAGATTGCTATTTAGTAATTTGTACTTCACATTTGCTGTTATATTTAGCTGAAAGGTACTGTAATTATCATGTAAATTATGCAGATCATGCAAATCATTCAGCCTGTCCTTAAAAGTGACCTTTTGTTATTGTGTTTTTAAAAACTCAAGACAAATTGGACATGACACAAACCAACCTATTAAAAAAATTTTAGTTCTAAACTGAAATAAATTCCACAAGGCCTTGAATCTCAGCTCCAATACAAAGAACTATTTTCCAAACGAGTTCCTTGAATATGTCAAAATGTTTACATTTCTCTCTCACAGCCTATAGCAAGTAAGTGTTGGGAGCATTTATTTCTACCTGGAATTTTATGAGATAGCCATTGCCAATTACCAGTTAACATCACTTCATCCTGTCCTGTCCAGTGTATAACTCAAAAATCTTGTAAAAAGGGCTTTATTGCTCTGACTCCTGCATTCAGAGCCAGCTTCCTGGTTGTATAATTTGTGCAGTTGTGCTGGGCCCTGTGCTTAGAAGGGCCCTGTGCTTGGTTTAGTGCTCTGCTCTTGCTGTCTTGAAACTCTTAATACTTTTTGAGCAGGGACCACCGCATGTTTATTTTGCACTAGGCCCCACAAATTATGTAGCTAGTCCCTGCCTGCTTCCCACTAAGTGCATCATTATTTAGCACAATAGCTCTTTCTTGAATTGCTGACCAAATAGGTTGTCTTAAAAATTTAAATCACAAGGTTGTCTTGAAATAGATAGTATGCTCAAGGGGAAAAAAATGGACTTCTTTGGTTTGTGGAAAGAATGCTTGAAATTAAATGGAGGAAAATAAAAGCGTGTGACTTGGTGGAGTTGTTCATATTTGTACGCCTTACACTTTCGAAAGTTTTGTATTGAATTTCCATAGGAGTCTTGGAGTCAGAATTGCCAGAAGCTTGTGATCGCAACCTTTTGATGCCTTGTCCCCATTGTCCTTTCTCAGTATTTGCCCCATAGGTTGCTTCATTTTATACAGTGCATCCCTTGAGTCGTTCTGATTCACTGGAGTCAGACTACCTTTGGCTCTGGTTTCTTTGTTCTGGGCTGTTTTCTCTGTATTTGGCCAAGGTGAAAGTATGAGGAAGATAGTTTTCAGGTAGTAGGAGAAAGTTGCAAACAAAGCCAGAAATGTGGACATCTGATTTTAGTGCTCTGTGGCACTTTGGATGAAAACATTTAGAATACCAATTTTATCGGTTATCTATTTGAAGAATTCTGATGTTCTCTAAAATCTTACTTTACATGGAATAGGGCAGGGTAATTCTTTATTATAGCAGAGAGCAACTGGGTTGTTTTGCTCGAAACCTTTTGCTCTTAATGACTTTTAAAAATAGTTTTGATAATGCCTACTTTTAAAATTCCAATATGTTTATATGATTTTTAATGAAAAATAGCAGTCTCTTGCCTCATCTTTCTCCAAACCAGAGTCCTATTTCCTAGAAGTAACCACACTTAAGTCTTCCAGTTGTTTCTGTATATTTATTTCCATATTTCTAAACAGCATGCTTATACTGCTATTTTTTAACTTGTGATTTTAGATTTTATTTATGTCTATTGACTTCCTACTGTAAGCCATTATGTATCTCCCACTATAACTCCCTCTCTACATTTGTTATATCACAAAATTTGAATGAATCACATGATAGATGAGTACTATTGTATACATGTTGTTCATTCCAAGGCACATAATTACATTTGTTTTCTTGTAGAGCTTTTTTTTTTCTTTTTTTAACCCTGGAAAATAGGTGCCTTATTTTTTTACTTGCTTTCCTGTGTATTCATCACTAGTGTGTGCTTTAATTCTCTGAGAGTAACCATACAGCCCTTCTCAGTATGGCCCACATATCAACTAGTCTATCAGTTACTTTTTTTTTTTTTTTCTTGGAGACCTTCTTCCTGGAGCCCTGGTCATCCTGCTCTAATTGGCACTCTGGGCCATCCACACAGTCATCCCAGCACTTCCCTTTGGTGCCCTTCTAGACTGTGTCTTTGCTTGTTTAACTTCTTCTTTGGTGGAGCATATCTTCTAGATTCTTCCTAAGAAAGCATGAATGGGATGTAAGTGTTCTGAGATCACTTGTCTGAAAACGTCTTTATTCTGCCTACATTTTTTTTTTTTTTTTTTTTTTTGAGACAGACTCTCGCTTTGTCGCCCAGGCTGGAGTGTAGTGGCACGATCTTGGCTCACTGCAACTTCCAGCTGCTGGGATTACAGGTGTATGCCACCACGCCAGACTAATTTTTGTATTTTCAGTAGAGACAGGGTTTCACCATGTTAGCCCATGTTGGTCTCAAATTTCTGACCTCAAGTGATCAGCCCGCCTTCGTCTTCCAAAGTGCTGGGATTACAGGCGTGAGCCACTGTGCCCTGCCTGCCTACATACTTTATTGACATTTTGGCTAAGTGTAAATTTGGAACTTTCCCAGATGTTTTAAGGAATTGATCCATTGTTTTCCAGCTTCCAGTGTGGGTATTAAGAAGGCCTGCACCAGGTGAATGCCTTATCCTTTATAATGACCTGTCTTCTTTGTATCTTCTTTGAGATCTTCTCTTTGTCTCCACATCCAGAAAGTGATGTGCTTTGGTGTGGATCTTTGTTCATTTATTGTGCAGAACACTTAATGGACCATATCTATATTGACATTGATGACTTTTTTTTTGTTGGAAATTGAATTGAATTATTCTTCAGATAATTTCCTTCTCTTCATTTTCTGTTTTTCTGTCTCCATGTCTTTCTGGATTGCTATTATGTATTGGATCTTCTGGTTTTTAAAATCTTCTTCTATATATTATCTCTGTTTTTTGGTTATATGCTCTGGGGTAGAGTTGCTCATTTTAATGTTCTAGTGCTTCTGCTAAAATTTTTATTTATTATATGTTGAACTTCTAAAAGCTTTTAAAAAATTTCCTGAATATCCACCTGAATAATAGCACTGTTTTATTTCAAGGATCCAGCATATTTGTTTATCTTTGAAGATGTTAATAGTTTCCTTCTTGCAATTTTTTTTGGTACTCCTAGCATTGTGCCTGTTTCCTCTGAGTTCCTTATAATTGTTTGTTGTGGTCTTTTATGTTAAAATATCTGGTGATCTTTGACTTCATAGTCATAATTACATGTTAGTCTACCGAAAAGTTGCTTAGAACTTGTGTATGTTACCGTGTGCACATGTGTGTTTATATTTGCATGGTGACACTTGGCAACTGGTGACTTTGAATGGCATAACTGGTCAGGGACCTTGCCATTTCATTAGGAAACCCTCAGCTGTTAGCATATCTGTAGGTCTTTCCTCTTGAGGCTGTCAGTTTCTTCCAAAAGGGACTTTCTGATCTTCTGACTTATACAGAATTGGGAGCCTGGTCAGGGAAGAAAGCTGGCAAATATGTCACTTTTAGGTATGCAGAGTTTTATTTCATCCCATTATTTCCAATAAGTGCTTTACTTAACGTGTATGATGTCTCCAAGATTAGATACTTACTCATTCTCTCCAGACTTACATTGTAAATCATCAATACACCACATGGGATAGGGATCTGGGGGGTCTTCTACAGACTTTCAACCAGTCCTCCTGTTTTTAGCTATTTCTCACACCCTTACCATCAAATATATCTGGTGCCTTTAGTTTTTAAGCCTTGTAAGGGTTCCGTGGTGTGAACTGGCCTGCTTCTCGTTGGCTTTCTTCCCTGCTTGCAGAATGGAAAAACACTTAGCAGACTGGAGAAAGAGGAAACTTAAGATAGTTACCTCTTGTCATCCACTTCCATCTTTGAGAAGTCTACAAATAAGTCTAAATTTTCTCTCCAGTCCTGTCTATGCCAAGGCTTTCTTCTATTCTTATTCTTTCACTGTCATTTTAGGGAGGATTCAAGAGGAGAGAGGTTCAATCCCCCTGCCTAGCTGGAAGACCCTTACAGCCCTTTTTCATTTCACTCTTCTCATTTCATTGTAGATTTATGAAGTTCAAAGAAAGGTTATTTGGCTAAATCACTATGTAGTTTAACCCTATTTGTGAGCTTCAAGAAGGCTGGTTTTTGTAAACCTGGAGTTAGTATGTTGACAGGTCTGTCTTTGCTCTGTAATCACCTTGGAAACGCTCCAGCTTCTTAACTTCTTTTCTTTGACTACAAGCTACCTGTTATATTAGGGATGGCACAGTCCACTTAGGCATTTACAGGTGTGGGATTATATTTCTTTTTTGTGTGGGAGTGATTGGGACTATAGATATGACTAAGCACACTCATATTATTTTGTTTTGGAAATCAGAGCTCATCAGAGTTCATCCTACCCCCCCTTGTTTTGGCCTGTGCACTATTATATTTCTCTCTCATACATCATAAAATCATCAAAAGCATGTTCTCTACAGAGAAGCAGAAAAATAGTTTAATACTGCAATTCATCTTTCTCATAGAATATGATACATTTAATATTTGTGGCTTTGTAAATATCTAAAGTTAGGCACTCGGCAATGCATTTTGTTGAGAGCCTAATGAAAACATCAAACATTTCTTGCTTAATTATTGTGTATTCATTAAACTCAAGATTAACAGTATACAAGGAAGGTTGATTCAAGTTTTGCTAATACTACACACCCTCAAACCTTCTCTTATGTTGGTTACAAGTTATTCATTAAAGCCTTTTGAAACACTTAAAAGTAGAAACGAAATTTAAAAAATAAAACTTACAAGGTTAATTATTTCTATTAACCTTGGAATGGGAATGGGTGGATGGGTGGATTGGGTAGGTGGATTAGAGGTCTTATGTCATTTGGAACATGTTATAGATAAAGAGATACTGAGTCTATATGGGGCCTTTTTTTTTTGGCTGGTTGGGGCCACATGCCTTTCTTTCCTAGATAGAATGTTTTCCTGTGGAAATGTATTAACTTGCCCATTACCTCCCCTGATGGGCTCCAAAATTGTTCAACAATGTGTATGTCCAGCAATGAGGACCATCGCTGGCACATAGAAAGAACTCAGTACGTATGTATTTATTGTATTGCTGAATGGGCAGAGAGCTGTAGTTAACAACATCTTCTGTTTGGATAGGCTGCTAGGAAAAGCATGTACTATTGAACCTGTGAGGAGCACTCATATCCCACTTCTAACTCCTCATTTCTTCATCGGTCAGCCTGGATGTCTCTTCCTTTAGAAGCCTTTGCTGATCACTCCACTTCTTCCAAATACAGTAGATGTGTCTGCTGTGTATTTATACAACATCCTGAACTACTTAACATGCTGTTTATTTACTTGTTTGTATTCCCCATTAGAATAGGCTCTGAGAAAGCAAAGACTGTATCTGTCTTGCTTATCATTGTATCCCTGACAGCTCGCCCACTGGCTGGCTTTTAATAAGCACACCATAAATATTTACTTGAAATACTCATTTTTAAAATGAACAGATGAATGAATGATAGATGGATGGTGGATGGCATTATGTAGCTAAAAATTGTGTCCTGTCTCTACCTATTTTTGAAGACCATCCTTTAGTTTGCGTTTCCTGCCATGTTTGAGGGGCCTTTTTTTGGTCCATAACTCTTGTCTTTTATTCAAATTAAAACACCGAACAAAAGCACATTCGATTATTGACCATGAGGTTTTTATTCTGCTGTCAGTGTCAACCTCATGTCTAAATCACCTGAGGTCAAACTTACATATATCTGGATAGCCTTTTTGATGACGATGGTAGTCTAATTTGTGTGTTATGTGCTCTTGAAATGTTTTGCTGTAAAGACACTAGAACTGAATTTTGCTTTATTGCAATGATGATGAATGTTAAAAAAAACAACTCAGTAACATTCAAACCAATTTCCAAGTTTGTTCTTCAGCCAGAGGAACTTGCACACTGACTTTTTGTAAAGGTAGCAGATTTATTGTGTTGTAATTCATACACCATAAAATTCACCATTTTAAAGTTTCCAATTTAGTGGTTTTTAGTATGTTTACAGAGTCATGCAACCATCACCACAGTATCATTGCAGGATGTTTTTATCATCCCTCAAAGAAATCCAGACCCACAGGAGGCTGAAGCAGGAGAATCGCTTGAACCCGGAAGGCGGAGGTTTCAGTAAGCCGAGATAGCGCCACTGCACTCCAGCCTAGTGACAGAGCAAGACTCTGTCTCAAAAAAAAAAAAAAAAAAAAAAAAAAAAAAAAGAAAGAAATCCAGACCTATTAGTAGCCACTCCCCATTCTACTTTCTGTCACTATGGATTTGCCTATTCTGCTTATTTCACATAAATGGAGTCATACATTGTATGGCCTTCTGTGTCTGGTTTCTTTTACTTACTTAGCATGATGTTTGAAAGATTCATTGATGTTGTAACATGTATCAGTTACTTTGTTCCTTTTTATGGCTGAATAATATTCCATGGCATCCCATTTTGTTTATCAGTTGACGGATATTTGGGTTGTTTCAGTTTTTAGCTATTATGAATATTGCTCCCATGAACATCTGTGTACAAGTTTTTGTGTGGACATGTGTTTTCGGTTCTGCTGGATATATACATGAAAGTGGAATCGCTTAGTCATATAGTAACTCTGTGGGAGATTTAAGGAACTGCCAAACTGTTTTCTGAAATAGCTGCACCATTTTACATTCTTACCAACAATGTATGAGGGTTCCAGTTTCTCCATATCCTCGCCAACACTTTTTATTATCCCTCTTTTTCATTATAGCCATCCAATGAGTATCTCTTTGTTGGTTGGGTTTTCTTTTCTTTTCTTTTTTTCTGAGATGGAGTCTTCCTCTGTTGCCTAGGCTGTAGTGCAGCAGCGCGATCTCGGCTCACTGCAAACTCCACCTCCCAGGTTCAAGCAATTCTTCTGCCTCAGCCTCCCGAATACCTGGGATTACAGGCATGTGCCAGCACGCCTGGCTAATTTTTGTATTTTTAGTGGAGACAGGATTTCACCATGTTGGCCAGGCTGATCTCAAACCCCTGACCTCGTGATCTACCCCCTCGGCCTCCAAAAGTGCTAGGATTACAGGCGTGAGCCAGGGTTTGCTTTTCTGTAATGATCAATAAAATAGAGCACTTTTCATGGTTTATTGACCATTCTTGTTGAAAATCAGTTGACCATAAATGTGAGGGCTTACTTTTGGGCTCTTAATTCTATTCCATTAATCTGTATGTCTGTCTTTATGCCAGTACCACACTGTCTTGGTATTTTGGACTAAGTTTTGAAATAGAGAAGTGTGAATCTTTCAAGTTTTGTTTCCCTCAAGAGTATTTTGGCTCTTCTGGTTCTCTTGCATTTCCATATGAATTTTAGGATCAACTTGTCAATGATACAAAAACAAAGCAGCTAGAACTTTTGATAGAGATTGAGTTGAATCTGTTGTGCTCACTGGCATTTGGCTGAAACTTTAGCTTGTTACCTCTTTTGGACTAGTTGCGTGGACCTCATTTTGAGCATGTAGATGTGATGTTATCAGGATTTGGTTATTAACTTTAGATTACAAATGTTTGGGAACTTAAACATGTTATTCACAGCCAGGCATGGTGGCTCACACCTCTAATCCCAGCACTTTGGGAGGCTGAGGTGGGTGGATCACCTGAGTTCTGGAGTTTGAGACTAGCCTGACCAATATGGTGAAACCCTGTCTCTGCTAAAAATACAAAAAATTAGCTGGGCACGGTGGTAGGTGCCTTTAGTCCCAGCTACTCAGGAGGCTGAGACAGGAGAATTGCTTGCTTGAACACAGGAGGCGGAGGTTGCAGTGAGCTGAGATCGTGCCACTGCACTCCAGCCTGGGCAACAGAGCAATACTCCATCTCAAAAAAAAAAAAAAAAAGTTATTCACATATAACATACAACAGAAATAATCAATGTTCACTTCGTTGACTATTTACAGAGTGAGCACACCTACATAACAAGAGTCTGGATCTAAAAAGGACCATTGCCAGTATCATTGAGACATTTTGATGTTTGTTTTGATTCAGGTTTTTTCATTTTCCTAGATGTTCTAGTAGAGCTGAAGGCTTATCCTTTTTTTTTTTTTTTTTTTTTTTTTTTTAAAGACCGAATCTTGCTCTATGGCCCAGGCTGGAGTGCAATGGCGCGATCGCAGCTCACTGTAACCTCTGCCTCCTGGGTTCAGGTGATTCTCCTGCCTCAGCCTTCTGAGTAGCTGGGATTACAGGTGCCCGCCACCACACCTGGCTAATTTTTGTATTTTTACTAGAGACGGGGTTTCACCATGTTGGCCAGGCTGGTCTTAAACTCCTGACCTCAGGTGATGCGCCTGCCTTGGCCTCCCCAGGTGCTGGGATTACAGGCATGAGTCACCACAGGCAGTCAGCTTATTTTAACTGCATATTTGGAATATCAGTAGGTAGCATAGTGCAGTGGTTGAGCTACGGACTTTTGGCCTCAACTGCTGGGGTTCAAATTCTAGCTTTACCACCTATTAGCTGTGAGACCGTGGGCACGTTACTTAACCCTATGTGCCCCAGTTTCCTCTTCTGTAAAAGGGGGACAAAACTATCTCATTGGGAGGATTAATATGTAGATTGCTTGGAAAATTGCCTGATGATCACAGTAAGTGCCATATGTGTATTAGCTATTATTCATATTATTACTTTTATTGTTGTTATTTTGTATTTGTATTTCTTTAGTGGAATATAAGCTCCTTGTCTGACTTGTTTATCATGATATGCCCAAAGACTAGCACTGTGCTTGGCACATAATAGATATTCAACACATTTTTTGAGGAAGGAAGAAGGGGATTTTAAATAATAGAATTCCTAAATCCTTTTCTGAAACCGCCTTTGACAGCTATAATGTCTTTCATTTACAACAGCTTCTGGAGCTATTTGACAGCGAAGACCCTCGGGAACGGGACTACTTAAAAACAGTCTTACACAGAATTTATGGCAAGTTTCTTGGTCTTAGAGCATTTATCCGAAAACAGATTAACAATATTTTTCTAAGGTAAGTGGAGTGTGATGGGGGAAGAAGGAGAAGCAAAGTTGGTGTTTTTATGAGTATTAAGTAAATCTCAAATATCTGAAAACGGTGTACTGACTTCTCTTTCTCCCTTTCTGCCTGCCTTCCTTCATTCTACTGACTCTCCTGCCTCTTCCTCTACCCCCTCCCCCTCCTCTCCTCCCCCATCTTCTCCTCTCCTCCCCCATCTTCTCCTCTCCTCCCCCATCTTCTCCTCCCACCCTCCTCTTCCTCCTCTTTTCCTCTTCCTCTCCCTCCTCCCCCCACTGCTTCTTCTCTATCCCTCCTCTCCCCCTACTTTCCCCCTCCTCTTCCCTCTCCCCTGCTTTTCTCCTCCCCCTTCTCCTCCTCCCCCATCTCCTCCTCCTCTCCTCTTTTCCTCTCCTCTCTCCTCCTCCTCCTCTATCCCCTGTCCTCCTCCTTTCTCCCTCCCTCTCCTCCTCTCCTCCCCGCTCTCCTCCTCTCCTGCCCCCTCCCCCTTCTCCTCTTTTCCTCCCTCTCCTCCTCTCTTCCCCCACCTCTCCCTCCCCCATCTTCCCCCTCCCCTCTCTTCCCCCCTTCTCCTCTCCTCCCCCGTCTCTTCCCTCCTTTTCTCCCCCTCCCCCTTCTCCTCCTCTTCTCCTCCCTGTCCTCCTCTCTTCCCCCACCTCTCCCTCCCCCATCTTCCCGCTCCCCTCCTCTCTTCCCCCCTTCTCCTCTCCTCCCCGACTCCTCTCTTCCCTCCTTTTCTCCCCCTCCCCCTCCTCCTCCTCTCCTCCTCCCTCTCCTCCTCTCTTCCCCCCATCTCTCCCCCGTCTCCTCCTCTCTTCCCCCCTCCTCCTCCCTTTTCCCTCTGCTCCTCCTCCCTTCCACCCTCTCCTCCCCCCTCTTCTCCCCTCTCTCCTCCGCTCTTCCCTCCTCTCCTCCCCCTCTCTCCCCATCTTCTCCTCCCTCTCCTCTCTTCCCCCATCTCTCCCCCATCTCCTCTCTTCCCCTCTCTCCTCCTCTCTTCCCTCCTCTCCTCCTCTCTTCCCTCCTCTCCTCCTCTCTTCCCTCCTCTCCTCCTCCTCTCTTCCCTCCTCTCCTCCTCCTCTCTTCCCCCCTCCTCTCCTCCTCCTCTCTTCCCCCCTCCTCCTCCTCCTTCTCTCTTCCCCCTTGTCCTCCCTCTCCTCCTCTCTTCCCCGCTCTCCTCCTCCTCCTCCTCTTCTCCTCCTCCTCCCCCTTCTCCTCCTCCTCCTCCTCTTTTTATCCCTTCCTTCTCCTCCTCCTCTCCTCCTTTCTCCTCCCTTTTCTCCTCTTCTCTCAGGTTTGTTTATGAAACAGAACACTTCAATGGTGTAGCTGAACTGCTGGAAATATTAGGAAGGTGAGCACGGTTTTTCTAATTGCTAATCTCAGATGAATATTATTTTAAAAATTAGGTTCAGGTGGCACCAAGAGATGCTCACCTAGTTCTCTTGCTGTATGTACATTGGGTCTCTCTCATTTGTGCCTATTAGCATATTTTCCAGCTGACTCTACAAGACACAATTTCCTGTTCCCCTTGTTCCACAAGTATGCATTGCCATTTCCACTGGAATGACTGAAAGAGCTGACAGTTCATTCATTACTAGAAAGATGGTACATCTAATTGTGGTCAGGCTAGTTACTCCAAAACATCTTATTCTCATTAGTTTTTAGGCTATCTGGTCCTTTGCCTTATCTGTTGAAAGCAAGTTTATAATAAATTGGAAAGATTGCCATTTTCAAAGGAGTTGTGTATCCAGGTATAGTCCTTGAACAGCTGCAGCCTGGAGTAGTGGAATGAATTGGAAAGAGCTGTGGTGTAAGTTTCTACACACAAGGGAGGATAATGTAGCTGGACAATATGATTACTTAATCTTTTCTCCTAATATGAAGAGAAAAAGAAGGTGGAGTCACATGGCTTTCTCTCAGTGATTTCCCTAGGCTGGGCAGAGGTTTCAGGAATGAGAAGGAATGATGTCTGGAAATGGAAAAGGTCATATTTAAGGCGGAAGCAAGCAAGGCGGGCCATTATTTGGAGAAGGAAAAGGGAGGGAAAATAAAGGGTTTTGATAAAGAGCTTTTGGAAACCATCTGACTAATTTTAGGAGCACAGGAGCCTTTGTTGGGTGACCAGAAGCAAATTTTCTTCTCTTAAATTTCCTTCCAACTTTTTGTATTCCTTGAAGTCATTAAGAAATCCTGGCTGGGTGTGGTGGCTCACGCCTATTATCCCAGCACTTTGGGAGGCCAAGGTGGGCAGATCATTTGCAGTTAAGAGTTCTAGACCAGTCTGGACAATATGGTGAAACTCCTTCTCTACTAAAAATACAAAAAAATTAGCCAGGCATGGTGGTGGGTGCCTGTAATCCCAGCTACTTGGGAGGCCTGAGGCATAGGAATAGCTTGAATCCCGGAGGCGAAGGTTGCAGTGAGCTGAGATTGGGCCACTGCACTCCAGCCTGGGCAATAGAGCAAGATGACTCTGTCTCAAAAAAAAAAAAAAAAAAAAAAAAAAGGAAATTCTGAATGCCACTGGGGTGGGTATTATGTTGTTTTGTACAAACAAACTGATTAAGTTTAATTAATATCACAAGAACAGTTTGTCTCAGTTCAACTTGTGGTAACATTGCTAATTTGTGTCTCTTTTTTCTCCCTAGTATTATCAATGGCTTTGCTTTACCTCTTAAGGCAGAACACAAACAGTTTCTGGTGAAAGTATTGATCCCTTTACACACTGTCAGGAGCTTATCACTCTTCCATGCACAGGTAGGAGGATTTTGTACAACTACTTTTAGAAGCAAAATAAAAAGTTTGCAAACTCGTTTTTTTGATATTGATATAACCTTCATTTTGTTTTTTTGGTTTTTGTTTTTTGAGACGGAGTCTTGCTCTGCCGCCCAGGCTGGAGTGCAGTGGGACAGTCTTGGCTCACTGCAGCCTCCACCTCCCGGGTTCAAGCAATTCTTCTGCCTCAGCCTCCCGAGTAGCTGTGACTACAAGCGCACGCCACCATGCCCAGCTAATTTTTGTATTTTTAGTAGAGACGGGGTTTTACCATGTTGGCCAAGATGGTCTGGGTCTTCTGACCTCATGATCCGCCCACCTTGGCCTCCCAAAGTGCTGGGATTACAGAGGTGTGAGCCACGGCGCCGGGCCTATCGCCTTCATTCCCAAAGGAAAGAGACTTACTTAAGTTTAAAATACTCCCCGAGGGAAATAAAAATGTATGCATTTTTTTTCTATGCACAGTAGAATCATGGAAATATTTTTAAAGTGGGAGGAACCCTTGTTTGGTCATTTTATTTTACAGAGAACTTATATGACTTTCCCAAGTGCACACAATAACATACTGAACCTATTACATATAATAAAATGCACAGGAGCTTAGCAGATGTAGATCTTTGGACTATGTAATCATGTTTTAATGTTCTTGAATATTTTGTTCCATCCTACTTTGCGTTAGTCTATCAGTTGCCCTTTTTGCCTCCTGTTCTAGGTCACTCACCATGTCTTTATCACTTTCTACACACAAGCACTCTCACAAGTAAACAAATCAATCAGTATTTTCACATTTTTTTTTTCCTTTAAGCCTTCATCACTTTAAAAAGCATACCCTGTCTTGTCCCCATTCTAATTTTTGTGCTAACACTGCCTTGCATGGTCACCATGTCACTGGGGGTAGATAAGTTATTGGGTAGTATTTTAAATTTTGGATAGGAAGATTTTAAATACTGCCAGACTCTGACTCCCTCTTCCCCCCATTGGGAAGGTTTTGAGTTTGCATAAAAACGTGACACATTTTTCTAAGCACTGTTCCTCTTTAAATGTGAAATTCTCTATTTCGAGGAAAAATTAATCCATATGTTTCTAATTTAGAACACCATCAAAATGTTCTTTTGCGAGGGTGGTTTTCTTGTCCAAGAATCTTTACAAGCCCTTTTACAAATCTTGCCTTTGATTTTTGAAATGGGATATCATATTTCATGATTATTATTTTAAACAATCTTACTTAGATGTGTTAGTACCAGATGTAGAACTATTCTTACATTTCTCCAGGTTCTGACTGGCAGGTACAACCTTTTATCTCCTCGTGAAACTGCTTTAGTTTGCATGTGCCATTTCAGGCAATTGGCAAAGTTTTTATTAAGTGCTTACTTCCCATAGAGGACTCTTGTGGAACTACAGTAAAACTCAGTACTGTTGATATTAGCAAAGAGAGAAAGGAAGCCCCTGAGATGTAGCTCAAAGTGTATGTAGGTGAGATAATTCCACAATATGCTGAATGTGATGTCTCACCTCTGCTTTTCATTAGCTGCATATTTCATGTCCTAATACTCTTTTTTAAAGAAAAGTTCCCTGGAGCCTTGTTAATATTAGTCTTTGGCTTGAAAAAGTAGTTTCTTATTTTACTTTATATAGATTTTATGATAATTAAAATGAATTGAATGTGAAGTTATTAAAAGCAGTCTGGAAACCTTTTAGGAAGTTTTAATAGTGTATCTTTTGAGCCCTTACTGTATAGAATTTAAAATTTTGCCTTTTATTTTATTTTTTACTCAGCTGGCATATTGTATAGTACAGTTTCTGGAGAAAGATCCTTCACTCACAGAACCAGTAAGTCTTTTTTCCATAATTTCAAAAACTTAAGAAAAATTACCTTTCCCAGAAGTATATATGAAAAAGTTAAATGCCATTTGTTTTTCTCCTTTTCATTTTAGGTTATTAGGGGGTTAATGAAATTTTGGCCTAAAACATGTAGTCAAAAAGAGGTAAGTGCTTACTGTCAGAGAGTGTTCATAGCTTACTGAATATTTTGCTGAGTGCCAAGGATTGGGCTAAGCATGTATAAAACCGCATCATCAGGGCTGGGCGCAGTGGCTCATGCCTGTAATCCCAGCACTTTGGGAGGCCGAGGCGGGCAGATCACCTGAGGTCGGGAGTTCGAGACCAGCCTGACCAACATGGAGAAACCCTATCTCTACTAAAAATACAAAATTAGCCAGGCGTGGTGGCGCATGCCTGTAGTCCCAGCTACCCGGGAGGCTGAGGCAGGAGAATCGCTTGAACCCGGGAGGCAGAAGTTTGCAGTGAGCCGAGATGGTGCCATTGCACTCCAGCCTGGGCAACAAGAGTGAACTCTGTCTCAAAAACAAAACAAAACAAAACAAAACAAAACAAAACAAAGCAAAACTGCATCATCTCATTTAAACCTCATTGTAACTCTATAAGGCAGGGCTGTCAGAACTCTTGTTTTACTAGTTATGAAACTGTAGAGAGGTTAAATAGCCTGCCCCAGTACACTAAGTAAGTACAGATGATTAGGCCAGAACTCGCCTCCTTGACTCCTAAACCCTGTCTTTTTATTCACTGTGCTCTTCAGCCTCGCTAAGCCCAGGCCAGGCCCCAATCAGGTGTCCAGTTGTCTAGCTTTGTTGATGTTCCCTTCCGAGTGGCCCCCTTCATAATATGAAGGTTTTGCTGTCACTGTACATAGACGCTAGAGCAGCCTGCCCAAATACTCATTTTAAAGCATGGTATAGGTGGATCTTGCTGTGTCATCTTAGAATAGACAACAGACCTTTAGTTTCAGCCATTCACAAATGACCCTGGGGGGTTCAGGCCTACAATCATTTGTACCTTTGCTGAGAATTCACCAGGCATGTGCTACTTTGTGAGGTTGTTATGGGGTAGTGCATGAGTTTCTTAGCTGGAGTTGAGCCTAACTGAGCACCAGATCTGCAGCCATTCTTCTGGAAGGTTAGCAACCATGTGGAAAATGGCTCAGAAAAAAAGATCAGCTGTTAGTTTTATATTTGGTTAAAACTTTGGGAGAAATTCCATATACATATTAACAAATGGCAAGGGTCTACTATATTTTACTTTTAGCAGAAACGCCTTCCTTCTCAAATCAGCTTCAATTCTCCAAACTCTATTTTAATTTCAGAAAGTCATTTAATTTCTTAAAATCTGTTAGATAAAATTGAACTGTGCATTGCTACCCAGATACATCTCAAAATATGAAGGCATTGTTATTTTTCATATTTTGATTGCTCACTTTATTTTTTCAAAGTAATTATTTTTTCATAGCTAAATACGTAAACTGGTTTTTATTTATCTGTCATTTTCCCATTATATTTAAAACAATTGACTCTACTGCAGATTTGGCTCCATATTGTGATCTAAAAACTCTGTTTCTTGCGGCACCCGGTGCTGAGTTCACAAGATTCACTGTGCTTTGTAGAGAGCAAGCGTGTGTGTGTGTGTGTGTGTGTGTGTGTGTGTGTGTGTGTCGAGAATGCGTCAGTGCATGCTTATGGGTTTGAAGTGGCACCTGCATGTGAGTGAGTCTGCTCATTTGTGTTTCTTGAACTTTTTGTTGTATTAATGAGTGCGTTCTAGAGCATTGAGCATGTAGCAGGGGCTGTACGTATTTGGCAAATAACCACATTTGAACTTTTGCCTCTTCCATTTAGGAGGGCCACCTTCTCATTGTTTTTTTTAAAAAAAAAAGTGTTGTGGAAAGAGAGCTGGATTACTAATAATAGAGAGGAAGGCCCTACGGGGTCAGTTTTGCTTCTCAGGGGCCGGTGCAGTGTGTGAGTGTCCCTCGTTCTATGTAATATATATACCAAGTAGAGTATTTTTTCCAAGTACGTAGAATTTTTCCAAGTACCCTATGGTGAATTCTTTGTGGAACGAACATCTTCTAACATGGGATAATGACTGGTTCATGTATGTTTGGTTTTATGTGTAAATTTTTCTTAAAATAATCCAAACTCTCATTAATCCTCCTTGTTCTTATGGATTTTTTTTCATGATGTGCCTCACATCTTGTATTTTGCTTGTACTTACAGGTCATGTTCCTTGGGGAACTGGAAGAAATATTGGATGTGATTGAACCTTCACAATTTGTTAAAATCCAAGAACCTTTGTTTAAACAAATCGCCAAGTGTGTATCTAGCCCCCATTTTCAGGTTAGTAGTAAAGAGGACATGAGCCAGGGAGCATGAGTTATTTTGGTTAAATTTTATTTGTTTCAAAAGCAATGTAATGGACCCTAGCTACCTATTGTTTATTTGCTATCCCCTCACATGATGATAATTTTAATAGTGGCCAGCTTATCTTGAGCACTTGCTGCCTAACAGCCACAGTAATGGTGCTTTCTCTCCAGTAACTTTAATTCTCCTAACACCCTGCAAGGAGGGCATTATGTTTTTTTTTTAAAGACATACAGATGTGAACACTGAAGCTCAAAGTGGTCAAAAGTATTTCAGATAATTTCTAAATAAGTGGGCTGGTGAGGTTTCTCTAGTGTGTAAGAGAGAATGCTAAATAATGTTTAAGAGGAAAAGGAGAAAACCTAATATTCCTTACTATGCTAGATACTTTAGGTACATTATTTATAAATGTCCCATTATCCTCTGAAGCTTTTCTAGATGAAAAAAAAAAAAAAATGAGGCTTGGAGAACAATTTACTATAGGTCCCAAGTTAATAGAGAGTAGAGTCAAATTTTGATCTTTGGTGTAGCTGCTTGCTAAAGCCGGTGACCTTCCCATAGCACTGCTCTGCCTCCTCGTGGCCACTCGGGGCAACACTTTTCTTTCTTGGGGCCATGGCTGCAGTGCTGTGGAACCCACACAGGAGGGAAGAAGGGTAAACTGGGGGAGCACACGTTAGGTTTGATTCTTTGGCTGTCTCACCTAAGGCCCGTTTCATAAACCTAGACTGTGCCTATTGATTGGAAGAGATTGTTCAGACTGTGGTTCTTAGCGCAGAACCAGACCTCTAACGGTGTCATTTGATGGCGGACTTTTTCCCTAAGCTGTCAACTATGCTGTATAGTTAGAGACACTAGCTGCTGCTGTTGTTTTGATTTCTGACCAAAAGACATGTTAATATGTTAAAGCAGTGACTTTATGGCAGTCTAGCAGTTGTACCGCAAAGCAAGAAAAAAGAAGATAGAAATCATGACAAGCCTGAATAAAAATGGAAAAATTACAGAACAGTATATAGATATTTTGATACCACTCAGGGCCTTTAGTGCTCACACATCTGGATTGTTTACCTTATTTTTTTCAGTTTTCAGCAGGATGTTTGGCATTATGGAGGTCAAGGAACAAGTATTTTTTTAAAAATGAGCATCATCGGCTGGGCGCAGTGGCTCATGCCTGTGATCCCAGCACTTTGGGAGGCTGAGGCGGGTGGATCATGAGGTCAGGAGTTTGCGACCAGCCTGGCCACCATGGTGAAACCCTGTCTCTATTAAAAATACAAAAATTAGCTGGACGTGGTGGCGGGCGCCTGTAATCCCAACTACTCGGGAAGCTGAGGCAGGAGAATCGCTTGAAACTGGAAGGCAGAGATTGCAGTGAGCTGAGATCATGCCATTGTACTCCAGCCTGGGCAACAAGAGCGAAACTCCATCTAAAAAACAAAAAAAGAAAGAAAAAAGAAAGGAGAAAAAAAAAAAAAGAGCATCACCAGAAAGGCCTAAGCGTTACTCAGAAGCTTAGAAAAGAGAGGCCATGTCTTTGTCAGCTTGGGCTGCCATAACAAGACTGGCGACTTAAACGACATTTATTTTCTCACAGCCCTGGAGGCCAGAAGTTTGAGATCAGGATGACAGCATGGTTGGTTTCTGGTGAGATCCTGCTTTCTGGCATGCAGATGGCCTTCTTCTTGCTGTATGCTCACGTGGCCTTTCCTGGCATGTGCATACAGAGAGAGGCAATCTCACTCTCTTCCTCTTCTTATAAGGCCCCTGTATTATCTGGTTAGGACCCCACCCTTATGAGCTCATGTAACCTTAATTACCTCCTAAAAGTCTTGTGTCCAAATATAGTCACGTTGGGGATTAGGACTTCAACATATGAATTGTGGAGGGGACACAATTCAATTTGTCGAAGAAAGAAAAAAGGATTTTAAATTATTTGGCAGAAGTAAAATTGAGAACAAAGGGAAGAGGCTCTTATTTATTAAGTGTTCATTAATAAATGTTTGCTGGTTCATCCACAAACATTTATTAATGAATTTGCTGGTTCATCCATTTATTGAGTGGCCGCCTTATGTAGCCAGACACTTATCATTGCTTGCTTCAGGTATGGCATTAAGATCTGAGGTCTGCACGCTGGTGACACTGCCTCTGTGTGTGCAGAAGGACAGTGGATCCCAGGAAAGTAGTGGCTCTGTCCTGTTGTCAGACACAGTAATTTTTAACTTTGCATAAACAATACCTTTCCTCTTTAAGGGGCTGGATACATACTTTTATTAGTGGGTTTACATATTAAAATGGATATATAAGAGATTAAGGAAGTTGTTAGAGTTAAATGGCAGGTAAATATTGGATTCTGGAGGAATGTCCAAAGAGACCACGGGAGGATGCCAGTAAAGAAGGAGGCACCTAGGATTTTCCTCTAACCAGTTAGAATGTTCAGAACAGCCTCATTCTTACTCCTTTTTTTCTCCCTCTCCTTGCCTCCTGCTTTATCTGTGTCAGTTACGTCATTTGCTTTGATGATTCCCAAACACATTGTCCTCGTCCATGCCTCTGTCCTCCTTTCCTTAATGCCCTCTACCTGGAATGCCCTTTCCTTCATCCTTCGAAGCCGAGCTTAAATGCCACTTGCCTATGTTACATTTCTTTCTTCTTTTTTTTTTTTTTGAGATGGAGTCTTGCTGTGTTGCCCAGGCTGCAGTGCAGTGGTACAGTCACAGTTCACTGCAGCATCTGCCTCCCGGGTTCAAGCGATTCTTGTGCCTCAGCCTCCCGAGTAGCTGGGACCACAGGCATGCCCCACCATGCCCAGCTAATTTTTATGTTTTTAGTAGAGATGGGGGTTTTACCATGTTGGCCAGACTGGTCTCGAACTCCTGACCTCAAATGATCCACCCACCTTGGCCTCCCAAAGTGCTGAGATTACAGGCATGAGCCACCACACCCAGCCCCACCTATGTTACATTTCTGCCACCCTTCTGTTTCCCAAGTCATCTGGATTGTTGATTCTGCTCTTTTCCCCTCCTTCCCCTGACACTTTATTCATATATCTGATATAGCATCTGTCACAGTTTACATTGGATAGGCTTGTAGATGCCCCTTCTCCCACCAGTGTGCGAACTCTTTAGGGATAACAGAGTAAAGAGGTTAAGAATAGAGACTTTGGAATCTGCCACTTACTAGCCATGTGACCTTGAGCCAATGGCTTCTCTGAGTCTCAGATTCTTCATCCACAAAATAGAAAAGTAATGGTACCAACTCTGTTGGTTGTGAGGAAATGAGATATTATATATGTGGGACACTTAGCACAGTGCCTGGCATATAGTGAACATGCAGTAATGATTGTTTTCTTTGTACTCTCAGGGTCTGGTGCCTAATGAGTCTCAGGGTTTTGTTTTGTTTTTTGAACCAAGCTGAATAATGTAAATGGAAAAATTCTGTTTTCTCAGTGTCTTTCGGTAGATACATCTTATACCATTTTGTTCTCTTCTAAAACAGGGCTTCTTAATCTGTATAAATGAAGGAAGCCACCCCTTTTTCCCTTTTCCCCTGTAACTACCCTTTTTAGAGATTTTAGGTTTTGTTTTTGAGATGTTCTTTTGAATTCATGAAATCCAAGATGAGCCAATCAGGCCCAGCAGACCAAATTAGAGCCAGTTGATAGCATGGTGGGCAGAGAAAAGGGATCTAAGAGAGCAGAGAGGGTAGGTGCAGCCAGTGTCCCTGAGACCAGAAACTGAGCAGACATCTCCTGGCTTGCACAGGAAGGGACCAGAAACAAACTCTGGAAGAAGCCCTAGAAATGAGGCCCCAGTCTTTACCATATTGTCAGTGTAACCTTGCCTACATTACTCAGTCTCCCTGAGTCTCTGTGTCCTCACCTGTAAAATGAGCACAATGGTATCTCCTTCTGGGATGGTGGTAAGGATGATACATTCTACTTGCTGTGTAGGCACAGTGCCTGCCCATAGGAGGTACTTAGTAAATATTGGCCGCTCTACAGGGATGAGCAACTGTGGGTGTTCCTCAGTAGCTGTGACTGAATGCTAACCATATGCTGGGCCCTGGGTTCGATCTAAGTGTGTGTGATGAAAAACATAAGAAAGGGGACCAGTGAGATGTGCTAAAGTGATGTCAGGAAAGTGTGGAATCAGATGACATGGGCAGAATTAGAGAAGAATATAAATTAACAGGAAAACTTCTTTTCCTTCCCTGAGTCGATGAACCACTTGAACCACTCTGGACTTTTTTTTTGGTGGGAGGAGAAGACACGGTCTTGCTCTGTCACCCAAGCTGGAGTTCAGTGGCATGATCTCCACTCACTGCAACCTCCGCCTCCCAGGCTCAAGCAGTCCTCCCACCTCAGCCTCCCAAGTAGGTGGGACTATAGGCACATGCCACCAATCCCGGCTAATTTTTGTGTTTTTGTAGAGGCGAGGTCTCCCCATGTTGCCCAGGCTGGTCTCAGACTCTTGGGCTCAAGTGATCTGCCTGCCTTGGCCTCCCAAAGTGCTGGGATTACAGGTGTGAGCCACCGTGCCTGGCCCACTTTGGAATTTTCCAAGAGATTAAAAATCCACAAACATTTAAAATGTGGGCCAGGCACGGTGGTTCACGCCTGTAATCCCAACACTTTTGGGAGGCTGAGGTGGGCGGATCACGAGGTCAGGAGATCGAGACCATCCTGGCCAATGTGGTGAAACCCCGCCTCTACTAAAAATACAAACATTAGCTAGGCATAGTGGCATGTGCCTGTAATCCCAGTTACTCGGGAGGCTGAGGCAGGAGAATCGCTTGAACCCGAGAGGCGGAGGTTGCAGAGAGCCGAGATCGCGCCACTAGCGAGACTCCCATCTCAAAAAATATATATATATTAAAATGTGATTAATATTTAATTTTACCTCTAATTGAATGATTTACAAATAGCCTTTTGAAATACTTTTGTTTGGAAAGATTTATAATTTTGTTTTATCTTTGTCTTTTTCTCTCTCTTAACATTTTATTTTTCTTTTCCCAAAGGTGGCAGAAAGAGCACTCTATTATTGGAATAATGAATACATCATGAGTTTGATAGAAGAAAACTCTAACGTCATCCTTCCCATCATGTTTTCCAGCCTTTATAGGATTTCAAAAGAACATTGGAATCCGTAGGTTTTCAGTTTCTTTCCTCCGTTCTCTTCCTCCCTTCCTCTCTTTCTTTCCCTTCAGCCTTATTATGTGCCAGATGCTGTCCTTGTTGCTGAAGACGTATGTGAAAAGATAAAATCCTTACCTTCTGGGGATTCACTGACTGGAGAAAATAAACAGATACTTTAACAAAATACCGGTTAAAGTATCTGTTTACTAGACAGGCTTCTTGATCTGTCTATGAAGGTAGCAGATCTTTTGGGGAGGCACTGCAGCTGAGAGGAGAGGTGTGTAGATACTGACAGCATGGCCATGCTTAGACTGAATCTGAAAGGAATTTGGCAGGTGGATGGCATGGGGAGAGCCCTTTCAGACAGTGGGTCCATCCATCATGTTAAAAGGCACAAAGATGTAAAAAGCAGCTGTCAGTTTCTGAGACCTGTGAGTTTGGGAGGGCTGAGGCACAAGGTCTTTTGGGGAGGGTGCTAGAGGATGTGGCTAGAAAAGACTGTGGGACTCGTGTGAGCCTTCACCAAGTAGATGATGAGGAAGTACTGAAGGGTTGTTAAGTGGGGAAGTGGTCTGACTAGGTTTTCATTTTAGTGTGATCTATTTAACAGCCAACTCAGTCGCTATATGTATCTCTTGGAAAGGAAGGAGTTTAAAATCATCAAGGGAAGTTTAACATCCAGCCCTATGAAAGTTAAAGCATTCTGAATTTGAATGCCTTTACATTTTTCTCTGTGGAATAGAAGGAAAATTTAATGTGGTATTTAAAAATTGGGAGATACAATTCAGTATATTCATAATATGTTTATCTTTAAAAATTTTGCATGTAATTATAAAATATCACATTTCTAATTTTTCAAATTTGCCTAATTATATTAATAGAACTTGTAAAAATAAGGAGCTGATAAACAGTTAAGTCCCTTTATACAGATAGTCTCTTGAGGACCTAGAGAACGGTTCTAGCAAGTGTCTGTAACTACTCAGTATACTACATTTGGTGCTTTCCCATCACTGCCCTTGGGAGGAAGGTCATTCTGGAACCTTAACAGAAAAGAACTTAAATTTTCCTTTTAATGGCACAAGGCAGAAGCTACACAGCAAGTGTACTTTCTTGTAAATGTTTTGGAAACATCAGACTCATGGTTTATTTAATATATGGCTAATTTTTACCAATGCATTTTTCAGTGGTATTAGGAGCATGTTTGTTGCAAAACGGAAGCAACGGATATTTTTGCAAAAGGAAAAGCTATTTAGACTCTAGTCTGAAGCTATCAAGCCCATCATAACCTTGTCCTCACATTGCCCAAGAGCTAATTCTTGTTAAGTATGGGCTACCATTTTGGCTGTTTAGCTGTATAGTGTCCCATAGCTAATAGCAACCATCCCAGCTTGCCAGTTATCAGCATATATTTTGGGTCAGCAGGACTGGTGCAGATCAGAGCTAGACAGATAATTCATATTGAACCACCCAACCTACATGAGGGCTTGATTTCATTTCTTTGGATAAGAATAATTTATATATATACACATATATATATAACATTTGTTTCTAGGGAAGTAGCTTCTGATTTTGATGAATTATGTGTTATTTAGAAAATAGAATTCTATGCAAATTCAGATGTCTAAGGTTAGTGCTATCACAGATCCTTATTTTAGGGTGAAATTGCTTTACTATTATACTTGCCTTTTTATTAAATGAAATTATCAAATGCCCACAGGCAGCTCTATTCTGGGTGCCAATAATTAGAAGGGCAGGCCAGGTGTGGTGGCTCACGCCTATAATCCCAGCACTTTGGGAGGCCGAGGCAGGCAGATCACCTGAGGTTGGGAGTTCGAGACCAGCCTGACCAACATGGAGAAACCTCGTCTCTACTAAAAATACAAAATTAGCCAGGTGTGGTGGCTCGCTTCTGTAATCCCAGCTACCCAGGAGACTGAGGCAGGAGAATTGCTTGAACCCAAGAGGCGGAGGTTGCGGTGAGCCAAGATGGTGCCATTGCACTCCAGCCTGGGCAACAAGAGCGAAACTCCGTTGCAAAAAAAAAAAAAAAGAAATTAGAAGGGCAAAGTTAGATTTTTTTTCTAGTTCTACCACCCCTCAGAAAATTATCTTGCCTTGAAATCTCTTGATGTGGAAATGAACTGTAGGTCATTTTCAGTTGTTCCAACTAAAAAAGGATACAGACAGTGTGCAGTACGAGAAATCATTCAGACAAAAGTTGTGCTTTTGCTTTCTTCATTCAGTATCCCATTTTATAAGACTAACTAACACACTCCTTTTTTTCTGTGCTTTCCAGGGCTATTGTGGCGTTGGTGTACAATGTGTTGAAGGCATTTATGGAAATGAACAGCACCATGTTTGACGAGCTGACAGCCACATACAAGTCAGATCGTCAGCGGTAACTTTTTAAAGCTTTTTTGTCAGCTGTGCATAAAGCTATTGAGTTTTTTCCTTGCTCTTTGCTGAAGTTGCCTAATTGTACCCCAAATCTTAAGCAGCACAATTTTGTTTACAGTCATGCATTACTTAACAACCAGTATATGTTCTGAGAAATGCATCCTTAGGCAATTGTATTGTGTGAACATCATAAGTATACAGTAATTACACAAACCTAGATGGTGTAGCCTACTATGACACACCTGAACTATGTAGTATTGCCTGTTCTTCCCAGGCTACAAACCTGTGGTGAATACCGTAGCCAATTGTAACACAAATCACTAGGCAGTAGGCCTTTTTCAACCCTGTTAAAATTTTATGGGACCACCGTGGTATATGTGGTCTGTGTTGACCGAAATGTTGTTATTTGGCACATGACTGTATTTATATATTCATTTTTGCACACTTATTAACTGTGTCTTTATTTATTTATTACTGTGCCACTGAGTAACAAAGCTTCCTGACACTCATTTTGATAAAGCCCGCTTTCTTTCCTTTCTTTAATAATATTTCACTTCTGCCTCAGGGTTAAGAGCCCAGCATTTAACTGGTATTTTAGGTTCACTTAAAGGGACCATCAGGTAGTTTGCTCTCTGGGATTCACTCCCACTCTGAACTTACTTGAAGTATAATTGGGCAGATCTTGTACTTCACTCCAATAGCAGGGGGAATGAGGCACCATTTATCTAGCTCTTGGGCCCAGGACTTACTAGAACCCAACAAATTTATTACAATTTAAAGATCAGTGAAAAGAACATGAAGGTTAATAGTCTGGTATTAACCAGAAATGTTTGAGACCATATGGGAGAACAAACCAGTGGAACTCTTTGCAATAAATGCTTATGGCTTAGTAAAAATCTTGTCCAATGCATTCTACTTTCCAAAAGATGTACTTGGGGAGATTATAGAAGTCTAGAGAGCTCTTAGTAGTTGCGCCTGTGGTTTGGCTTTGATCATCCATAAGCAGATGTCAGCTTTGTATATCATAAAGCTATGGACCTTAGAGGACCCAGAGATGTGTGCGAGTGTTCATACCCAGGGTCTTGCTGAACCTCTCTGGTTCCCTTGGTGCTTTGCTTTGTCTCATTTTTAGTCTGTCAACTTGCATTTTATTGATAAAAAGAGCAATGAGGGGAAAGGTTTGATGGCAGAGGGACCATTGCAATGATTTTTTTGTTTTAAGTTACCAGGGATGTGGTTTATGAAAACCAACTTAATTATGGAATGTGGTGAGTATTTAGCTGAGAATCTCAGAAGAGGCTGGGATTTTTTACCCAGAATATTGGGATTATTATCAATTATGGGATATGTTATTCCATACTCACAGTTTAAACAACTTTTTTTTTTTTGTTTTTTGAGATGGAGTCTTGCTCTGTTGCCCAGGCTGGAGTGCAGTGGCGCGATCTCAGCTCACTGCAAGCTCCGCCTCCCAGGTTCATGCCATTCTCCTGCCTCAGCCTCCTAAGTAGCTGGGACTACAAGCACCCGCCACCACGCCTGGCTAATTTTTTGTATTTTTACTAGAGACAGGGTTTCACTGTGCTAGTCAGGATGGTCTCGATCTCCTGACCTCATGATCCACCTGCCTCGGCCTCCCAAAGTGCTGGGATTACAGGCGTAAGCCACCGCGCCCAGCCCTAAACAACTTTTAATTCAGTATATTAGCGATTGTTGCAAATTATAAATTTATGA
Organism: Homo sapiens; assembly: GCF_000001405.40. NCBI lineage: Eukaryota > Metazoa > Chordata > Mammalia > Primates > Hominidae > Homo > Homo sapiens. The sequence goes on along the minus strand of NC_000014.9, from coordinate 63,380,325 downwards.
TAACCCTCCTTGCCCCAAACTTAAAATCTTTAAAGGATGTTACTTAAAAAAACGGCCAAGGGTACATTTTAATACTGTGTTGCATCGTTAAAGGTGCTTTGTGCATAACATCTTCTCTGAAAGCACATTATTATTATCCTAGTTGAACCAGGATTAAATCCGTAGAATCTCATCAAGAATATTGAAGAACTTGGCTGGGCACGGTAGCTCACGCCTGTAATCCCATCACTTTGGGAGGCTGAGGCGGGCGGGTCATCTGAGGTCAGGAGTTCGAGACCATCCTGGCCGAATGGTGAAACCCTGTCTCTACTAAAAGTATGAAAATTAGCCAGGCACGGTGGCATGCGCTTGTGGTCCCAGCTACTAGGGAGACTGAGTTGGGAGGGTCAGTTGAACCCGGGAGGTGGAGGTTGCAGTGAGCTAAGATCATGCCACTGTACTCCAGCTTGGACATTGGAGTGAGACTCTGTCTCAAAAAAAAAAAAAAAAAAAAAAAAAAGAGAGAGAATATTGAAGAACAACTTATTTCCACTCAAATTATTTGGTTTGTATTTAGTGAACTTCAATAATAAAACTATTTTCTGGTTATTATCTAAACTAAATAGACTAAACCCTTGAAAAAGATGAGAATTAACTAAGGGGACCAGGAATAGATAAAACTATTATTTTATCTATTCCTGGTTGAGGTTGATTATGATATTCTGGCATATTACAGTTATTTATAATGAGTGTACTTTCTTAATGAGAAAATGGGGGCCAGGCGTAGTGGCTCACGCCTGTAATCGCAGCACTTTGGGAGGCCAAGGCAGGCGGATCACCTGAGGTTGGGAATTTGCGACCAGCCTGACCAACATGGAGAAACTCCATCTCTACTAAAAAATACAAAATTAGCCGGGCGTGGAGGCACATGCCTGTAATCCCAGCTACTCAGGAGGCTGAGGCAGGAGAATCACTTGAACCCGGGAAGGGGAGGTTGCCATGAGCAGAGATTGCATCATTGTACTCCAGCCTGGGCAACAAGAGGAATCCCAGCTCTTTGGGAGGCCGAGGCGGGCGGATCACGAGGTTAGGAGATCGAGACCATCCTGGCTAACATGGTGAAACCCCGTCTCTACTAAAACTACAAAAAATTAGCAGGGCGTGGTGGCGGGTGCCTGTAGTCCCAGCTACTCGGGAGGGTGAGGCAGGAGAATGGCGTGAACCCAGGAGGCAGAGCTTGCAGTGAGCCGAGATTACACCACTGCACTCCAGCCTGGGCGACAGAGCGAGACTCCGTCTCGAAAAAAAAAAAAAAGAAAATGGGTTTTTAAAAGCAAGAATAATAATTTGTCAAATGAGCAATAGAAGGGTGTACTGACAGATGGAAACATTGGTTTCTCCATAGGTGTGGGAATAGGACAAGGGAATGAAGAAATTTAGTTGGTACTGTCAGAGAATAACTGAATGGACAATTTTACTTCAGGATGGCAAGAAGTTAATGGTTTCAGTTCAGATCAAATTTTGAAGTATTACAAATCTGAAAATGGTGGGTGGAATAAGTACTTAACACTGTTAGATACATATGCCAACATTAGTGCTATGTAAAATTGAAATTAGAAGAGAATTTGACAATATCCCCTGCATGACAGTGTGGTTAAGCGTTAAAATTTCCACCTACAGGGAGAGAGAAAAGTGGGAAAGATTGGGGGTGACAATAACTGTGTCAGCAATATTTAGGATTTTTAAAGATAGAGTTGTCAGTATGAAAGCCGTGTGATAACTGAGCATAATGCTCAGTTGGAGGAAAAGCCCAACAGGATAAATTGCATTGAGTGCCATATTTGATCAAAAACATGAAACACTTTAGTAACAAGATGATGAATGTTTTAATGATGTCAACACTTAATTAACCAATTTATGCCTAGTGTTCCATTATTGGAACGCTAAGCTTGTGGGAGTTATTTCTATCCCACTGCTCAAGGTCATCGTCAAGGTCTGATTTTTCACAAGAAAGTTTTACAACCTCTGGCATAAATGGGTTAAAACTGCAAATTAGGGCAATGTGAACCTGAAATACATTGAAATGTTTTTTAGTTGAGTAAAATTCCAAGCCCTTGCTTACCATCCCCTTATCTCTCCAAATAAAAAGGTCATATTCATCGAAAGTCAGCAGGATCTATACAATTGATTTATATATACCCAAATTGTGTTTTTTGCTAACATTGATTTAGACCTCATAATTATTCCCAGACTGTACTGAGAAACAAAAAGTGATAATTTGTCAAACAGCTTGATTATGTTTAGAATCTGGAATGCACCAGGAGTGGTGGTGCACACCTGTAGTCCCAGCCACTCAGGAGGCTGAGGCAAGAGGATTGCTTGAGCCCAGGTGATTGAGGCTACAGTGAGCTATGATTGTGCCACTGCACTTTAGCCTGAGCAACAGAATGAGACCCTGACTCTAAGAAAAGAACAAAAGCAAAAACAAAAAAGCCAGAAGAAGATTGGAGGATTATCTAATCTTGCCCTTATTGTCCTATAAGTGCAATTTTTTCAGGGTCAAAATTAACAAATAGGTAATTTTATGAAAACTAGTCTGCTTACTGAAATTTATATTGTGCAGATTTGTATTTGAGATAGCTGAAACTAATTATGGTAAACAAGGCCTAAGTTATGAAAATATTACCTATTAGATCATGATATTAATTACCATATGGCTTTACTAAGCCATAAACATTTATTGTAAAGAGTTCCACTGGTTTGTGCTCCCATATGGTCTTAAACATTTCTGGTTAATACCAGACTATTATGGCATTATAATTCAACATTTCCTCAAGTCTCTAGTGGAATAAGAATATAAAATTACTTAGGTTTTTCTTGAGTTTTTTGGGAGTTGGAGGGGATGAAGATTAATCTCTATTGCTCTAGATATTAATATAACTTTTAAAAAACATTGGTTATAATGTTTTAAAAAAAATGAGGCATTGGAATTACATACAAATTTCACTCAACCCATGTGGATTTCCCTGCGTAGAAATTGTACTGTGGCTGAAGTTTTAATCCTTGCTAAGTGGGGTAGTGCATGGATTACATCCCCATGCCTGAGATGGTGGAGCCCCCATTTTCAGGAATTATCTGAATTCCTGGATTTATGAATGTTAATCTGGATCAGCATTTTTTTTTTTTTATTTTTTTTTGGAGACGGAGTCTTGCTCTGTCCCCCAGACTGGAGTGCAGTGGTGTGATCTCGGCTCGCTGCAATCTCCGTCCACCACAATCTCCGCCCCCCGGGTTCAAGCGATTCTCCTGACTCAGCCTCCCAAGTAGCTGGGACTCTAGGCATACGCCACCATGCCCGGCTAATTTTTGTATTTTTAGTAGAGACGGGGTCTCACTGATGATCCACCCGCCTCGGCCTCCCAAAGTGCTAGGATTACAGGCGTGAGCCACTGCGCCCAGCCTGGGTCTGCTTTTTATTGGTTCGCTGCAACATGGAAAAAAACCAGAGACAGTGTAGTGAATTATTTTTAGTAAATGTGAATTTATATAACTTACAATATAGTCTTATATTCCTGCATCATGTACTTCCTACTTGGTTGATGTTAAAAATCCTTTTTTTGTAAAAATGTAATTTTAAAATGTCCTTGGCAAAATATAAAGTTTGTCGATTCTAATTTGGACATCTAATTTTTGGGGGAAGTTTTACCAAATAGTGAAATCTCAAAGTCTGAAAATCACTAAATTTAAAATCAGTGAAATTGATATTGAACCCAATTTGAAGGCTTGATGCATTAAAATTTAATACTTAATAATATCAACCAAGTTCTTTTCAGATCATTAAAAGTGAAATCACAAGTTTTCAGTTTCTTCTAAACTACTGAAGAATTTAAATATGCATGAGGTGGGAAAAATAGGAATAAAGGAGCAGATATATTTTCTTGACCTACTATATTCTCTGTATCAGTGTCATCTCCAGCATCCTTTTTGAGAAACTATTTGGAGATAAAGAAAAATTAAGATTCTTACTAAGCTGCAAGTGAAAATCACTAATATGCCCTTGATTTTACAATAACTGATGCATATAAGTCATTCCCATTTTTGTTTCTTAGTAATTTTAAAGTTAATTTTCTCAATTAAGCTAAGTATAAAGGAGTGTTAAGGTGAAATTGTAAAATATTCATTGTTGCATAATCTCATTAAACCTCAGCTGTTTACATTGTATTCTGTTTCTTCCTCAGTGAGAAAAAGAAAGAAAAGGAGCGTGAAGAATTGTGGAAAAAATTGGAGGATCTGGAGTTAAAGAGAGGTCTTAGACGTGATGGAATAATTCCAACTTAACAAAAACAATGACAACAACATTACTAACCTGTGGAGTCACACGTTTATGTAGTAGAAGATGGAGCAACAGTTTTCTGTATTGTGCAACTTTACAGTAGATTTCACCTTTGTTTCATTATTACAGCAGCACTGTATATACCTGTCTCTAAGTAAAGGAAAAAACAAAATAAGGACTTCAATCCAAAGTTTGGACAGTAGATGGACTTCTCAGAACTTTGCAAACATAATCATTGTTCTCACCCTCTTTTAAAAAAAAAAATCGGTCTTCAAAGATCTGTTGATGAAATTGCTATGTTAAAATTCCATTATCGGGAGTTCCTTATTTATCACTAGCAGAGAGTATGATACAATTTTCAAATGTGAACAATCTTAAATTTAGCTTGTCTTTCTGCTAAGCTGTTAAATGTATTTATAGTAAAGGAAGAAAAAAAGACTGTCATTTCCTTATAAGTTTGTGTAACATCCTCCTCTGGATAACTTGACTGTAATTTAACATCTTTTTCTTTTGCACATCTTCCTGAGTTGAATGTCCACGTGGAATGGGGTCATGAATTATAAAAGTCCCTGATAAAAGTTTTGTTTACTGGGGTGAACATCTTTCCAGTAACCAGGTAGTCCTGGTACTCCTTTAGTTTTAAAATTAGGAGTTAAGAGAGAAGAGGTGATAAACATAGTAGGGAAGGGAATATCGGATTCATGCATCAGTTTATGGTGAATCCAAATCAATGTCTTGAATCCTTTGAAAACAGGCACTGGGACATCACAGGCTTCAGTACCTGACCAGTATTAGTTGCATATATCATTGAACACACATACCAGAGATGTTTTAGAAATGTGAGAAAAACATCCTTTTGGACCATTTGAAATAAGAAAGACAAACACTAAACAATACAACCATGAAATTGATCACCGGGATTGCAAATCTAATTGGGAAAAGAGTTGAGCAAACAGCTTGGACTGTTTGGAGTTGTTGCCTTACTTTTTAATATGTATTTATAAAGTATTCCAGCAAAAGAGGATGTAGCCTCTGGGAAAAAACAAACATGTTACAGTGTTTTTTGTAGATTCTCGTTCTATATCTCATCACAGCGCCAGCCCTGTTTTTAGCCGGAAAGGATTCAGGATAAACATTATTATGCATTCTGAATTGGATGCATATTCCTAACTACTGTATTTGTTACCAAAAGTGGTTCTACAAATGCTACTGAAAAAAATCTGGAAATTCCTAATGTCCTGAGTATTAATAATAAAGTTTAAAAATGCTTTTATATCAAAGGTGCATCGTGACCAAATTGTTTAAGAAAAAAAAACAAAAAAAACAAAATCTAGGGCTGTATTTTATATATATATATATATATATATATATATATATATCTTATTGGCTCTCTGCTTTGTATTTAAATGAAGAATCTTACATCTTGGGTAGGTAAACTGCTGATAAAATTTGTGTACAGTATGTACTTACCTAATGCAGTTGCATTATTACGTACTGAAAGATATGTGTTTGGAGGTTTATTTCCAGGATGCATTTGCTTGTTTTGGTCATGGCAGCAGTGAGTTGGTAATCCTAAACCATCACTTCCAGCAGTATTCATGGTATAGAGCTGATCTGTGTTCATATGTTGAATTGTGATAGTAGCAAACATGAACATATGAACTATTGTTGCTCTTAATAGAAATACAATATAAATATGGGCTTGTATATTTTCTTCCTTACATTTAAATATAAAGTAGAATACGCAGTTTTATTATTTTCAAGAAAAAGAAAGAGAAGCTGCTGACCTTTCTCCCCCATAAAGTTTTTCAGGATGATCAGGTCACAGTGTGTACGTAAGAGTCAGCTAATTATGGATATTGTCATCTCGGTAACTTTGTAAAAAAACAAACAAAACTGGCATTGTTAATTCCAAAAAGAAAAAAAAAAGCAGTAAAAAAAAAAAGTCATATGCAACACCAGACGCAACATGGTTTAATGGAATTAATAGTTTTTTTTTTTTTTTTTTTAAAGAACATTGATGGGGATTCACTGTAAAGTTGGCAGAGGCTGCCAAAGACGAAACAACTGACTTTAAAAATGCTGGAACAATGTGATAAAAAATAAATTTGTAACAAATCTTCTCCTTTTTAGCCCTTGTCATTTTAGCCCTTTAGTTTCAACTCTGCATTATATTTAGTTTATATAGTGTAAACTTTTGTTTGCCATTAATTCATCTTTTTAGGTAGAAGACATTAAAATCACAGGTTTATGAAGAATCTCTGCTCATTGGAATGAAATGCAGTCATTTGAAATGAGAAAGGCCAGGATCCTTTTTTGTACCTTACCCTGTCTTCAAGAGTAAAGGTGAACACTTACAGCTCTCCTCCTTGATGTCAATTTTGTATGTTGATCATTCCAAACTGAGAAGAATAAAGCCACATTTTAGACATATTTATAGAATCAATTAAAGCTATATGTCTAAAATTCGTAGGGCAACTTCTGAGAAGAAACACCGTCTTTTTCTTTTTTAATGGAAAGTGACAATGTGACATTAGTCATGTTGTGTGCGGTGACGCAGAGTAACTGAGGTAATCTGACTGTTGCACTATGTGACATATTTCAGGACGTACTTGCTGCATTTGCAGCAGCCCTCTCTCTCTGTCCCTTCCCACAATTCTGCTGTTGCTGCAACTTGAGTTAATTGTGACAAATGCATCTTTGTGTTATATTTTGTTTGCTTCATAATTTCCAGAACTATATATAAATATATTTTTTAAATAGCAAATATTGTAGTTAGTGAGTGATGATCACTCCAACCTTATCCTTACCATATTGGTTTCAGGGATAGGATTAAGAGTGTCTTTGGAAGAGAAAAATACACACAACCCTGTGGTTTAGAATGACGCTGAGGCCTTAGGCTGTGGGCCTAGAACAACTATGTGAGTGAATTCACCCATCTCATACTTTGAATCAAGCATGCATTCCTGTTTCTCATTGTGAAGTATCCCCAGTTGTTTTCCTTCAGTGTTGAGTTTTTGTCCTTTTAAATTTTATTATATTTTGCTCTCCCTAACATTTGACTGTTTTTTATAAAAGAAAAGAAAAAAAAAGAAATAAATAATACCCTCGATGCCACTGGATACTCACAAGCAGGGTTATGCTCCTTCATCTTGGGCTTGTTTGCCTAAATGAAAGGGTTTAATTTATTTTGTACCTCCTATGCGTGGGATAGTCCAGGGTGCAGAGCCAGGACTTGCTTGTAATTGCACCTGCTATACTTAAATGTATAGCCCTAGGCTCAATCACACTATGGAAAGAAACAAAAAAAGTATATTTAGAGCTTTAAAAGCTTTTTTATTTTTTTGTGGGGATGAGGGTGGGATGGGAAAGGGATGTATGGATGTTATTGGCATTTTTAAGTGTTTAGAGTTTTTTGGGGTTTGGGGTGGTTTTTTTTCCTTGTTTTCCTTTTTTCCTTTTAATTGGATGCACTGACCTGGCCCAGGAAATGAAGAGATTCTCTTTTGATGCTATTACCAATGTTATCATAAAGTGACAGTCACCTGTAACAAAAAGGTGGCACCAGACATGATCACTGATGTTTTATTTGCACATCAATATTTTTATTTTTGTATTCTGGCTCAGCTGCTTCTCTGAGTGGAGTTAAGGAATGAGCCACAAAGATTTTTGTAGTAGGTATATTGGCATTGCATTTTATATTCCTCTATATTTAATTTTGAAAACCTAAAAGAAGGATTGTGCATCTTGAGAGAAAGTTGAGCAAATTGTGATCTAGCGGAATGTTAATTTGTGCTGCTTCTTGTGCACGATAGCAGCAGTAGTATCTCTCTTGGAAATAAACATCCCATATTATGATGTCTATGAATATAGGTTTCCTTTTCTTCCTTCCCTCCCTCCTTCCCCCACCTTTCTCTTTTTTTTTTCTCTCTCAGCTTCTCTTTTCCTCCTTCCCTCTTCCCTTCCTCTTTCTTTACTTTTTTTGAAATCACTTATTGTAAATAAGTTGTAATCCAAACCTCATGTATCAATGGGGAATTTTCAAATATAAATATTACCAATGCATTTTCTGGTTGTTGTCTGATTTTTGATTGAAGTATAATGAGAATGACATGTCTGTTGCTTTTGGTTTGAGGACTTCGCTTTAGCTTCATAAATCTTTTGGTATTTTAGTATTTCATTGTTTTAGCAGGAGAGGGCAGCAAAAGTTCATTTTCCCTGTTAGTAATGCTGTGGTTCATGATCGGTTTTAAATTTAGCTGTGTGTGTGTTTTTTTAAACAGCATCTCTTTGTGAGTAGAGGTAAAAATGAAACATTTTTGATATGAAAAGTTGCATATGAAAATTATAGACTGGTTCAACCAGACAGTGAAGACTTCTGATCCACATCAAACTTAAAATGCCACAAAACAATCTTCCACCTCTGGCTAAAACATGCTACTTCCTTTTCAAACACCACAAAATACAAGCTGAGTCTTAAACACTTGGAATTTAAAATGTTTTTCTTTGGAAATGATTTGCTTTCTTCAAAGTGGTAACAGAAACAAAAATGAAGGTGCTCCCCAAAAAGAAATGTAACCTTCCCCTTTCACAGATGTGTGAGAGGTTCTGTACTGTGGGTGCATCATAATAAAGAAGCAGTGAAGAGTTTTCAGGTGCCTGGCTGTTTTTGTTTGTTTGTTTCTGAACTCCGTGGCCTTTTGAACCATACAAATATTAGATTTGATTAACTTAGCTTTGAGGCAGTGGGGTTGGTATGTTCAGGCTTTCATTTTGAGAAGTCAGTTTATGATTATGAGTATGTAATATTGGGAAATGGTCCAGTATCGGTTGCTGTATAACATACTACTCCAAAAGTAGAGGCTTAGAAAAACAACAATTTATTCTCATCACAAATCTATAGTTTGGGAAGGACTTGGCAAGAACATCGTGTCTCTGATCCTCGAGTGTCAACCAGGGTGTCACAGGTGGGGCAGGAAACTTCACTTTCAACATGGCTCACTTACATGGTTGACAAGTTAGTGCTGACATTTGGCTTGGAGTTAAACCAGGGGTCTCAGTTCTTCCTCACAGTACTTTCTTCTTGGGCTTCCTCACAGCATGGCAGCTGGGTTCTAGGAGGCAGGAAGTGGAAACTGCCTCTTCTTTGAGGCCTGGGCCCAGAAACTATCATGGCATCACCTCCATCATATTCTATTGGTCAGGCGGTCACAGAACCTGCTCAGATTCAAGTGGAGGGGGCATAGTCCTCACTGTGAATCAATGAGAAGTATTTTCAGTGATTTGCAGTTATCTTTAAGCTACCATGGGATAGTTTTTTTTTTTTTTTGTAAAGTATTTGATTTAGGTGTGATCTACGCCCTTAGCTAATTAAATTACATCAAATTGGAACCATGTGGAATTAACCAATTAATATTTCATATTAAAATTAATCTGGGTTTGGAAGGGAAAAGCCCTTGTATATGTCAGCAATTTTGTATTTCAAAGCATAACCACTTGTAGCACCTGAAGATCAACCTCTTGGTAAGTTAGAAATAAGAAACTTGTAACAGAAAATTTTAGGGTTCAAGAGACTTAAGAGATGATTTTAAGAAAATATTTAATTCTTTGCATAATGTTGCTTCCTGTCTATAAGTAAATATTTACAAGAATGGATGCAAAGTAAATGTACACTAAAGATACAGATTTTTGTATAAGTAGTATGTCTATTAGATAAGTAATGTTTCTGTTAAAGTTTACATTATACTTTTAAAGTTTTTTAAGGGAGACCAAAGTATGTGATTGTTAAAGGGGAATTAGTTTGACTTTTTTTTAATGATTTTTTTTGGAGAAAGTATTGCTTTTTTGTTATTAGGCACATACTTTTTGTGGACCACTGGAAACAAGAGTAGATAAACATTTATTGCCTATCAGCCAAATGAGAGAACCTCTGGATAGATTCTCAATTTTATTATTACAAAAAAAAATCAATGAGATTATTAGCCTTATTAAACACATGGGGAAATTGAGACTCACAAATTAAATAATGGGTCTAAATGTACATGATTGATTCTTCTATGATGCGTGTTCATTATACAATACACATTCTCGGAAAGGCAGAATTATTTGCTTTTATGATTGTTTTTTGTGACCTAAGAAACGGTTCTTCCCCCATTTTCCTATCCCAGGCCAAAAAATATTCTCTCACGTTTTTCTGTAAGAGCTTTATAAGTTCAGCTTTTATATTGAGGTCTGTGATTCATCTTGGATTATTATGTGTAGGTTGTAAAATAGGAATCTAGGTCCAGTTTTTCCATGTGGATATTCAGTTATTGTGGGGCCAATTGTTGAAAAGTCTCCCCAAAGAACTGCTTTCTTATCAGAAAGATAAGATATATTAAAAGTGTATATCTAAGTCTGGGTTCTCTTTTCTGTTCTAATGGTTGATATTTTTATCCTTATGCCAGAACCACACTGTCATGATTGCTGTAGCTTTATAATAGTCTTGAATCAAGTTGTCTTTCAGTTTTGTATTTTTCAAAATTGCTTTCGGTATTCTAAGTCCTTTGCATTTCTGCATAAAATTTAGAAGCAGCATGTCTACCAAAGGGAAAAAAAAAGCCTGGGTGGGATTATGATTGGGGTTACATGAGTGCTGTGCTCTCATGAATGTATTGATGCCATTACTGGGAGACTGGGGGTGGGTTTGTTATTACAGGGAGTGGGTTCATTTTATTTAATAAAAGGGTGAGTTTGGTTCTGTCTCTCTCTCTTTCTCCCTCTCTCTTGCTCCCTCCCTCCCTCCCTCTCCAGTCCTCCCCCTTTTACCTCCACATCTTGCCTTCCATCTTGGGATGACAAGCAGGAAGGTCCTTGCCAGATGCCAGCACCTTGATATTGGACTTCCCAGCCTCCAGAACTGTGAGATTCTTTTCTTTGTAAGTTACCTAGTCCCTGGTATTCTGTTACAACAGCACAAAATGGACTAAGACATAATCCATAAACATGGTATTGCTCTTCATTTATTTAATCTTAATTAAATGTGTTGTTAGCCATAGGTTTTTCCTAGATGCCTTTTATCAGATTGAGGAGGTACCTTTTTATTTCTAGTTTGCTGAGAGTTTTTATAATGAAGAATGTTATTTGTTAAATACTTATTAAATATATTAAAATGATATGATTGTTTTATTGTGCTTAATTACATTAAATTTCTGGGATAAACATCTGTGTAGGTTGTAAGAAAGGAATCTAGATCTCTCTGTGTGTGCGTGTGTGTGTGTGTGTGTGTGTATCATTGAACTTAAATCTCTAAATTTATAATCTTTCATGATGTTTTTGGTAAGTTTCTAGTCAAATATTTGAAATAATTATTTTTCAAATATTCTCTCTGCCCCATTCTTTCTATTGCCTTCTTCTGTGACACTAATTATGTATTAACTTTTTGGTATTGTACTATAGGTCACAGAGGTACTGTTGATTAAAAATTTGTTTTAATTGAGATGAGATTCACAATAGTAAATAGTAAAAGTAGCCATGTTATGGTGTATGATTTATTGACATTTGATATATTCACAATATTGTGCAACCATCATTTCTTTCTAGTTCAAAATATTTTCTTCCCCCTAAAAGGAAACATAGTACCCGTGAAGCAGTCACTTCCTATTCTTGCCTCAGCCCCTGGCAACCACTAATATGCTTTCTGCCTTTATGGATTTACCTATTCTGGATATTTCATATCAATGGAATCATACAGTATGTGACCTTTTGTGTCTGACTTCTTTCACTTAGCATGTTTTTGAGGTTCATTTATGTTGTAGCATATATGAGTACTTCATTCTTTTTAATGGCTGAATAATATTCTGTCATGGATATACCATATTCTGTCATGGATATACCATCTATTTATTCATTTATCAGTTTATGTGCATTTAGGTTATTTTTACTCTATGGCTCTTATAAATAGTGCTTCTAGGAACATTAATTTTAAGTTATTGTTTGAATACCTATTTTTAATTCTTTTGGGTATATTGGTAATTGTAGAATTGCTGTTTCACTTTTTGAGAAACTGTCAAACTTTTTCACAGCAGCTGCACTATTTTACATTCTTGCCAGCAGAGGGTTCTAATTGCTCCACATCCATGCCAGGACTCATTTTCTCATTATTATTGTTGTTGTTGTCATCTTAGTGAGTGTGCCATGTTCTTTTTTAAAGAGTGTCTTTTTTTTTTCAGTGCTCTTTAAATTGGATAACTTGTTGATTTATCTTTAAGTTCACTGGTTGTTTCCTGTCATCTTTATTTGCTGTTAAGCCCATACAGTATATTTTTTCTTTTAGATATTGCATTTTTTACCTTAGAATTTCTACTTGGTTCATTTTTATAGTTTCTCTTTCTCTGTTGAGATTGCCTATCTCATCATTCACTATTTCTTAACATCACTGAGCATAATTAGAATATTTGTCATAAATTTCTTGTTTGCAAATTCCAACATCAGGGTCATCTCAGGATCTGTTTTTAAGTCTTTTTCTTGAGAATTTGTCACATTTTCCTGGTTTTTCATAGGTCAAGCAATGTTGGATCCTGTCCTGGCTATTTTGAATATTATGTTATGGGAACTTTGTATTCTGTAGTATTCCTCTGAAGAGTTTTGATTATTTTGTTTTAGCAAACAATTAACTTGGAAGAACTCAAACTGCCACCTCCTCTGGGGCAGCAGCTGAAGCTCAAATCTCAGTTCAATTATTTTGTCCTTTCCTGGAGTTTGTTCCAGGCTTGCAAGGGCGGGGTTAGCCATAGATTTGGGCTGAGTTATATGCAGGATTTCGTTTGCTCTTTTCTGATTCTCTCTTTTGTGGGGTATACCCTCACTCCCAGTGTCTGTGGTTGCTCCGAACTCTCTCCTCTGGTTCTTCAGGCCAGAAAGACAGTTTTTCTGTTGGTGTTCTACCTCACGTAGTGCTAACTCTCAGCCTCAAACTCATAAACATGGAAAGCTTACCCAGTATCATCCTTTTCTTCCCGAGTTGACTTCCCTCCAGAATATGCTTTTCAGGGCTTTCTAGTTGCCTTCCTTCCTTTGTATTTTGCACTTTGTTCTTCGTATTTTGGCTAGATTTTATCGTGTTTATCTGCAAGAGGAGGTTTATTAGGATTTTAATCAGATATTCTGAAAGCAGATCTTCCCTCAAAGGTTATGTTATGAAGAACCATAGTTTTTTCCCCTGACACATATCTATTCTGCATATCAGGCATCGTGCTAAGTCAAGATTATTATAGGTTCCCACACATCAGCCATTTACATATCACTGTCACGAATTTTGCCATACACAGTTGACTCTTCAACAACATGGGTGTTAGGGGCACTGACTCCCTTCACAGTCGAAAATCTTTTGACTCCCCAAGAGCTTAACTGCTAATAGCCTACTGACCAGAAGCTTTACCAGTAACATAAAAAGTCAGCTAACATATGTTGTATGTTTGCATGTTTTGTATGTTATATGTATTATATATTGTATTCTTAAGCTATAGAAAAGAAAATGTTATTTAGAAAATCATAAGGAGAATATGTTTACTGTTCACTAAGTAGAAATGGATTAGCATAAAGGCCTTCATCTTTGTCATCTTCACGTTGAGTAGGCTGAGGAGGAGGAGGAAGAGGAGGGGTTGGTCTTGCTGTCTCAGGGGTGGCAGGGGCAGAAGTAAATCCGTGTATAAGTGCTATTCAAACCCATGTTGTTCAATGGTTCATGTTGTTCTGTGCTGTTATACTTGTAACTTAGCTTATTTAAAATGACTCATTTTAATTCAAATTTGTTTTTGAAACTTTTTATTTTTAGATAATTTTTGACTTAGGGAAGTGTTGAAAAATAGTACCAGAAATTCCTGAGTACCCTACTTTCTCCTCAGCTTCCCCTTGTGTTAACATCTTCTATAACCGTAGAACATTTATCCTTGGTACAATTGTCTTAGATACAGTACTATTAACTAAAATACAGAACTTATTCCAGTTTCACCAGTCTTTCTTTTAATTCCCTTTTTGTCTTTCAGAATTCAATCCAGACTCCACATTATATTGAATTGTTATGTCTCCTTGGTCTTTTCCAATCTGTGACAGTTCCACAGTCTTTCCCTAAATTCCACAACTGATACTTTTGTACTTCTCCAGTTGCTTCTCAGAAAGTCCCTCAATTTGGGTTTTTCTGATATCTTCTCATGATTAGATTGCAGTGAATACATTGTTTGGAAAGGCATTTCGGAGATGATATGCCTCTTTCAGTGCATGATATCAGGGGTACATGTTGTCAGTGTGTATTGCTGGTGATGTTAACCTTGATCATTTGGCTATGGTTCTGTTTAGAAGGACTTTGCACCATAAAATTACTATTTTTCTTTTTATAATTACTAAATACTTTGGAGGAAATACTTAGAGACTATGTAAATGTCTATTTCTGCTTAAACTCTTGTCTGCTAATTTTTAATACAGTGTTCTAATGGCAGTTTTCTATTTTCTCTCATTCCTAATAAATTTACGAATTGAAATTCTTCTGTAAGGAAGAGTAGTTGCTTCTTCCCCGTTTATCTATTTCTTCACATATTTATATCTATGTGGACTTGTGGATTTAATTTTATCCTTTGGGTTATAATCCAGTACTATTATTTTGTTTAAGTTGTTCCATTGGGAGCTTTTTCAGGTTGGCTCCCATGACCTTTTGATATGTGCACCCCACCCCATACACACACCCCTCTTTTTTAAAGCACTTTCTTTCTTTCTGGCACCATCACATGCTTCAGGTTTATTTTATATTTTTCCTGCCCTAGCCCCAGGAACAACCAGTTCTCTAGTGAATCTTGCTTTCTTTTATTAGAGAATGGTATTTAGAAACCAAGATCTGGATGCTAGATGTGTTCATTGCTGCTGTTTCTAGCCCCTCCCAGTAGAGATTTCTAGGATATTTATGTTTGTACACTACTGCATACACACATCTGTGTTTCCATATTTATCTGCCTATATTTTTAAAAACATGAATACATTGTTAAAACCTCCAACTCTAATCCAGCACCACAGAATTCATTCTAGCCTCTCCCTTTCCTTATTAGTAACTCCCTTCTCCAACAGTGATAAAACTGGTAATATGATCTGTAATATATTTACTTATTTGTTCAACTTTAATATACAAGTAAGGTAGTTTCAGAGTTCTTAACCAACACCTATAATAAGAAACAAATTTACCAACTATAGTACAGCATTTGTATACAGTTCTTTTTGTCTTTAGCTTCACAGTATTCATTTAAAGCACTGCTTTCCACAGCAATTTAGGTCAACTCCTTCCCCATCCACTTCAGTGTGGTTATTATAATTAATTTGTAATAAAGTTAGTCATTTGTCATAATCTCCTTTTCATCTTTTCCTCCACATCTTGGTTGATTTAAAAAAAATTTAAATATAGCACAATTTATTTCTTTGTTTTATACAGTCCTATGGTTTGGACAAATGCATAGAACCTGGTATCTACTACCACAGTTCCAGGTGGAAGAGTTCCATTGCCCCTCAAAACTTCCTCATGCTCCTCCTTTACAGGCAATTCCTCTTGTCAGCCCAAGTCATAGGAACCACTAATCTATTTTCCTCCCTATAGTTTTGCCTTTCCAGAGTGCCATATAAATGGGATCATACAATATGTAGCCATACAAATGGACCTATCTTATTTCACTTAGCAAAATGCATTTAAGATTCATCCATGTTGTGTGAATCAATAGTTTATTCCTTTATTGCTGAATATGTTCCATTGTTTCTTTGTCTACTTGCCAGTTAAAGGAAGTCTGGGTTGTTTCCAATTTTTGGTAAATAATTTTGAATAAAGTTACTATAATCATTTGTGTGCAGGCGTTTGATAACAAGTTTTCATTTCTCTTTGGTATATACCTAGGATTACCCAGATTCAGATTTATAGGGTCCACTGGGTGCCCATCAAAATGAGTGAAAAAGACTCTCGTCAAGGTACATACTTCTGAAATTTTCGCAACATATGAAGAATAAAGAGTAGACAGATCCTAAAAGCTCCCAATAGGGGGAAAACATTTAGAGAATCAAGAATCAGAATGATGGATCTCCTCAAAAGTATCACTGGGTGAAAAAGACAATGGGACAATGCTTTTAAATTTTTAAGGAAAAGTGATTTTCAACCTAGACTTCCATATGCAGCCACTCAATTGTGAGGGTTGAGGTTTTAGACATGCTGTATCCAGAAAATTTACGTCTCATGCATTTTACTTAGGTTCAAAACTACTTGAGGATGTACTCCAGCAAAACAAAGAGAGTAAAACAAGAAGGCAGAAGACAGGATCCAGGAAACAGTGGATCCCTCCTAGGGGGGCACCAATGGGAAATACGATAGTTATACAGCAGGCCTAGAAAGCAACCATTGTAGATTGAAGCATGGGGATGAAAGACTGCAAGCAACAAAAAAAGGGGCAGGGGAGGGTTGAAGGAAGGACTTTGTAGAAAAACTGATACAATAATTGGAAAGGATTAATGAAATGTAAATGGCAGACAGGATAAGAGAATAAGATAGGCAATTAGAGACTGTATGGGAAAAAGCTTTCTAAGAGGAAAAGTAATCATAGTATATTACTGGGCTGGCAGAGAATATTTACAGTCATATTAGTCACAAGCTTTGATTATTGATTTAATTAATAATGATGCTATAACTATTAGGGTGGGAGCGAAGAGGTATAGGTGGAAACAAGAGAGCTGAATCCTTAATGTCTGTAGAGTTGCTAAAAAAAGAAAGAGCAGTATAAGCCAACTGGAAATGTGGAAGCAATTACTGACAGTTTAAGAAGTGAAAATTAGTTAAAAGTAGTCAAAAAAGGAGAGAAGAGAGTGTTCATGCAGGAGGCATAACCATGTTTTACTAAAGTCTCAGTGCCTGAAAAATGGGTCAAATAAATAGCCTGCATTCTTTTTTCAAAAGCTCAGTGTCACAAACCTGAGACAGCCTCAGCAGATTGAGACAGGCCTATTGGTATAAAGGGGCTTTCTTTGAGGCCAGTGTGATTACATATATAAAGATAAAGCAGATCCACATCAAGCGTTAGGAAGGAACAGGTTGCCTGATACCTCCCCAGATACATTTTTTTTTTTTTTTTTAGCTTTTGAGAATGCAGGGGTCAGGAATTGATTTGTGCCACTGTTTATTGTATCCCAGATTAGAAAGAAACCTGGCACAAATAGCCTTCTAGTTTGCTTGAATGAGGAAATGTGAACATCAGATGGTGTTAATGAGTTAGGCGTTTACAGGCTATTTCACTGACACAAAAAGGATATTATCACTGTTCCCCATTGCACTTCAGCACCTGGAGCGTCTCAGACAATAGCGAATTCACATAATGAGCAATCTGAAGTGTCAAGTGATGATGACTGAACAAATCAAGCTGTGGATTTGCAAAGGAAGGCCAATTTCTTTGTGAGAACTCCGGAACAACATTGTCTCTTTAGAAAGCCCAGTGCTGGCTACAGGAGGTCTGGCTGGCTGGGAAGGGGCCACACGGAGGGACCTGAGAGAAGGCCATCGGCAAGAGAGGGAGAGGAACTTTATTGCTTCCGCAGACTGTAAATCTCAGGGCCGAAGGTCACCAGGCATCCTTGTGGGGGCTGTAGTTTCATATCCTTCTTATTGGTAATTTGATGAGGAATTATCACAGAGAGAAACCTCTGAAGATCCATAAATGCTGGCTGAAAGGACAATTTAGCTAAATTACAGCAGATGGAGGGGAGAAGGGACGTGCTGGGGAGAATCATTTTAAAGGCTTATGAATAAAAAACACATCAATGGGAGGCTTTATTTTCATGAAGAAATTACATGCATCCTTTCATTTTTACTGTTTATCAAAGTGTAATATCCTTGCAGAAAAGTGCGTGTTTCATACATGAGTGGCTTGCTGAATTTTTACTGGTTTCTTTTTAAAGACAAAAACAAGAAACTGGAGTGAGAGACAGAAGATAGGTTGGGAGAGACTGTATTCTGCTCTGTCACCATCTAGTGACAAGAGGCTGTGGTGCTCCAGTGTATATCTGGTGACCAGGTGTGGCTGTGTCTCCACTTCTAGAAGGACCAGTGATGATTTCCTCAGGTGCGACTTCCTGTGAGGGTGCCCACAACCACGGTGGTCCTGGCCAACTGCATGGCTGTACTCAGCAACACCTGGGAGGGCAGTACGTCTCCAGGTTTAGATTATAAAAGAAACAGGACTATGATCACCTAAGGGAATAAATACAAAGATCTTGCTGTGTTTTTTTCCCAGGAAACTCATAGTTTGTTTCCATCCCGTGATTCATCACTGATTCAGATAAATGACAGAAAGCTTGAAGAAAGGGCAATGGATTGATGTCACTCCTCTTTCTAGAACCTTTCCAAAACTACCTGATACGCAAGGGATAAAAACTAGACTCCTGACCACGGCTTTCAAGGTGATGCTACCTAACTCTCATCCTCTTTCCCGCTACTCCTCTCCTTTTCTCATTCATCCTAACCCCACTGGCCACTGTCCTGTCCTTGGCCATGCCTCAGGGCCTTTGCACTTGCTGTTTCCTCTGCCCCTAGCACTTTGTATGGTTGGCTGCTTTTCACCCTCTTTGCTTAGATGTCAACTCGTCAGTGGACTCTTTTAACTGGTCTACCTAAAACAGGGTCCCTTCTCCAAAATCAATCCCATCTCATCATCTTATTTATTTACTGAATAGCTGACTGCCATTCGAAATTACCTTTGACTTAATTTGTTTACTTACCTGTTGACTACCTCCCTTTCTAGAATGTCAGCTCTATCATGGCAAAGGCTTTGTCTGTCTCACTCATAGCAGTAGCCCAGCTCCTAAAATAAAAGTGCCTTGCACATCGTTGGTACTTAGTAAGCATGTGTTGGATAAGTAAGTGAATGGATAATATGCATAATAAACATATCTACTAGCCTAAATATTTGCAGAGTGAGCCCATTTTTTTTTCTCCATGGGAAGCCCCCACAGGGCCTTGAGCATAGAAGTCTGAGTGCTGTGCTCTACATAGAGACTCCTGGAAAGCCCAGGCTAGTTTGCTAAAATTTTTATCAGTTATCTGTTGCTGCATAACAATTTATTACAAACAGCAATGTAAAACAACACACATGTATTATCTGAGAGTTTCTGTGGATTAGGTATCTGGGTGTGGCTTAGCTGGGTCTTCTGCTGAGATCTCTCACGAGGCTGTAGTTGAGGTATAGTCCAGAATTATGATCTATTATTAAGGACTGACTGGGGAAGGATCTGCTTCCAAGCTCACATGGTTGTTGGCAGAATGCAGTTCCTTGCAATTATAAAACTGAGAACCTGTCTCTGGCTGGCCTTTGGCTGGGTGCTACCCTCAGTTTCTAACTGGCTGTTGACAAGAGACGATCCTCAGTTCCTTACCCTGTGGACCTCCTCACCATGGCTGCTTGCTACACAAAGACAGCAAGGAGTCTTCTAGCAAAATGGGCATTACAGCCTTATGTAACGTGATCACAGAAGTGGCATGTCATCACCTTTGCCATATTCTATTGATTAAAAACAAGTCATGAGCACAGGCCACACTCAGGAGAGAGGATTACACAAGAGTGTGAATGCTAAGAAGTGGGGATCAATAAGGCCATCTCAGAATCTGTCCACTACAGTTTGCTATCTGATTCTCAATGATTTGCCCTCTCCCACATGTCCCTTCACATGCGAAATACATTCATCTTCTCCCAAGGGGCGAAGAGTCTCATCCTATTATGGCATCTGTTCAAAGTCTAGAATCTCACCATCTAAGTCAGAAACTTCACTCTCTGGGTAAATTTCCCCTAGATCTGTCAGTTTTTAAAACTAGAGAAACAAGTTATCACCCTGCACACAACAAACAGTTGTGGAATAGGAATAGGATAATAGCTAAGATATTTCTGTCTAAAAGGGGAAAATGGGAGGTACAAAGGAGTCCTGGGAATAATCCTCTTTGGCTCTTGACTTTGTCCTTTGAGTTCTTGCTTCCACCCTCTGAATCATCCATCCTTTTTTAAAGTGGAAGATAGCATGCATTTGCAGCTTAGTTGTATCAGCTTGTTTTCTTTTTCTTTTTTTTTTTTTTTTTGAGATGGAGTTTCGCTCTGTCACCCAGGCTGGAGTGCAGTGGCATGATCTCGGCTCACTGCAACCTCTGCCTTCTGGTTTCAAGCGATTCCCCTGCCTCAGCCTCCTGAGTAGCTGGGATTACAGGTGCCCGCCACCACGCCTGGCTAATTTTTGTATTTTTAGTAGAGACGGGGTCTCACCATGTTGACCAGGCTGGTCTCTAACCCCTGACCTTGTGATCCACCTGCCTTGGCCTCCCAAAGTGCTGGGATTACAGGTGTGAGCCACCACGTCCGGCCAGCTTGTTTTCTGTAAGTAGGATTTTGGGAGTCCAAATGCATCTCTACATTTTGTACTATCTCTATTCCTTTCAGTCCAATTTGGCAGTGGTTTTGCTGAAATAACTTCCTTGAAAACTTTGCAGGTCTTCCACAGATTTCAATGGGGTTCGTGTCATTCAACAAAAGCCACACTTACAGATCTTTTTGAGATAGCCCTTCTCTACCTTGGCCTCTTGCTGAGAAGACTGAGGGAGAAGAGTTTTAAGCTCCCCAGGTCCCTCTGATTTGATTAAAGCATCTGTGAGGTATACCTTTAATGTGTTGAAAGAGCCCTTTGAGTAACTGAAAACTACTCTGATCCTCTGATCTGTCTTAGATTCTAATAAAAGGCTGTATAGTCACACTCTTGGCCTTTTCTCCATGCCATATTTTCCTGACAGTGCTAAGAAGCGATCTCTTAATTTTAACATATTTTGCTATCTAGGAAATCTAATACTTTTCCAAATGATTAAGTCCTGGTTCTTTGTTGTTTAACGGTTTTCCTTCAGTTTATCTGTATCCTTGTGCAATTTACTATAAGCAGCAAGAAGCAGCCAGGTAGTTCTTTCCTCATCTTGCTTGGAAATCCCTTTAGTTACATAACCAAGGTCATTCCTTAATGTTTTGCTTTCCATATACCACAGGAAACAACTTTGCTCAGCTTTCTGCCACTCCAAGCATCTCCCTTCCTCTGGTTTCTAATAACATGTTATTTCCTTCTGCACCTTCATCAGCAGCCATCCTCAAAATCCCATCTACTTATAGCCTATTTGAGCCAATTTATGTTTTCTCTACCATTCGTCCAATCTCTGCCCAATTCCAAAGCCACTTTTACATTTTTAGGTATTTGTCACAGTATCACCCCACTTCCATGTGTCAAAATTTCTATTGATATGCTTTGTGTAAGCCTTTCATCAAGCAGAGTTAAAGGAGGTTGACAGTTGATTCACTTGCATTCCAGAAGTGCTGAGCAAGGTTTACCATTCTTCCAGCAGGGTTATAGATATAAGAAAAGCTATTGGATGACAGTTAGGTTTTTTGGGCAAGGATGATACTGTTGTCCTGGCCCTGTTATTTCATCATCATAGACAGATTTATTTTCTCTGCACATTTATATGCCTTTAGGGTTCACTATCTCTGTGCTTCGTGAGTAGGACAAATTCTCTTGAAGCTAAGTTATTGGTATAGATTCTGGGGTTCTTGGGAAATATTAGCATCAAGGAGGACACAACTGGGTGAGAGTGGCTTAAAGGGGAATTAGGGATGGGACATTTGGAGATGGCTTTGCGCTTTGTGATTCTTAATCCACCTGAAAAGACATGGACTACCCGGCAGGCCCTTGGGTCACTGCCCACATACTTCCTCCAGCAGACTGACCTTCGAGTAGGATGAGCAGCTCTCATGATGACTGTCCCCTCGAGTGGCAGTCAGGGCACCTCAAGCTTCCTGACACATGATAAAAAGGCTTCAGGCTGGAAAACCCATATTCTGCTTCTAACAAGCCAAGTTGTCATGGCACGCCATGGCTGATGTCCACTCCTGGGGATACACCCTGAAGGTGAGCCTTGGGATACCAGCTGGGGGCCTCCCGCGGCTCAGGAGTGCTGCTTGGCGTTGATGGTTGGTCCCTACTAATCTCGAATGTTTCTCTGTAGCAGATCAAAGTGACAAATCTCCAGACATTTGAGTGCCCTAAGGATCATGCCTGTCTAACTTGGTATGTATCTCATGAGCTTAATTCAGCATGATGTCTTGAATGTCATGGACATGTCCTTCCATCGGCGTCCTTACATCACGGTTGACCAAGTACATCATTCTTCTGCATGGCAAACTGCTACTGCATGAGCAGCAGCATCCTTACAGATGTTTCCATTTCATCCAGATTGATGTAATCCTTAGTCCTAGTGAGGATCCTATTCTCTACGTTTATGTAAATATATTATCTTTCTCTTTTGGAAGATTCATTTTTACCCCTCACTATTAGGAAGGCTCCTTCGATGGTGGCTGGCCCTACCTTATATTTACCCCTGATAGTGTTTGTCCAACTTCCCAACCAACTTTAATTAAAACTCACAATCTGACCATCCTGGCTAACATGGTGAAACCCCATCTCTACTAAAAGTAAAAAAATTAGCCAGGCCTGGTGGCAGGCGCCTGTAGTCCCAGCTACTTGGGAGACTGAGGCAGGAGAATCGCTTGAACCCGGGAGGCGGAGGTTGCAGTGAGCCAAGATTGTGCCACTGCACTCCAGCCTGGGCAACAGGGTGAGACTCTGTCTCAAGCAAAACAAAACAAAAAAAAAACAACAAAAAACTCACAGTCTGTTTCCCTTTTTGGATGGAGATGGGGCTCCCAAGGACAGGTCATATAGGTAATGATCATTTTAGTTGATGTGATATATAGGCAGTTTTAGAGTCTCTTGCTAAGTAGAAAATGCTAATTCTTTAAAAAAAGATAATTCTTATTAACTCTTAAAAAGTAGTTTCCAATTTACGTCAAGTTGTGTCACATTATGTCTTGCCATCAAGCCTGGAGTGTGACCTGTCCAGAGACGGAGGACAGGCTGGCTGAGTAGAGCCTCCTTACCATTTCTCCACCCCTGCCTGTCTCCTCTTAAGAGCAGGTGGGCTTTCCTATATTCTCTTCTCTTGAGTGTAGTGAGTTGAATAGTGCCCCTCCAAAAGATACGTCCACCAGGAACTATGAATGTGACCTTACTTGGAATGGGGTCTTTGCAAATATAATCAAGTTAATGATCTTGAGATGTGATCATTCTGGATTTAGGGTGGGCCCTAAACCCAATGACAGGTGCCCCTATAAAAGAGAGAGACAGAAACACAGACACACAGAGGAGAAGGTAATATAAAGACAGAGGCAAAGATTGCAGTTATGTAGCCCCAAGCCAAGGACTGCTGGCAGCCCTCAGAAGCTAGGAGAGAGGGATGGAATGGGCTCTCTCTCAGGGCTTTCAGAAGGAACCAACCCTGCCCACACCTTGCTTTTGGACTTCTGGCCATGAGAAGGGTGAAAGAGTAAGTTACCACTTGGTGGTGATTTATTGCAGCACCTAGGATGCTAATGAATAAGGGATGTGGCAGAAATATGAGACATTACTGCTTGCAGCATTATCTGGTATGGGGGATAATCTGTATTATCTTCAAGAGAAAGAGCTAAGCATCAGAGGAAGTTATTTGGAGCTGGTGTCAAGGGTCTAGGATGGCTACTGCAAGGTCTTCAAAACCAAAGGAGGCCAAGACGGGGTAGAGGCTACTTTGGCTCAATCACACCAGGTATTTGGCTGAAGGAATAGCTCAGAAGAGTGTACTTCTGTCATATCAGACCAGCCCATGCTTTCTAGCTGGAAAATTAACACTTACTTGGACAGGATTTATTTGCATGCAAAGAATTTTAGAGGAAAATGACCACAGCCATTGCCAGTGAAGAGACTGAATTGGAATTGGAAACTCATTTTCCTGTCACTCAGCAGAACACCCTTCTCCCTTTGGAGCCATAAAAAATCTGTGCTTAGGAAAATGTTCATTCGCATCTGGCTTATGCAGGTGCTAGACATTGCCAGATATGAATAAGGGCAGAAGCTACAGCCTCATTTTTCATGTGGTGAGGAGTGGAGTTTCCTGGAGGGTGAGAGGACACCAGTTGGGAATGAGAGGTTCTATGTGTGTATGTGTGTGTGTGTGTGTGTGTGTGTGTGTGTGTGTGTGTGTGTGCAGGGAACAGGGGACATCACCTACTTCCCAAGCAAGGATTTGCCCTTTGTGGTCTGACATGTTGAGGAGCTGCAGGTCAGCCTAGCACTCCTCAAGCATAAGGAGATGTCTACAGATTGTCCCCTTCTAGGCCAGTACTATCAAGAGTCACAAAAGAGGTACCCAGGCCCATTCTGAGTATATTTGGATTAAGAAACATTGCCCTGATGCCTTGGCAGAGTCCCTTCTAGCCCTGAGTTGCTACAACTTTATGGATAGAAGTTGAAAGCTGGTTTATTTGACATTTTATCAGCCAGGCATCTCTACAAATGCTGGCACATCTAGATTCCTACAGGGTAACAATAATTGGAAATAATCTAAATAGAGAAGAGGGAAATAATTGGCTGTTCTCCATTCTTGATCAGCCATAATGGCAAATCTATGGACTTTCATGAATGACAGCATTGCAGCCGGTGGAGGAGCCGGAGGATCTGAGTTCTAGCCAGTTCTAGCCTTGTCTTCATTGAGATAGAACAACTTACTAAAGCAGAGGGGAGAGAGGCCAGACTCATGACCATGAGATGTGGGTTCCAGTTGCAGCTGTGCTACTAATTTGGTACTCATTTTTTTGGGTTTTCAACTGCCAAACACCTGAATCTCTTTCCTACTCTTGAGAAAATCCAGAGCTCATCTCCCACTCCATTTCGGAGTTGTAGAATCTAGAGTAATGCCTCTAAAAGAGGCGTCACTTCATTGTGTCATGAGGAGAGTTCGACTGGAAGCCTCCGATGTCTGGTAGGGGAGGCACAGCAGAACTGTTTAGTGCCAGAGGGCGGGAGTACCAGTGACGGCTTGTACTGTCCAGGGCCACCCCATGTCAGCCTGACTGGGGCAGTCCTGCCGTGCTAATGTCTGAGCCTGTTCTCCAGACTTTTTTCTCATTTCTTTTTTCTTTTTTTTTAGACGGAATCTTGCTCTGTCACCCAGGCTGGAGTGCAGTGGTGCAATCTCAGCTCACTGCAACCTCTACCTCCTGGTTCAAGTGATTCTCGTGCCTCAGCCTCTTGAGTAGCTGGGATTACAGGCATGCGTCACCACACCCAGCTAATTTTTTAATATTTTTTAGTAGAGATGAGGTCTCACTGTGTTGGCCAGGCTGGTCTCGAACTCCTGACCTCAAGTGATCTGCCCGCTTTAGCCTCCCAAAATGCTGGGATTACAGGTGTGAGCCACTGCGCCTGGCCTTTTCTTATTTATTTTAAGTTCACTAGAGTTGGTTTCTCTTGTTTGCACAGTTGTGTAATTTAAATTAAGCTTTCTGGAATTCTGTTTAAAATGAAGCTCTTTGGAGCTCTAGAATGAAAAATTGGAAGCTAACAGGATCAAGGGGCTGGCTGAGGGATTAGAATACAAGCATGCTTATACTTTCCTCCTGATGAGGAGGTGAAAGACTAGGTTTAAAAAACAGTCATAATGTGTTCAGTTATTCATTGTAGCATGGTTTGTGGTAGCAGAACATTAGAGACAATGAAGCAATAGGGAACTGATGAAATATCCTTTGCCATAGCATGTAGCAAAAAATAAAGTATGAGGAGCTCTCTATGAACTGGTAAGGTGAGATCTCAAAGAGGTATCATTTTGTGAAAAAAAAAATTTCTGAAGAGTTTAGAGTATGCATTTTTTTGTAAAAAAAAAAAAGAGGCAAATATAAGGTTTTTTTGTTATTTCCTTGTATTTGCCTAAGAAAACACTGGAAACATAAGTAAGAAATTAATATACATGTTGTCTGAGGGCAGAACAGGATAAAAGGGGTCAGAGTGGTAGCAGGACTGTTAATATTGGTTGCTTTAAAAGTCATGTAAATATATCTTTTTAAGAAAAGGATTTATAAGATTTCGTTTCTCTAAACATAACGTGTTAAGTGATATATACTATACGTAAAATCTATCTCTTTCTTCTTTCTGTCATTTATCTAACTAGAATTTTAAAAATTCAGCGTGATATTTAGTCTTTTGCTTGGAGTGAAGGCCTTGAGAAGACAGATGTTCCGAGTGGAGAGAGAGCAGGAGCCAGGCTGGAGAAGCAGGCAGGGGCTAGATCACACACGACTTCCAAGGTCATGACATAGGGTTTGGATTTTATCCCAAGAGCAATCTAAAGTTACTGAAAGGGCTTAAACGGGGGAAGAACTGAGTCCAATTTCCATATATTGACTTTTTGCTGCTCAATTTTTTGGTCATTTCACTTACATAGAGGAAGTGTAAGTTGTTTGCAACTCCCAATACCATATCTGAAATTCAACTTTGTTAATGGATTAATTGTCTAATATAAAGGCCCTTCTCTGATTAAAGCAGCTTTTCCTAAAAACCATAGGAATTTGATTTTGAAATCTTTGGTAATCAGTGCGAGTCAATGGGTTGCTAACCTCATGACTATTAGTCGAAGTTGGCGATTACCTTTTGGAAAATGTATTGAGATTTTATTTGTTTTAGTTCTACCATGAGTAAGGTTAGGTTAAAAAAAAACCCAGTGAATTCTAGAAACAAATGAGCAAAAAATCATCTCTCCCTCTCTTTCTCTCCCTCTCTTCCCCTTTCTCTCTTTCTAGTTTTAGTCTATATCTTCTGTAGGGCCATGGTTCTTAAAGTGTGGTCTTCAGACCCTGGGACTTTTTCAGGAGGTTTGCAAGGTAAAAACTGTTTAAGGAATAATATTAAGATGTCATTTATTCTTTTAGATGTGTTGACATTTGCTCTGGTGGCATAAAAGCAGTGGAGGACAAAAGTGCTGGTGCTTTAGCGTGAATTAAGGCAGCAACACCAAACAGTAAAAGTAGTCATTAAAATTTTTACCACCACATGGTTGGGTGCAGTGGCTCATGCCTGGAATCCCAGCACTTTGGGAGGCCAAGGCGGGTGGATCACCTGAGGTCAGGAGTTCGAGAACAGCCTGGCCAACATGGTGAAAACCCTGTCTCTACTAAAAATACAAAAACTAGCCGAGTGTGGTTGTGCACGCCTGTAATCCCAGCTAGTCAGGAGGCTGATTCTCCTGAGGCTCAGGAGAATCACCTTGAGCCTGGGAGGCAGAGGTTGCAGTGAGCCACAGTCACACCACTGCACTTCAGCCTGGGCAACAGAGTGAGACTCTGTCTCAAAGGAAAAAAAAAATTACCACCACACATTCTCAGTTAAAAAAAAAAATGCTACTTTCACTTAAGAAAATTCTTGATAAAGCAGTAAAAAGTATTAATTTTACTAAATTTCCATCCTTGGAAAGGATGATTCAAGGATTCCATCCTTGAATCATCTTAATACTTTGTGTGATGATGCTATGAGAGGTTTACATAATGTGAGTGTGCTGCATTTTGAACTATATTGTCTTGAGGAAAAGTGTTTGCGTGATTGAGAGCTGGATTAACTGACTTTACCACCCCTCCATGGAACACCATTTTTACTTGAAAGAATGACAGACAAATTGTGATTATTTAGAATTGGATACTTGGCAGATATCTTCTAGAAAATGAAGCAAGTGACCTGTCACTTCAAGGAAAATAACTGACAGTATTTATTGTCAACAATACAATTGGACATTTCAAGGACAAAATTAGAATTTTGGAAAACATATTTCTGCTACTGTGAGCTTGACAGCTTCCAAAAACTTCAAGACTTTTCTGATGAGAATGCTGGTAATATTAATTAATGTATTTCTTTTTAATTTTGTATGAGAAAATATGAGAACACTTGGAAGGTTTGCCCAAGTCAGTGAACTAATGTTTTCTAAGTGATTGATGCAGGATATTACAAACTCCTGCCTGGGTAAGAGATCCATTCAAAGTGCAAGATAGACCAACAGATTTTAAGCTAATTCAGTATAAAAAGTTTATTGATAATGGTTTCAGATTCTACATTACCACTAACCTTTAAGAAACTACCACCTGAGAAAAGTGGTCATTAAAATTTTTACCACCACACATTCTCAGTTAAAAAATAGTACTAGTTGACTGGCCGTGGTGGCTCACGCCTGTAATCCCAGCACTTTGGGAGGCCGAGGCGGGCAGATCACCTGAGGTCAGGAGTTCGAGACCAGCTTGACCAACATGGAGAAACCCCGTCTCTACTAAAAATACAAAATTAGCCGGGTGTGGCGATGCATGCCTGTAATCCCAGCTACTCGGGAGGCTGAGGCAGGAGAATCGCTGGAACCCAGGAGGCGGAGGTTGTAGTGAGCCGAGATCATGTCATTGCACTCCAGCCTGGGCAACAAGAGTGAAACTCCGTCTCAAAAAAAAATATATATATAGTACTAGTTTCACTTAAGAATGTCTTTGATAAAGCAGCAAAAAGTATTAATTTTACTAAATTTCAGTACTTGAATCAGTTTAATATCTGGGATGATGATATAAGAATGCTTAATGCACTTCTGCTGCATATTGAAATGTAAGTTTTGGTTGAGTTTTGGTTTAGTATCAAAGAGTATCCACAGTTATCTAAAAAGAGTATTAAAAGATTCCTCTTGTTTCTGACTATGTATCATTGTGAGGCTAGATTTTCTTCATAAATCAGCTAAAAAAAACCACAATAGATTGAATATAAATATACCCATGAGAATCTAGATGTTTCTATATGTCAGACATTAAAGTGATTTGTAAATGTCTGAAAGAAAGCAGTGTTCCTTAGTATTTTTTGACAACATGGTTATTTTTTCCACAAAATGTGGCATTTATGTTAAAATGCAATGAGTTTATTATTGTTATTTTAAAATTAATAGGTAGATTTTTAAAAATTACTGAGTTTTAATTTTTACTGTGGTAGATATTGACGGATAGAACCAACATAAACAAAAGCTCTTGGGGGACCTCAATAATCTTTAAGAAAATAAAGGGATCTTGAGACCAACAAGTTTGGGAACCAGTGATCTAGACAAAGCTTTTGTCTATTCATATGTACATCCAGTATTACTCTTGTGTTCAATGATTTCATGTGATTAAGTCTTTTTTGTTTAAAAATTTTTTTTAAAGAGACAGGTCTTGCTCTGTCGCCAAGGCTGGAGTGCAGTGGTGCAGTCTTGGCTCATTACAGCCTTGAGCTCCTGGGCTCAAGCAATCCCCCCTGCTTCAGCCTCCTGAGTAGCTAGGACTACAGGTAGGCACGACCGTGTCTGGCTAATTTTTAAATTTTCTTTATAGATGGGGTCTCGCTGTGTCACCCAGTCTGGAATCCAATGGTGTGTCATAGTTTATGTAACCTCAAACTCTTGGCCTCAAACGGTCCTCCTGCCTCAGCCTCCCAAAGTGCTGGGATTATAAGCATGGGCTGCTGGGCTCAGCCTAAAGTTTTTATTTCTAAATTCTCTGTTGAAGTGAAACACATACAAATACATGTGTAGGACAGGGAATGATTGAGTCAACAAGTTTTAAACATCACTTTTGATAGTTTATTATTCTCTTTTCCTGTAAAATGGGGTTAATATCACCAAACTCATAGGGTGGTTGCTGGATTAGATAATACATGTAAAATGCATGACACAATTCTACTGGTTTCTCAATGTTTTTTTTCTTTTCTTAGTACATTTATAAATATGCTTTAATATGTGGAATTACCTGAGTGGTACATTTCTCTCTGGCAGCTTTACTAGCACATTTCTGTGTGGTATATATATTTCTATAGATTTCTCCCTCATCGCCAAATGGAAGTTTTATACAAGGAGTAGTTTAGATATTTTTCTTCATGAGGAGAGTGAGTGCAAATAGTAACCTCTGAGTAACAATTGTTGTTGCTTTTCTTCAAAGAAAAAGCTGAAGTCTGCTACAGAATACTTACAGAGAGCTAGAAAACCCAGTATGACACCACTTTATCCTAAAGCTATCCTGGAACCTCAATGAATTTGAGTGACAAGTTCCAAAGAGAAGAGATTACAGATTTCCTTTAGTGCACTAAAAAAAAATGTCTACTTACAACCTTTTTCCTCCATTTGACAGACTATTTCTAAAAAGCATTACCATTACTGCTATTTTCTGTTTCTTCAGATTTACCTACAATCCCTCTCAAAAATTTTTGGCTGTGATGTCTGAGATTTGAGAACAATCACAGTCATTCTTGTGACTAGAAACCAGATAATGAAATTTGTGTTTGGCTTAACTACCAGGGAAAAAAGTATGGAGAAATAAGCCACATGTATTCTTCTTTGATCAAATGTCATGGTTATAAATAATAGAAATTGTGGTTTACTTGGAGAGTTGTCTAAATGGCATGGAGTTACTATGTTACTCTAAAGTAAACCAACATATATCTTTGTTTTCTTTGTGGTTTCTTTGTAAGATGTGTTTTTAAAAGTTTTATATTTTAATGATATGGCTTTCATTACCATTGGTGACATGTAATTGGTGGCTTATGAACATGAAAAGAAGATTAATTATCTAGGAGAAACTTTGAAAATGGCTGGAGAATGTTTCAGTAATATGTGGGTATCCTTTCTGAAAGAAACTTTCCCCAGATCTAGTCATGGAAGGAGTGAGGTAGAAATCCACTTAGAGCCCATTAAAGAGAAATTGGATAATGGAATTGGAAGAGATATGTAAAAGTTAACTTTTCCAAATTATCTTATTCTAAATTCTGAATAAGTTGGCTTTATTTGCCTACACACTGATTAGGTTTATTGTTAACACTTGATTACTGGGGTCTCTTGCATTTTGGTGTTCTTTCTCTCATTTCCTGACAATTGCATATTATATTACTTATTAACATTAATACCAAAGGGTAAGGATTATAACAGAGAAGAAACTTGCCGCAAGATGGGAGTCTGATGGTTACTTTCAGCTTGACTTCCCTCATTTCTAAAATGGAAATGATAATATTCTCTACTTCATAGGATTGTCCCAAGGATTAAAAGGGATAATTTGTATGAAGTGCTCAACATAGTGCCTGGTACATAGTAAGATCCACAAATATGAATTGTAAACTATTTTATTTGAATTTGTTTTGCTAATTGAGAGGAAGGGGGAGGTCAAATTATTGGCTGATACGAGGCTTAGATTTTATCTGTTTCCATCAGTCTCTCTTGAATTAATTGGTCAGAAATATCATCATCAATATACCCATGGACCAACCCTAAGTAATTATGCTTCTGAACTTCCTAACCTAAATTCATGAATATTTCAGGTTAGTGAGTTCAACGCCATCTCCCCTGTTGCAGCAGCCTTGTATAACAAAAACCTGCAGGTGAGGGACACTGTTTTGGTGTCATTGTGTCAGGCAGGATGGAGCTGCAACTAATAGAAATTAGGAATAACAATGGCTTATGGAATGAAAACATTTATAAACTCACATAATAAGTCTGATGATTAATTTTTTATACCCAAAGGGCCAGGGACTTTACTGTCACCACTCTGCTGTCCTCGTCGCACTGATTTTCATTCACAGGCTTGTATCCTCCTGCTTGCAAGATGGCTGCCACAGCTCCGGGCACCATGCCCTCATATCAGTACATCAAGAAGGAGGAAGAAGAATTTCTCCTTACAGATCTCTTTCCACTGGAGAGGAAATTCTTTTGTAGACGTCTCCCAGGAGACTTCCCTGTCTTTGCTTGAGTTCCCCAAAATGCAGAGCCTGAGTCAAAATTTTAGATCTTGAAAGGTGTAGCAAGGGAAGCAATGAAGAACCCAAATGAGGTAACAAGGATGAACAGATTTAACAATAATGGTGAACTCTGTCTGATGGTGACCCTGGTCTTCTAGTGTAGTATATAAGGCTCTCTCTCTCTCTCTCTCTCTCTCTCTCTGTGTGTGTGTGTGTGTGTGTATACATTCAGGATTGTGTGTGAATTCATTTATCCATTTCACGCATTCATTCATAAACTCAGTATACATTGGGCATCTACTATTCTGGGTGCTGGAGATTCAAAATGTGACATGGCTCTTGCTGCAAGAACCCCATGCGCTGTCTACCCTCCCTGTTCCTCTCTCCCTTCCTCATCTATTTAGCTCAGACCCCTGCCTCATTCTCTCACCCACCTTTTTGGCGACACAGAGTTCTCAAGCCTCTTGCCTTTCAGCTGGCCTGGAGATCTTGGCTCAATTTACTTTGCTTTCTGCCTTTCTGCACCCTTGCTTGCCTGGGGTGCTGGATGCTCCTGAATAAAGTCATGTAGACCTGGCAATTGGTGTCTCTGCAGATGTGTCATTTCATCTCATCTGACCCCTTATTGCAGCCTGGCTGCCTATTTACTCAGCTCAAACCCCTCTGTCTCCATTCCACTCAGTGACTGTTTTAAACATTTGCTTGTCTTCTGTAGACCCCCAGTCCATTTTTTTTTCCTCTCTCTGGCTTGCTTTCCATTTTAGAGAGATGTATACTTCCTAAACTTCTTTTTGGTCCCTCTCTGGCAAACTCATCTGCTCTTTTACTGAACCTTGTTTTGGTACTAGGCCATTTACCTTCAATAAGAAGCAACTTGAGACAGCCTAAACTTGATCTGATACTGTCTATGGAGATGGTGTGGGTACCACTGTTCATTATATCACATGCTTAGTGAGGGACAGTGGGTGAAAGTTCTCACAAGTCTCAGAACCAGGAGTTGCTGTGATTTTTTTGGAGCAACTATTTCATATGTATTTCTACCTATATTTACTCTAGCCTCCTTCCTTCCTTCCTTCCTTCCTTCCTTCCTTCCTTCCTTCCTTCCTTCCATATTTTCTCTCTTCTCTTCTTTTCTTGGTCTCACTCTGTCACCCAGGCTCGAGTCCAGTGGCACCATCATGGATCACTGCAGCCTAGACCTCCGTGGCTCAAGTGATCCTCCCATCTCAGCCTCCCAAGTAGCTGGGATTACAGGGGTGCATGCCTCCATCCCTGGCAAGTTTTTGTATTTTTTGTAGAGATGGGGTTTCCCCATGTTGCCCAGGCTGGCCTCAAACTCATGAGCTCAAGTGATCCATCTGCCTTGGCCTCCCAACGTGCTGGGATTATAGGCATGAGCCACTATCCCTGGCCTATTTACTCTAATTTATATCTCTTTATGGATATTTAAGTCTTCACCAGAACTTTCCTTTGGATGAAAGGAACCTCAGAGTTAAATCTGTGCTTTACTACACAGCATAAGAGTGGGCGCCAACTGGGTCTATAGCAAGACACACCAGAAAGGGAGTTGGCCACCTACTCAGGGCATTGTTGTAGCAAAAGGATCCCTGGGCTGGGCGTCTTGCACCTACAATCTGCTCCTAGCTCTGTTCCTTGCTGGTTGTGTATTCTGGAGCAACTTGCATTGACTTTCTTGGTTAGTAATACAATAACATGCCTCTTCAAATCTCCTACCATTCCCTCTCATTCATCGCAAAATCGGTAGATATTTTTAATGAAAGTTCTTATAAATTCTGGATAATGTCGGGGCTCATGTCACATGAATACCAGAAGCCCTTTGAAGAAGACAATTAGAAAGAAGCAAGAAAGTTATGCTCAAAGTGTTACCTTTTCTGTGTTGGAAACCAAAGGCTTGCTTTGCTACATGTTGTATGCAGCCTCCAGCATTGAGGGCTGGGGGAAGGGGGCCAACATATACCGGTTTAGGTGTATCTAACGTTGAGAAAAGCAGCATTTTCAAGGCATGTGAAATATCCACCCTAAAATGTCTCAGTACAGTAAGTGAGGCCTCAACAGATAATTAAAAAGAAAGAGTCATGTAGGGATTTTAGGGAAGGAGTCACAATGTAACAATATGATTGAACCCCTTTCAGGAATGACATACTAGATGTCAGTCTGTGGTTTTGCAGCAGGTGAAATAGGATATTGCATCGTGGTTCAAAGGGTAGGCAAGACTTCAGATGCTTTTTGGTGAATGTCTCCTTGTCCTCTATTCTCTAGTAAATCACCCTAATGCAAGAGATGTACCCAGAGCAACTTGTTAGTCAAACTGTTTGTTTAACACTTTAGAGTGTCTGGCTGGTGACGTTTTCGGTAATTTACAGCCTTGCTCATTGTGCTGACAAAATATTTTCTCCTGCTCTGAATTGCTGCCTTTATTCACACTGCCTGAATATGAATTAAATGACCTTTAATTTCTGTGGAGGAATATTTTACTATGTAGATGCTTTGTATTTTGATATCAGTTTGGAAAAACTGCTCTCTGTGAAATGTATTTTGAATTATTATTGTTTCTATCTCCTTTTCCCTTTCAAGAAAGAGTTGTATTTATCTCTTTTTCTCAGAGCTCAGGCTTTCCCAGGAGGAAAGGTGCTGAGGCAGCTCCCAATCTAAGAGTGGTATTTAATTCAAAAAATATCCCAAGTCAAGGATTGTGTTCCAAGATCCCAGGATGCCAGTTACTCCATGAGAAAGAGTTCCCTAGGCTTGAGGAGTTCCTTTGGAGTCAGAGATTTTAGTGGTCATGGTTCATTGTCTATCCAGGATCCATTTTCTCTACTTCTCACTTCCACATACAATTTTGATTTTCTTCAGGCTTCCTCCCGCCCCTTCCTCATGCAATGACTTGAAGCTGCGGAGGCTGACACCAGCCTTCTCTACAGGTGGGTCCTGATTCATGTGAACCAGTCATGGAATTCCCTCCTGCTCGTCAGTGATTGGTTCAGAGGTGGGCACATGAACTAAAGGGGACCAATCAGACTGAAAGGAATGACTTGTCAGAGTTTTGCTCTTTCTCAGTGGACATGAAAGACAAAGTACCTTGCTCCAGTTGCTGCTGCAGCCATGTTGTGACCATGAGGGTGCCTCCATGTGAGGACAAAGCTGATATGCTAAAGAGGGAGGAACAGAGAAAATCTCAGGGAGAAAGAGACCAAGCTTTGCTCTCTCCTTGAGCCTATTCTACCTCTGAAATTTTGCTATGTAAAACAACAAATTTCCTAATTTTGAAACCTATATGAGTCAGGCTTTCTCTTGCTTCAACAACGTATTCAGCATATGTCCGCTATGTGCCAGGCACTGGCGTAGATACTAGGTATGCAGCAGGGAACAATATGGTCAGAGTGTTTACCTTCATGAAGCTGGCTTTATGGTAGCAGAGAAAACAACACACAGATAAACCTATACTATAGCGCCAGGGAATAAAGCAGGGTAAGGGGATGGGGAGTGTTGCCGGGGGTCCTGTGTGTGAGAGGCATGCTATTTGAGGCAATGTGGTAAAAGAAGTGAATAAAGTGAGAGAGTGAGCCATTAAAATATCTGAGGAAAGAACTTTCCTGGCAGGGGAAACAAATTCAGAAGTCCGAAGGCAGGAATGTGCTTGGTGCATTTTAGGAAAAACCAGGAGGCTGATAGAGCTGAGTCGGGTGGAGACTGGTGATAAGAGGGCGGCAGTGGTGGGAACATAAGAGTCCCTGGAGGCCAGGGTAGGGACTAGGAATTGTCTGTTTAACTACTGGAGAAAGTTGAGAATGGGTATTGTTTGTAGCACAAAGCATCTTAATGAGCACAGAGGTAAAGTAACTCGGGCTGAAGATAGAATCTGGGAAGACCACTCTCTAATAGCAGGGCCTGCTTTGAGCCTTTGAATGGTCATTGTGCCCATTTAGTCTCCAAGGGACTCATCAGACTAAGCATCTGTTGCTGAGTTTTTATAGTTTTGAATAATCAAAATTCAGTATAACTATACACATATATATATGTATGTATATACATATGATATTGAGAAAGTACCCATTTTTTCCTTTTGGACTAAGAAATTAAGTATTATTTTAAGTCAAAAATAAATGTTGCATCTATTTTATCATATGCTTTTGCAGCCTCTGTTGAGATGATATCATGTGTTTTTCCTCCTTGGGTCTATTAATATGGAGAATTATATGAACAGATTTCCTGTTACTGAATCATCCTTGCATTTCTGGAATAAGCCCAACTTGGTCATGGTATGTTATTTGTTTAATATGTTGCTGAATTCAACTTGCTGACATTTTCTTTAGCATTTTTACATAGGTACTTATAAGAGAAATAATATAGGTTTCTTTTCTGATGTTCTCTTAATTTATTTTTGTCGTTGCATTAGTGTCTTTGTAAAAAGAATTGGGATGTTTTCCTCTCTGGGATTGTTTAAATAGTGTCATGATTTTCTTTCCTTGAAGGTTTGAAATAATTAAGTTTTAATGGCAAACACAATCCACTCACCTTAAAAAATTAATTATAATTTATGACTTTCCAGTTATGTCCATAGGCTTGCATAATTGTTAAACAGGTGTAGCTCTAGCATTTATTATGTATAGTTCTGTATTCTGATTTTCCTCCTTAACCTAATGTCAAATGTTTTTCCACATGCTGTAGTCTTTATAATAATTTTAATGGATAGGTATTATTCCATTGTGTAGATGGAGCATACTTTAATATTTTCCTATCCTTGTGTGAGTAGGATGTTTTCTGTTGCTATTTTTATAAAATAATGCTGTAGTAAATATATTTTGCATATATTGTATTCTCATTTAAATTCTTTTCCTTTAAGATAAATTGCCAGGAATGGGAAGGTAGAAAACTTTCTATGACCTTTGACACATATGGGCAAAGTATTTTCCATAAGATTTGTGTCAATTTGCGTGGGTTGTAGAATTTGGGTACATTATTTGCATAACATCATTGTCAGTATTGGGTGTTATTTTAATATATTTTTCTGTTATTAGGTATAAAATGGCACCATAAACATCTTCTAGTCCCGTCTCAAGGGTGGGGAAAGGAAGAGGAGAACTTTCCTTTAAATGCTGCCCATCCCGTTGAGCCTAGGGAGTTGATTTTGTTACTCTCATTTCCCAGGTGTAGAAAGAGTTAGGCCTGAGCTCTGAATGGGTTCCCACTCCCAACTATTGGCTGCGTTGTACTAACTAAAGCTAACTCCCAGAACTCAGACGTTGTCACCTTTTGTTTTTGTTTTGCTCTTTAGTTAATGTTGATTGAGTTCTTATAATAGACTAAGCACAGTGCCTTAACTGTATTTGCTTCCAGTTTGTTACCAAGCAAGACACAATGGCTGGGAACATGAGATTCTATAGGCAAGAGCCTGCCCTTTTAAAGATGAAAGAGCTACCTTTTAAAGATAAAATGCTTTCCATCTTTACTTCCTCACTGACTCTCCTGATTTTGTGACTATGTACACAGATCACTGTCTTCTGAGTATTTAGGTAGCTGGCTTAGGGAGGGGAGAGAAATCTTGGCTCTTCAGCATTGCACTTGTGGTTCTTGCCTAGTTAATTCATAAAAAGCAAAACACGACTTGCCACCTTAGCAGAGAAGACAGTCTTATTTTTGTGAAATCAAAGTGCTTTGTAACCATGACGAATTTCCAATGTCAATAAACTGTCCCCAGGGAGAGGTTCTGATTGCAAAAGCCTCCCATAGAATAATCGAGCTCTCTTTTTCTCAAGCTGCGATGCTCACATTGGTGGCGTCTCCAGCCAGGAGGCTGATCTCACCCGCCTTGCCAGGGACTCGGAGAAGGATAATTGGAAAGCAGAAGTCAGTCAAGACTATTTCTATGGTTTTTAGTTTTAAAAGTGAACTGGGGACATTCAGAAATATAAAATACTCTTCATAGTGAGGCAAGGAAGCAAGTGGTAGAGTCTGGAAACCAGATTTGTGCTCTGAAGTGAGTAAAGTGAAAGAGGGGACAGAGAGGGGAAAGGAGTGGGTTCTTAGATAAAAGTTGGTTTTGAGTGACATGCTAAAAACTGGTAATTTTTTGAAACAGAAGCATGTCAGAGTTGCTATTTCTCTCCCTCTTGTATATGAATATACCATTGTTTAATAAATATTTATTGAACATGTAGACATTCTTAGTTGTGTATTTGATCCTGGGAATACTAAATCAAGATTCTGTCCCTAGCTTTAAGTTAATTGTGTTTAATGTGAAAAAAAAATTTCATGAACTTAAAAATGGTGATTGTTAGGTCAAGGCGCTGTGGGATCCCTGAGGAGATAAACACTTGGGTCTAAATTAGTAGGTACTAAGCTACAAGGCTCTGTATTCGACTTTTTGCCCCTTTTCTTTACTCCACATAATTCCTGGAAGATCTTGTTCATCCCAAACCATTTCTACCACCCCAGTGTGCAAACAAAACAGTTGTTTTCTTTCTTGCCCCAACCTCTTTTTGGAGTGCAGACCTACTTTTCTACCTGTGAGTAATCTCTGCTGTACTGTCCGGCAAATCTTTCAAAGTCAACAGAGTGCACTCACCTGCTCCCAAACCTCTTCCCCCAAACTCCCCTGCTGGTCAATAGTACAACCGTCTATCCCATCAGCAAAGCCAGACAAGCCACTGGAGATGTGTCCTCCTCCATCATCCTTTTGTAACTAGATCCTGTCAAGTGTCAACCTCCCAGATAGATTTTGATTGCTCTTTCTCCTTTTTTTTTTTTTTTTTTTTTTTGAGACAGGGTCTCGCTATGTTGCCCAGGCTGGAATGCAGTGGCATGGTCATGACTCACTACAGCCTCAAACTCCTGGGCTCAAGCAGTCCTCTCACCTCTGCCTCAGCTTCCCAAGTAGCTGGGACTACAGGCATGTGCCACCATACCTGACTAATTTTTGTATTTTTTGTAGAGATGGGGTCTCACTATGTTGCCCAGGCTGGTCTTGAACTCCTGGGCTCATGCAGTCCACCTGCCTCAGCCTCCCAAAGTGCTGGGATTATAGGCCTGAGTCGCGGTGTCTGGTCTCTCTCCTCTTTTATCCACAGTTCCATTGTCTTCTCAGGATTTCTCCCCTCATTAACTCAGTGGTCTCATGTCTGGTCACTGAGTCTGAATCTCACCTTCTGATTCCTATCACACACACACTTTAGTTTTCAGGATTGGAAGGATTTGTTTAAAACTCCTATCTGAAGGCCAGGTGCAGTGGCTCATGCCTGTAATCCCAGCACTTTGGGAGGCCGAGGCAGGTGGATCATGAGGTCAGGAGTTCAAGACCAGCCTGGCCAACATAGTGAAACCCAGTCTCTACTAAAAATACAAAAAATAAGCCAGGCATGGTGGCAGGCACCTGTAATCCTAGCTATTCGGGAGGCTGAGGCAGGAGAATCACTTGAACCCAGGAGGCAGAAGTTGCAGTGAGCCGAGATCACGCCATTGCACTCCAGCCTGGGCAACAGTGTGAGACTCTGTCTCTAAATAAATAAATAAATAAATAAATAAATAAAACTCCTATCTGATCATTTCACTCCTCTGAATAAGATCCTTAGTGTCTTCCCAGCAGAACCGGACCCTGCTCACCTTTGATGTGCCCTTCCTCTCCTATTACTTCTCCCTGTGGCCAAATGACTTTCAGTTCCTGAACTTTCTGAGTTATCCCTTAATTCTGAGCCTTTAAGTGTGTGCAGAATGCCCTTTTCTTTCTCTTGGCATATTTACTTCCCAGCTCTTCACATGCTCAGAGGACATTTCATCCCGGAAAGCTTTCTCTGCCCCCTCCAGGCTTGTTTAAGTGCCCTTCTAACCCGTAGCTCCCTACACAAATCTCTGTTATGGCATTTAAAATTGTTGTAATTGTTGGCTTATTTTTCAGCTGTTTCTTTAGACAAAGAGCTACTGAATGATAGGGACTTTTAGTATGTTTTACATCTCTATCCCAGAACCTGGAATGGTGCTCGACAGATGACTATAGGATGAATGTTGCTGAAAGAGGCAATTAAACCCTCATTCAATGAATATGGTCAAGAATCTAGGACCTAGCAAATTATATTCTAATAGATCTTATAGAAATGACAACAAAACTATTTTTGTGAACTTTCAAAATCATGGAGGGCAGCAGTAGTGCCAAGAGATCAATGAATGTTGCCCAAATTAAAAAAAAAATCAGAAGATGAGTTGTTGAAATTACAAAGGTAAGCCTGAAAGGTATATATTACTTAGGAAGGCAATATTCATTGGCAGTCAACATGAGCTCACCAAAACATCATGTCAAACTAAAAAAAAAAAAAAAAAAAAAGAGACAGAGTTTTGCCCTGTCACCCAGACTGGAGTGCAGTGGTGTGATCACAGTTCACTGTGGCCTCAACCTCCCAGGCACAAGTGATCCTCCCATCACAGCCTTCCTAGTAGGCTGGGACCACAGGCATGCACTACCTAATGTTTTAATCTTTTGTAGAGATAAGGTCTCACTATGTTGCTTAGGCTGGTCTTAAACCCCTGGGCTGAAGTGATGCTCCCACCTTGGCCTCCCAAAGGGCTGGGATTACAAGTATTAGCCACTGTGCTGGAACAAAAAAAATTTTTTGAGAGGTTTATGAAGCCATTAGATAAGGATATAGTGCCTCTTGATTTCAGAAAAATGTGTAAAATACCTTATATCTTTTTTTGGCACAATGGAGGAGAGGGCCAACGTACATGGGGTCACTACTGATACTCCAGGGGCTCTGTCTGTGGCCCTGATATGGTTTGGATTTGTGTCCCCACCCAAATCTCATGTCGAATTGTAATCCCCTATGTTGGAAGTTGGACCTGGTGGGAGGTAATCGGATCATGGGGGTGGATTTTCCCACAGGTGCTATTCTTTTTTTTTGAAACAGAGTTTCACTCGTCACCCAGGCTGGAGTGCAATGGCGCCATCTCGGTTCACCACAACCTCCGCCTCCCAGATTCAAGCAATTATCCAGCCTCAGCCTCCCAAGTAGCTGGGATTACAGGCATGCGCCACCGTGCCCAGCTAATTTTGTATTTTTAGTAGACATGAGGTTTCTCCATGTTGGTCAGGTTGATCTCGAACTCCCGACCTCAGGTGATCTGCCCACCTTGGCCTCCCAAAGTGCTGGGATTACAGGTGTGAGCCACCGTGTCCGGCCCCCAGGTGCTATTCTTGTGATAGAGTTCTCATGATATCTGGTTGTTTAAAAGTGTGAGACACTTCCCTCCTCTCTCTCTTCCTCTTGCTCCAGCCATGTAAGATGTGCCTGCTTCCCCTTCACCTTCTACCATGATTGTAAGTTTCCTAAGTCCTCCCCAGCCATGCTTCCTGTACAGCCTGTGGAACCATGAGCCAATTAAACCTCTTTTCTTTATGAATTACCCGGACTTAGGTATTTCTTTATATCAGTATGAGAACAGACAAATTCAGGCCAGATCTATTGTGACCAGCCCTTTCCCTTTTCCCCTTGAAATTCTTCAGGAAGGGGGGCCATTGGCAAGTTTTGTTTTTTTTTTTTTTTTTTTTTAATTGGATGAAGGAGAAAATATTCTGCTTGGGGTTCAAAAAAGGTGTTATATATGTGCACATTTACTTTGTTTCCTTTTTCTCTCCTTGACCTTCTGAGGACATGATAAGGGCCTAGGTGAGACCTTTGGGTACAATAAAGGAAAAGATTATAAAAACTTATTTATTTACTTATTTTTAAATTTTTTATTTCCATAGGTTATAGGGGACCAGGTGGTATTTGGTTACATAAGTTCTTTAGCGGTGATGTGTGAGATTTTGGTGCACCCATCACCCAAGCGTATACACTGCACCCAATTTGTAGTCTTTTATCCCTCACCCCCTTCCCATCCTTTCTCCCTAAGTTCCTAAAGTCCATTGCATCATTCTTATGCCCTTGCATCCTCATAGCTTAGCTCCCACTTATGAGTGAGAATATATGATGTTTGGTTTTCCATTCCTGAGTTACTTCACTTAGAAGAATAGTCTCCAATCTCATCCTGGTTGCTAGGAATGCCATTAATTCATTCCTTTTTATGGCTGAGTAGTAGTCCATCTTATATATATACCACAGTTTATCCACTTGTTGACTGATGTGCATTTGGGTTTGTTTCACATTTTTGCAATTGCGAATTGTACTGCTATAAATATGTGTGTGCAAGCATCTTTTTTGCATAATGACTTCTTTTCCTCTGGGTAGATACCCAGTAGTGGGATTGCTGGATCCAATGGTAGTTCTACTTTTAGTTCTTTAAGGAATCTCCACACTGTTTTCCATAATGATTGTATTAGTTTACATTCCCACCAGCAGTGTAAAAGTGTTCCCTGTTCACTGCATCCATGCCAGCATCTGTTATTTTTTGATTTTTTGATTATGGCCATTCTTGCAGGAGTAAGGTGGTATCGCATTGTGGTTTTGATTTGCATTTCCCTGATCATTAGTGATGTTGAGCATTTTTTCATATGTTTGTTGGCCATTTGTATGTCTTCTTTTGAGAATTGCTTATTCCTGTCCTTAGCCCACTTTTTGATGGGATTGTTTGTTTTTCTCTTGCTAATTGGTTTGAGTTCATTATAGATTCTGAAGATTAGTCCTTTGTCAGATGTGTAGATTGTGAAGATTTTCTCCTACTCTGTGGGTTGTATGTTTACTCTGCTGACTGTTCCTTTTGCCATGCAAAAGCTCTTTAGTTTAAATAAGTCCCAGCTATTAATCTTTGTTTTTACTGCATTTGCTTTTAGCCTCTTGGTCATGAAATCTTTGCCTAAGCCAATATCTAGAAGGGGGTTTCTGATGTTATCTTCCAGAATTTTTATAGTTTCAGGTCTTAGGTTTAGTTCCTATATCTACCTTGTGTTGATTTTTGTATAAGGTGAGAGATGAGGATCTGGTTTCATTCTCCTACATGTGGCTTGCCAGTTATGCCAGCACCATTTGTTGAATAGGGTGTCCTTTCCCCACTTTATGTTTTTGTTTGCTTTGTCAAAGATCAGTTGGTGCTGTAAGTATTTGGGTTTATTTCTGGGTTCTCTATTCTATTCCATTGGTGTATATACCTATTTTTGTACCAGTACCATGCTGTTTTGGTGACTATGGCCTTATAGTATAGTTTGAAATCAGGTAATATGATGCCTCCAGATTTGTTCTTTTTGCTTAGTCTTCCTTCAGCTATGTGGGCTCTTTTTTGGTTCCATATGAATTTTAGGATTGTTTTGCTAGTTCTGTGAAGAATGGTGGTGGCATTTTGATGGGAATTGCATTGAATTTGTAGATTGCTTTTGGCAGTATGGTGATTTTCATGATATTTATTCTACCCATCCATGAACATGGGATGTGTTTCCATTTGTTTGTGTCATCTATGATTTCTTTCAGCAGTGTTTTGTAGTTTTCCTTGTAGAGGTCTTTCATCTTTCACCTCCTTGGTTAGGTATATTCCTAAGTTTTTTTTTGTTGTTTGTTTTTTGTTTTTTGTTTTTTTTGCAGCTATTGTAAAAGAGATTGAGTTCTGATTTGATTCTCAGCTTGGTTGCTGTTGGTGTATAGGAGAGCTACCGATTTGTGTACGTTAATTTTGCATCTGGAAACTTTGCTGAATTCTCTTATCAGTTCTAGGAGCTTTTTGGAGAAGTCTTTAGGGTTTTCTAGATATACAATCATATCAGCAAATAGCAACAGCTTGACTTCCTCTTTACCGATTTGGATGCCCTTTATTTCTTTATTTTGTCTGACTGCCCTGGCTAGGAATTCCAGTGCTGTGTTGAAGAGAAGTGGTGAGAGTAGGTATCCTTGTCTTGTTCCAGTTCTCAGAGGGAATGCTTTCAATTTTTCTCTATTCAGTATTATGTTGGCTGTGGGTTTGTCATAGATTGCTTTCATTACATTGAGGTATGTCCCTTGTATGCTGATTATGCTGAGAGTTTTAATCATAAAGGGATGCTGGATTTTGTTGAATACTTTTTCCGCATCTATTGAGATAATCATGTGATTTTTGTTTTAATTATGTTTAAGTGGTGTATCACATTTATTGACTTGCATATTAAACCATCCCCACATCTCCGGTATGAAGCCCACTTGATCATGATAGATTATGTTTTTGATATGTTGTTGGATTCAGTTAGCTAGTATTTTGTTAGGGATTTTTGCATCTATGTTCATCAGGGATATTGGTTTATAGTTTTCTTTTCTGGTTATGTACTTTCCTGGTTTTGGTATTAGGGTGATAGTGGCTTCATAGAATGATTTAGAGAGGATTCCCTCTTTCTCTATCTTGTGGAATAGTGTCAGTAGGTTTGGTACCAATTATTCTTTGAATGTCTGGTAGGATTTTGCTGTGAATCTGTCTGGCCTGGCATTTTTTTGTTGGCCATTTTTAAATTACCACTTCAATCTTGCTGCTTGCTATTGGTCTGTTCAGCGTATCTAATTCTTCCTGATTTAAGCCAGGAGGGTTGTGTCTTTCCAGGAATTTATCCATCTTCTCTAGGTTATCTAGTTTTATGTGCATAAAGGTGTTCATAGTAGCCTTGAGTGATCTTTTGTATTTCTGTGGTGTCAGTTGTAATATCTCCCATTTTGTTTCTAATTGAGCTTATATGGATTTTCTCTCTTCTCTTCTTGGTTAATCTTGTCTCTCAATTTTATTTATCTTTTCAAAGAATGAGCTTTTAAATTTATGTTTGTATTTTTTTTGTTTAAATTTCATTTAGTTCTGTTCTGATCTTGGTTATTTACTT
Source organism: Homo sapiens (assembly GCF_000001405.40). Taxonomy (NCBI): domain Eukaryota; kingdom Metazoa; phylum Chordata; class Mammalia; order Primates; family Hominidae; genus Homo; species Homo sapiens. The sequence continues at coordinate 63,335,545 of NC_000014.9, read as the reverse complement.
TCTTCTGCTGGGTTTGGGTTTGGTTTGTTCTTTTTGCTCTAGTTCCTTGACATATGACCTTAGATTTTCTGTTTATGCCCTTTCAGACTTTTTGATATAGGATTTAGGGCTTTGAACTTTCCTCTTAGCACTGCCTTTGCTGTATCTCAGAGGTTTTGATAGGTTGTATCACTATTGTCATTCAGTTTGAAGAATTTTTAAATTTCCATCTTGATTTCACTGTTCACTCATTGATCATTCAGGAGCAGGTTATTTAATTTCCATGGATTTGCATGGTTTTGAAGGTTCCTTTTGGAAATGATTTCCAGTTTTATTCCTGTGAGGTCTGAGAGAGTGCTTGATATAATTTCAATTTTCTTAAACTTATTGAGGCTTGTTTTGTGGTCTATTGTTTGTTCTATCTTGGAGAATGTTTCATGTACTGATGAATAGAATGTATATTCTGCAGTTGTTGGGTAGAATGTTCTGTAAATATTAAATATCTGTTAAGTCAATTTGTTTTAGGTTTTAGTTTAAATCCATTGTTTCTTTGTTGACTTTCTGTCTTGATGGCCTGTCTAGTGCTGTCAGTGGAGTATTGAAGTCCCCCACTTTATTGTGTTGCTCTCTCTCTCACTTCTTAGGCCTAGTAATAATTGTTTTATAAATTTGGGAGCTCCAGTGTTAGGTACATATATATTTAAGATTGTAATATTTTCCTGTTGGACTAGTCCTTCTTTTTTTTTTTTTTGAGACAGAGTCTTGCTCTGTTGCCCAGGCTGGAGTGCAGTGGCACGATCTCGGCTCACTGCAAGCTCTGCCTCCCAGGTTCATGCCATTCTCCTGCCTCAGCCTCACAAGTAGCTGGGACTACAGGCGCCCACCACCATGGCCAGCTAATTTTTTGTATTTTTTTTAGTAGAGACAGTGTTTCACCGTGTCAGTCAGGATGGTCTCAATCTCCTGACCTCGTGATCCGCCCACCTTGGCTCACAAAGTTGGACTAGTCCTTTTATAATTATATAACGTCCCTCTTTGTCTCTTTTAACTGCTGTTGCTTTAAAGTTTGTTTTATCTAAGAATAGCTACTCCTGCTCACTTTTGGTGTCCATTTGCATGGAATGTATTTTTCCACCCCTTTACCTTAAGTTTATGTGAGTTCTTATGTGTTAGGTGAGTCTCTCAAAAGCAGCAGATAGTTGGTTGGTGAATTCTTATCCATTCTGCCATTCCGCATCTTTTAAGTGGAGCATTTAGGCCATTTACATTCAATGTTAGTATAGAGATGTGAGGTACTATTCCATTCATCATGCTACTTGTTGCCTGTATACCTTTTTTTTTCTTTAATTGTATTTTTGTTTTATAGGTCCTGTGTGATTTATGCTTTAAAGAGGTTCTGTTTTGATGTGTTTCCAGGATTCGTTTCAAGATTTAGAGCTCCTTTAGCAATTCTTGTAGTGATGGCTTGGTAGTGGGGAATTCTCTCAGCATTTGTTTGTCTGAAAAAGACTGTATCTTTCTTTCATTTATGAAGCTTAATTTCACTGCATACAAGATTTTTGGCTGATAATTGTTTTGTTTTAAGGAGGCTGAAGATAGGTCCCCGGTCTCTTCTAGCTTGTAGGGTTTCTGCTAAGAAATCTGCTGTTAATCTGATAGGTTTTCCTTTATAGGTTACCTGATGCTTTTGCCCCACAGCTCTTAACATTCTTTCCTTTGTTTTGACTTTAGATAAACTGATGAGTATGTGCATAGGTGATGATCTTTTTGCAATGAATTTCCCAGGTGTTCTTTGAGCTTCTTGTATTTGGGTGTCTAGGTCTCTAGCAAGGCTGGGGAAGTTTTCCTCAATTATTCTCCCAAATATGTTTTCCAAACTTTTAGATTTCTCTTCTTCCTAAGGAGCACCAGTTAGTCTTAGGTTTGGTCATTAACATAATCCCAGACTTCTTGGAGGCTTTGTTCTTATTTTTGTGTTCATTTTTCTTTGTCTTTGTTGGACTGGGTTAATTCAAAAACCTTGTCTTTGAGCTCTGTGGTTCTTTCTTCTGCTTGTTCAATTCTATTGCTGAGACTTTCCAAAGCATTTTTTTTTTGCATTTCTATAAGTGCGTCTATTGTTTCCTGAAGTTTTGATTGTTTTTTATTTATGCTATCTATTTCACTGAAGATTTCTCTCCTCATGTATCATTTTTTTTTTATTTCCTTAAGTTGGGTGTCACTTTTCTCTGGTGCCTCCTTGATTAGCTTAATAACTGACCTTCTGAATTCTTTTTCAGATAAATCAGAGATTTTTTTCTTGGTATGGATCCATTGCTGGTGAGCTAGCATGATTTTTTGGGGGTGTTAAAGAACCTTGTTTTGTCATGTTACCAGAGTTGGTTTTCTGGTTCCTTCTCATTTGGGTAGACTCTGTCAGAGGGAAGGTCTAGGGCTGAAGGCTGTTGTTCAGATTCTTTCGTCCTACAGGGTGTTCCCTTGATGTAGTATTCTCCCAGTTTTCCTAGGGATGTGTCTTCCTGAGAGCCAAGCTGTAGTGATTGCTATCTCTCTTCTGGATTGAGCCACTAGCATGTCTGCTAGGCTCTGGATTGGTACTGTGGGTTGTCTGCACAGAGCCCTGTGATGTGAACCATCTGTGGGTCTCTCAGCTGTGGATATGAGCACCTGCTCTTGTGGAGGTGGCAGAGGGATGAAATGGACTCTGTGAGGGTCTTTAGTTTTGGTTGTTTGATGCACTATTTTTGTGCTGGTTGGCCTCCTGCCAGAAGGTGGTGCTTTCAAGAGAGTATCAGCTGTGGTAGTATGGGGAGGGTCAGGTGGTGGGCAGGGCCCTAAAACTCCCAAGAATTTATGCCCTTTGTCTTCAGCTACCAGAGTGGGTAGGGAAGGACCATCAGGTGGGGGCAGGGCTAGGCGTGTCTGAGCTCAAACTCTCCTTGGGTGGGTCTTGCTGAGGCTGGTGTGGTTCCCAGGTCAATGGAGTTATGTTCCCAGGAGGATTATGGCTACCTCTGCTGTGTCATGCAGGTTGTCAGGGAAGTTGGGGAAAGATGGCAGCCACAGGCCTCACCCAGCTCCCATGCAATCCAAAAGGCCGATCTCACTCCCACCGTGCCCCTTGCAACAGCACGGAGTCTGTTTCCAGGCAGTGGGTGAGCAGGGCTGAGAACTTGCCCCAGGCTACCCGCCTCCCAGCGCAAAAGCAAGTAGGGCTCTCGTCCTTCCCTGCCTGTGGAGTCTGTACCCTGGATTCAAGCCCACCCCCGAGTTCTGGCCAGGAGACTTCTCGTTTGGTTGGAATTGCTACAAAGTTCAGGTGGAGGTTTCCTTCTCCCTGTGGCCTTTTCCCAGTGCCTCTGGCAGCCCTCCCCAAGTACTCCTGTGAGGCAAGGCAGAAATTGCTTCCTAGAGGATCCAGAGAGCTCACCGGGCTTTTCCCGCTGCTTCCTCTACCCATGTATTTCACTGGGCTCTCTAAATTGACTCAGCTCTAGGTAAGGTCAGAATCTTCTCCCATAATCTAGGCCTTCGGATTCCCCAGTGAGGGTGTGTGTTTGGGGGTGGACGATCCCCCTTTCCCATTTCCACAGTTTGGACACTCACAGTATTTGGGGTGTCTCTTGGGTCCTGCAGGAGCAATACACTTCCTTCAGAGGGCCTGTGGGTTCTCTCAGCTTTCCTGATATATTCCTGCAGTAGTTCTAGAGTAAAAGTTTATGACGCAAGACTCCACATGATGCTCTGTCTGAGTAGGAACTGCAATCTAGTCCTGCCTCCTGTCTGCCACAATCCTCCCTCTTCTCAAGATTATAAAAACTTCTATCTCCCTCTCTCATCTTTACTTAAAAACATGTCAAATCTTTTAGCACAAAAATATATTACATGGTTAAAAAGTCAAATACTATACCAAGAGTTACAATAAAAAATGGCATTCTCTTGCTCAACCTTCCCCTCTCCTCCAGGTACAGCTATCCTGGGGCAACCATTTTCAACTCTTTTTGGCTGTTTCTTTTGGAATTTACTTCTCCATTTATAAGTAATATGCCTGTACTGCTATTTATCAATTTATAAATTTTAGGCTTTATTTGTTGACTTCCTATTATGGAACATGAGCGAGCAGCATAAGCTAAGACCTGGTGATAGAATAGGTCACCAGCCCATTTCCCCTTTCTCCATCCTTCAAATGCAGTTACCCTGCTGCTCCGGTTTAGATTTGCTGCTCTTTAGACCTACTATACAGCTATTATTTCGGGACTTCAACTCTTTTCTGCATTGGGTCCCTGATTCCTATGTTAGATAGTTGCTTCTTCTTTTATATACTTCCTTGTTTACATTATGTGGTAGCTTCCTGAGAAAGGGTGTGTGGAGTATACAATTTTTGAGATCTCTCATGTCTGTATTTTTTTTTATTCTACTCTCATGCTTGACTGAAGGTTTGGTTGGGTATAGAATTTGGAGATAAAAATCATTTTCATTAGAATTTGAAGGCATTGCTCCATAGAAATGTGAAGAAGCTATGGTGGGAACAATAATTGTGTGTTCACCAATTTATTTCATCTTCTTGGGTAGACAGGACAACTTTATTCCCTAGCCTTACTTGCAGTTAGGTCAGGGCCATAAGACTTAGTTACGGCCAGTGTAGTGTGGGTGAAAATGATGTACCCACTTTCAGGTTTACACAATTCTCCAGGCTCCCTTTTTCCCTTCCGTCGTGGTTTTATAGGTAACATCTTGAAGATGGTGGCACTACAAGACAGGTCGTTGGTCTCTTAATGATTGCTTAATGAAATTGATGAAGGAGAGATCCATTTTAGTGCCTTGTCATTCTGCTTGCCTTATACAACTCATTCTTAAGGTAGCAGCAATTTTCCTAAAGTCTTGTAAGCCTATTACATGGCTATTTTCAATAACATGGCTGGGGCACATTCGTAAGTTCATATTTTTATTAAACTGACACTGGCTTCAAAGTTTTGATTCCCTAAGGCCAATGCGAGTCGATGTCAGTCAAATTTCTTCCTTTCATAACATTTTTTAAGGGTGCTTATGATTTGATTCACTGCATGGAGGCATTTGAATGCACAGTCATGGGATCATAAACCGTCAGGGCTGGAAAGGGCGTTAAAGATGCTTTCATCCAGCCCCCTTGCTTTTCAGATAAAGAAATTGTGGCCCAAAAATGGGTGGTGGTTGCTTTTCCTACAGTCAACAATGCTCCTGGCAGTAATTGTTAGTGTTCAGAGGTAATAAGTAATTATGTTCCTTTCTTTGCTCTGAGCTTGGAACTAATAGAAAAATAAGATGCAAGAATCTGACAGGAGGAGATAAAAATATTGGCTTTCTTATTGAACGAAGTTAAATGAGAGTATAGCTTGATATGTAGTCAAATGACCTTTGCCCTGAATTGAAGCTACACATTTGACAGACACTGGTGGTTATCTACCCTACAGCTATTCCTTGCTTTTATCCCTTTCCAGCAGAGCTGGTCTCCAACTATAGAGGCTGAAAATGCCTGATACCGTTATTCTCAGCCTTCCTTGATATCTAGATCATGTGATTAAGGAGGAAATCTGCAGGAAACTTCTATAAGACTTTTCCTCTTTTGAAAGAGAGACGCTTGGAACAAGATACCTTCCTCTCTTGATTCCCTTCCTTTTTGCTTTAGCTGTTGCTGTTTCAGGACACTAAGGCTGGAGGTGGGGAGGCATGTCAACATGCTGAGGATGGCAGAACAGAAAAAAGGAAAGCATCTGGGTCCTTTATGACATTGTAGAGCAGCAACACCAATGGCAGATCTCCCTGACTCTGGGCTTCTTGTTACTTAAACTAAAGTAAGTTTATGCCCCCTCAGTGGCTTGTACCTGTAACTTGCAGCCAAAACCATCCTAAGAGATAAATCTTCCTGAATTTTAAAATCTCCAAAATGTTGAGTCACCATGTTTATTTTCCAATCTCACCACTCAGATAAGAGACTCAGGGTGGGAGCGTGGAGTAGAGAGACAGAGGCCACATGTATCCTGCCCAGGCTTTTCCGTCTTGCCTGCCACGGAGAAGTGAGAATGGAAGATAATCACCTCGACCTCAGCCAATCCTATCATAATACTGGGGGAAAAAAAGATTACATGGGAGTCTAAAAATAAAAGGGTCTTTTAATTTTTTCAACTGAGAAATTAGATCCATAATTTTATGTGATGAATGGAGTTGAACTGAGTGTGTGTGTGTGTTTCAATAGTATTTCTAAAACTTGATGTTCTTGGCCTAGCCTGCTGAAGGCCTTATCTATCTTCAAGGCAGTTCAGAAAATAGAGCATTAATAAGTGTTAGGCATGCCTGAAATGTGTATCTTGTTTCCAGAGCCCCGGACATGAACAATGCAAAAAGGAAGAATCTAGTTACTACATCTTTGAGGCACAGTAATTTCATTATGAAGTTTCCGTCTTTACTTTTTCCCCTGAGGGGAGAGGATTATTAAAATGAGGTTGTTGCCCACTGGGCTGTCAGAAGAGCCCAAACTCCTTTATCCAAAGAAAGCTACAGAATGGCAGAAGTGATGGAAGCAAATAGCTGGCTGTCAATCAAATCTAATTTCCATACTCTCCACATTTCTTTGATGAGATATTTCAAGCTGCAGAGAGGGAAAATGTTTTTTTCTCCCTGAAGTAATTGAAGTTAATGTCATAACACCCAGCCAAACAGAGCAAAATGCCAAGAAGCAGATGTGTACACTGACCCTTCACAAGGAGGAATTGGTTCAAATTGGTGTGGGGTGAAAGTGATCAGGTTTAATGTCCTGTGATGGGAAAGAAGATAATAGGGAGTGGTGCTGACCCAGCTGCCTGAACCTAATGCTTCCAGGACCACTTGTTGCTTGGGTAAGCTCACACCCCCTTGTGTGGGTCCCACACTGCACCAACACAAAGCTCTTGGTGTTTCATGATGGCATCTGCACTGGCCCACTGAGTTCTCATTTAGATATGGGAAGGGAAGTCTTTTTGGATTGACTATTTGCTGTTCTGGAAATATTTGCCAAACTTTAACGGAGACTGACAAAGATATGAGTCAGGAGAAAATGAGAATAAGTGGTATTTAGTGTTCTCCACAATCATTTAGTCAGTTGTTTCCTTAAGTGTTTATTGGCTACTGTGTGCAGGCATGGAGGATGTAAGAGTGGGCAGGAGAGTCATGGCGGGCATAGGTACTTGGAGCTAATGGTCTGATAGGGGCTAGAGACAAATGAACTATCACTGATGATGCAGTGTGAAAGGAACTGCTGTAGGGGAGGTACTTGATGAGAGCACATGGCCTGGGTGCCAACCTCAGACTTGGAGGATCAGGATCAGGGCGGGCTTCCAGAAGGAAGCAGCAGCTAAGCCAAGTGCTAGACAATGAGCAGAGGCAAAGCAGAGGCAGGAGTTGGGGAGATGAAAGGGTAAGTGTGAAGGCAGAGGAGAGGCATCAGTAAGAGGTGTCTTCAAGGGCTCTGAATTAGGAAGGCTGGGTCAGTCACAAGGCATTTGGGAGATAGAACCACAGGACTGTGTGTGTGTGGTGGAGGTAGGATATCAGATAGGGAGGTATCTAGAATGAATCTCAGGTGGTATTGTTTACAGAGATGAAAAACAAGATGAATAGGATGGGAAAGAGCCTGGGGAGAAAGATAATGAACTTTGTTTGGGACATAATGAGGTTGCACTGTTTCTGTGACATCCAAATAAGGAGATCAAGTAGATAGTGAGGAAATCAATAAATAGTGTTAGATGTTTATGTGCTTAATATCCACGCTGTTTCAGCTTTCTGTCCTGGGTCTAGTTTGTTTTCTATCCATGGCTTGTTAACCCAGAATCTTGAGTTTAAGGCTTATACATTACCCAGCTCTTAAGTCTCAAACTATATCTCTAATCTTTGGCCAGTATTTTGCAAAGGTGGGTCACTGACTCCAAGGGACACTCAGGACCCAGGAGCCACAGGCAGAAATGGGTCTTACATTAGTTGTTAAAATGCTGCTGTTCAGTACACTCACAGTTGTGATGGCTTCGAGATCTTATGTTGTATTTTCCATCCCTCCAGCCTGGGTTGCATTTTTTTTCAATCCTATTCTTCATTATAAAAGTCCTCCATCTTCTTGATTATATTAGTTTTTCTTTTCTGGACCTGATTACCATTCTGGCTTCATTGTTCATGAAATGTCAGGGCCATCTCTGCGTAGGAGAAATTTCTATCTATAAATCACTCCGATGCAGGCTCTTCAGTGTTGTTAAGGTAAGAAGCAGTGACTGAGTTAGGCAAACAGGCATATTTCTAAAGATTGAGATGTTCAAATCCAGTAATTTGGTTCAGCAGATCAGAAATCATGGTTCTGGGTAAATGAGCATTTTGATAAGTTCAGAAAAAACATTCTCTTTTATGGACTCACGGCTTTAAGCTTTGAAATTTCACACGCATCAGCTGCATGGGCTCAGCTGGTGAGGACTCAGATATTTCTATAAGGGTGATCTAATGATCCCCTCACTTTAGGCCAAGGTTTCTCACGGGAGCAGTATAACAAAGTGGCTAAAGCAGCCTGATACAGTGCAAATCAGTCAGCCAGAGCCAAATTTGAATCCCAGCTCCATCGCTGCTTAGCTGGAAAGCCATGTTTAATTTGTTTAACTTGTCAGAAAGGGTAGGTAATAAAACAGTTCATAGGTTTGCGGTGGTTATTGTTGTAAGAATTAATAGATATGCTACTTGAACAGGGTCTAGAAGGAGCTCAAATAATTACTTCTTGCCACTGGGAAGCATCGGCACTGTCCAATATGGTAGCCACCACATGTAGCTCTTGAAATGTGGCCTTTTGGATGAGATGTGTGGCCAATTATATGTGCTATCATTGCCAACCGGCTTCTTTCACCAAGGCCGGAGGAGTGCAGTGGCATGATTACAGCTCACTGCAGCCATGACCTCCTGGGCTCAAGGGATCCTTCCACCTCAGCCTCCCAAGTAGCTGGGACTACAGGCATGAGCCACCAAGCCCAGCTCATTTTTGTATTTTTTTTTTTTTTTTGTAGAGATAGGTTTTTGCCATGTCGCCCAGGCTGGTCTCAAACTCCTGAGCCCAAGCGATCCTCCCGCCTTGGCCTCCCAAAATGCTAGGATTATAGGTGTAAGCCACTGCACCCAGCCAATGCCAACCAGGTTCCAAAGACTTAATATAAAAATAAAGGATGTCAAAAGAGTGTGAAATCACGAGGTCAGGAGATCGAGACTATCCTGGCTAACACAGTGAAACCCCGTCTCTACTAAAAATACAAAAGAATTAGCCGGGTGTGGTCGTGGGCACCTGTAGTCCCAGCTACTAGGGAGGCTGAGGCAGGAGAATGGAATGAACCCGGGAGGCAGAGCTTGCAGTGAGCCAAGTTTGTGCCACTGCACTCCAGAGCCTGGGCGACAGAGCGAGACTCCGTCTCAAAAAAAAAAACAAAAAAAAAAGAGTGTGAAATATTTCATCAATAACTTTTTATGTTGATTACATGTTGAAACATGGACATTTTAGGTAATGTTGGGTTAAATAAAATCTATTTTATTTCTAGCAGTTATTACCTACTGATTATTTAAATTAATTTACCAGTTTTTTTTTTTTTACCTTTTTAAATGTGACTACTAGAAAATTTAACATTGCATATGTGACTTCTATCTTTATTGGATACCTCTCCTGTAGACATAGAACTTACCATGAAGGGCTTTCAGTATCTGAAGTTGTAGGCAAAGTACTCGCCTAGGTCACTGTAGTAACCTCCCCAGCCAGTTTGTTTGCTCTGTCTTTCTCCTTACTATACCGTGGGGACCTTTCAGAGTGCCCGATCTGCATCCGACCTTCTGCTACCATTCTTGGCCCTGGCTCTTCCTGAATATACTTTATGCTCAATCATGATGAAAGAAAAACTCATCACACCCTCATTCGTGTGTTCAGTTATTCACGCAACAGTTTTTGATAATTAACTGTGAGCCAGGCAGTGTTCTAGGCATTGGAGAAATAGTGGTGAACAAGACCGACAAAGCCCTTGCTCTGTATGTGGTATCTTCTGCCTGGAATACATTTTCTTTCACTCTCTGTCTCTCTCCCACTACCCCTTCAATAACTAACTGGAATCCCCTCTCAAGGAAGTCTCTCCTGACAACACTCCTCCCCACACCTTTTTTTTTTTTTTTTTTTTTTGAGACAAGAGTCTTGCTCTGTCGCCCAGGCTGGAGTGTGGTGGTGTGATCTTGGCTCACTGCAACCTCCACTTCCTAGGTTCAAGCGATTCTCCTGCCTCAGCCTGCCTAGTAGCTGGGATTACAGGTGCATGCCACCACGCCTGGCTAATTTTTATATTTTTAATAGAGACGGGGTTCGCCATGTTGACCAGGCTGGTCTTGAACTACTGACCTCAGGTGATCCGCCCGCCTCAGCCTCCCAAAGTGCTGGGATTACGGGCATGAACCACCATGCCCGGCCCCCACACCTTAGTCTAAGCTCCCAGAGCCTCCTATTGTCATTTTTATCATAGGACTTATCACATTTACTGTTATGTCAATTTTCAAAAGTCAAATTTTTTATTTTGAGAAAATTGTAGATTCATATGCAGTTATAAGAATATAGAGACACCCCTTGTACCCTTTTCCCAGTCTCCCTCAATGATAACATCTTGCAAAACTATTATACGATATCACAATGAGGGTATTGGCGTTGATGTAATGACTGATCTGGTTCAGAGTTCCCATTTTGCTTGTATTTGTGTGTTTAGTTCTATGCAATTTTATCTTTCTTTTGTGTATCCACCACTGCAGTCAAGAGACAGAACATTTCCTACTGGGTGCAGTAGCTCATGCCTGTAATCCCAGCACTTTGGGAGGCCGAAGTGGGTGGATCACCTGAGGTCAGGAGTTCAAAACCAGCCTGGCCAATGTGGTGAAACCCCATCTCTACTGAAAATACAAAAAAATAGCCAGGCGTGGTGGTGTGCACCCGTAATCCTAGCTAGTTGGGAGGCTGAGGCAGGAGAGTCGCTTGAACCCGGGAGGCGGAGTTTGCAGTGAGCCAAGATTCTGCCACTGCACTCCAGCCTGGGTGACAGAGTGAAACTCTGTCTCAAAAAACAAACAAACAAACAAACAAAAAAAGAGACAGAACATTTCCATCAGTGCAAAAATTCTTCATGTTGTCTTTTTATAACCATGACGCTTCCTCCCCAACCCTGACCCTTACCTGACCCCTATTAACCCCTGGCAACCACTGGTCTAGTTTCCATTTCTATAACTTTGTTATTTCAAGAATGTTATATAAATGGAATCATACAGTACATAGCCTTTCAGGATTAGCTTTTTTCCACTCAGCATAATTCTCTGGAGATCCATCTAAATTGTGTGTTTATTCCCTTTTATTGGTGAGTAATATTCCGTGTTACAGATGTACTACAGTTTGTTTAACCATGCACCTGTTGAGGGGCCCTTGAGTTGTTTCCAGTTTGGGGCTATTATGAATAAAGCTGCTTTGAACATGTGTAGGTTTTTATGTGAATATAAATTTCCATTTCTCTGGGGTAAATGACCAAGGATGCAGTTTTTAGGTCCATATATGTTGATTTATTTATCATCCTCTTTAGACTATTGACACTTTGAGGACAGCTTGTTAGCTTCGTTCATATGTGCATCAAATTTTCTTTGTATGTATCTGACATATGGTAACACTCGATGATGTGCTCAATAAAATACAGAATCCCAGAGAGAAGGAGGGACGGAGGGAGTAGGAAAAGGAAAGGAAGGAGGAAAGAAATCTTTGAGAACTCTCAGTTGTTAGCTCACCCCCGCTCCCCCCGCCCACCACCTCCCAACATCATTATATTTTAATTTTTTAAAATAAACCCAGCGACCCCAGTGTGAGACAGTAGTTGCTTAATACCTGTTAGTTAAATGATATAACACTCTGGCGAGTAGAACAGCTCTCTTCTCCCCTTCTCCATCCTCCCATCACTGGAGCGTAGAGATGGACACACACAGACACACGTGTGCATAGTCAGTGGCCAGGAGCCTAGGAATCTTTTCTGGAACAAAGTCAAGCGCTAACAAATGAAGTGCTGTTGCTTCGAAGCTTAGCTAACAAAAACCTTGGCCTTGTCTGTGTGACTGCCCTGGGAATTACAAATGAAGAGTTTGGGGACCCAGCAGCTTTGTGGACTCATTCCAATGAGAATACAGGATGCACCTGAAATAAAGAATGCCTCTTTGTGACTCATTAAACTCTGCTCTGTTTCTCCCTGTTAGGCATGTGTCTGCCATGCCCTGCAAAGCTATGATATTCAAAAGTGGAAGAGTCAGGCGGAAATAAAAACATTTCACTTCAGCGCCTAAACCATGTACCCCTTAATTTGAAATAAATCTGTGACGACTGACAGATAATTCTTTCAGACAGTTATGGAGAAAGGCTTGACTTGTCCTAGTAAATCAGACACAGGAGTCATTATTTTTAGTCTTGTTAAAAAAATGTTCCCATAGCAACTGCACCATCATCTCGGGCAAATGTTATCTCTTTAAGTCAATAACATGAGGAGCTGACCCACAAATACCCAGTGCTTTGAAAGGAAGAAATGACTTTTCAATAAAATTAATTTCTTCCAAGTCTTCACTATTCATCTTCATTCATATGCCCGGAATTCCTCCCCTCTCCTCTGCGGAAAATAAGCAGTATTAAAAGCAACATACCACTTTATAAAATTCAAGGCTGACCTTTCTTCTGTCATTAATTCTATTAGTTCCTTGAAACTCATAGCTTCATTTGTGGCTTTTTTTCCACCCATGGGAAGCATAATGCTAATTAATTTGACCCTTGGGTAGAGCATTGTGTATTTTGAGAACACAGTGTGGAAAAACATACTAGAGCATGCGCATCTTTTCTAAACTCTTAAGAGTTGGATTTAAGTGATGCAGCAAGCAGCTTAGTTCCTGTGGGCTCTCATTTAATACCTGTGCAAGAACAGTGGGTGCTCAGTGAGCATTGGTTGGCTTAGTTGGTTTGACTCCATATTTGGTCAGAACTGAAATTGAGTGTTTATGAAGATTTATTAATATATTGAAATTTGCAACTGTGATAAAGTTTTACCCTCAAAATATGAGATTTGGACTTTAAAAATTAAGCCTAACACTTTAGATTTTTTCTTCTACTGAAAACATGTTGTTAATTTTAGTGTCAGATTAAAGCACCCCATGTTGGCTGGGAAAGCAAGGTTGGTGCTTACCCATGTCCTGGTTTCAGAATGCTGGTGAGGTCTCATAGTCCCCAAAGACTTTGCTTCTTCTCTTCTCAGACTCACATTTTTTTTTTCACCTCTAATATCTTCGAAATCAGGATATGCCTAACAATTGCTGGTGTGATGTAATTTTTTATTGGCAGCTTTTTATTTCTTAGTGGTACACATGATAGTGATGCATTTCCAGGGAAGGAAAGAGAAACAATAATTATTGCCTGCTCATCATGTATCAAGCCCTGTGAGAAGTAATTTATAGACATTATTTTGTAGAATCCTCACATGACCCCTATGATGGAGGCATTTTCAATTTTGTAGGAAGCTGAGACTCAGGTGGGCTACTAGACTTGTGCAAGATCATAAGTTGGCGAGTGTCAGAATCAAGATTTCAGCACAATGTAGCTGACTTTATGGTTGTGTAACCTTCCGCACTCTCTCTCTGACTTGTCCTCAGCTTCTTGTGCTCATAAAATAGTTTATAAATATTTAAATTCTGGAGCTGGGAAGGGCCTTAGGAGTCACAGGGTCCAACCCCACTGTGTTACAGATGAAGAAACTGAGGCTCAGAGAAGTGACTTGCTCAAGGTAGTCCCAAAGGAGATTGTGCCACTGAGAATCAACATGGCTGCGGGAGGGAAGGGAGTGTTTCCAGGCTCTGTCAGTGTCTCCATCTCCTGCACACAGTGTGCACCCCAGGATTTCCCCACGTGGGACTGCCTTCCCTGGACCAGGTCTCAGTTTCTCAGTCACCCCTTTGAGGCACTAACACTTGGCTCCTTCCTCTGGAGTCACGATCCCCCTGGAATTCAAGATGATTGCTCACATACACAACTTCTCCTTTCTTTCTGCCCCTAATGAACGTATATCTTGTGCCTCACCCTCCAAGGTGACAATAAATCCATGTGAAGATGATCATGGAACAAAAGGAGAGAAGATTCTCCAGAGTCTATCCTTGGAGTCATTACTCATATGTTTCTTTGCTACCTCAAGAGAGGGACTTTAATGGTGGGAACTTCAATGTAGATTGAAGGGAAGGTGGCAGGCACATGCACACCATGGTGCAGAGATATTCCGTAGGTAGCAGGGCATTAATTAGCCTTTGAAGTCACGCTACAAACTCTCACTCTGTCCACAGAGAGGTGCGACACGGCCTAGATTGCAAAAGGTGGCATCCGTACACCATTCTCCTTTCCTACACCCAGGATGAAGCTGATGGGCCACTGCCCTTTGCCCTTAGAATGATTTCAGCTGCCTTCTTTAACACAACATTCCAAGTAGCCTCTTCCCATTAACTGTAGTTGGTTACAGGGATGAAATAGACCCATTTGCCTTTCCCAGTGTTGTTGAAGGCTTTGGAAGTAGGCAGGTTACAAAACGATTGAGTTTCTATTTCTTCCAATGTAAAAATGAGAAAATAATAATTGACATAAAGAATTGTTGTAAGGTCTAGAGATAACATATGTAAGAGCACAGCAGATTCCATGGTACCATAGTAGATGCTTAGTGACTATAAATTGTCGGTTTTTTTTTTTTTTTTTTTTTTTTTTTTTTTTTTTTTTTGAGACGGAGTCTCGCTCTGTCGCCCAGGCTGGAGTGCAGTGGCGGATCTCGGCTCACTGCAAGCTCCGCCTCCCGGGTTCACGCCATTCTCCTGCCTCAGCCTCCCAAGTAGCTAGGACTACAGGCGCCCGCCACTACGCCCGGCTATTTTTTGTAGTTTTAGTAGAGACGGGGTTTCACTGTTTTAGCCGGGATGGTCTCGATCTCCTGACCTCGTGATCCGCCCGCCTCGGCCTCCCAAAGTGCTGGGATTACAGGCGTGAGCCACCGCGCCCGGCCAAATTGTCATTTTTATAAAGTTAATGCTGACAGGGTGGAATGCATGATGCCACATCTCTGCATTATAAAGAACTTGGGGATTGTGAAAGAAAGATGCTCTTGGCCTTTGTAATCTGTCTTTATTGTGTGACTCTGCAGACACAAGTGTGTATGTTTCAGGTCTTAAAGGGTTGGGCAGCCGTCTTCAGAAACAGCCCAGGATGGCAGCTCACTGCCGACTGGCCAGCTCTTGGCCAGCAAGTTAGGAAGATCAGGCCAGCTGAGCAGTCCGTCCCCAGAGTACTCCAGTTCTGGTTATGCTACTCACAGGCTGAAGCGCTGAAGAAAGTCCTTTTTCCAAGCCTAGTTCAATATTCTATAAAACATGTATAATAATTCTGCTCTAGAGAGAGGGGTGGTAAATTGATGGACTCACTGGGCATTGTTATCTGTTTTGAAAATGAAATCTACAATGAGCAGTACATTTATTTAAAGAACACTTTTCTTTGCAGAAAGTGGAAATGGTTTAACTTCTTTACTTTGTTTCACTAGTTAGTTAGTGTGCATCTTCAATGTCTCTGCCTACATCATTATTTACTATGATATCAAAACTCCTAAGGGCAAAGATGATGTCTGCTTCATTTACTTTTTAGAGCACCCAGAAAAATGCCATGAACAAGTATATTTTTAATCCACTCATATGCTGTTATTGTAGATTGAAATATAAACTATATCCCATACTCATAAAAATATTTTGTTCTTATTTGAATCATTTAAGACCAAAAATCTGTAAAACTTCTCTATCAGAGCAGCACTGAATGTCCTTACAGACAGAACAAATGCATACCTTTTGGTTTATTTTAATTTTAAAACATTGATATTGACTGACTCTTTATTACAAAAGTCTGCCCAATGTAGAACATGTGAAAAATGCTGAAAACCATATAAAGGAAATGAAAAGTTTTCTTTAATTCCCATGCTGGAAGATAATCACTTGGAACATCGTGGTATTTTTTCCTAAATGATTCATTTTAAGGCGTTATTAATATCATCTAATTCTTAGCTAATTTTAAGACTTTCGACATGTTTCTTCTCACTGTGATTTCCATCTTTTCAGGTAGTGATCCTGTGTTCTTTCCAGCAAGAATTATCGTTTTGTTGTTTTTCAGTGCATTGAAACATGTTGTCGGTTAAAGGAAAGGGTTTGCCATGAGCTGCTAGTCACTTACCCCTGTTTCAAAGGAAACTTGTGGTTACCATGAAGGAAAATTTAATCCATCTGCCACAATGCATTTGTTCTCCTGAGAACCAGGTGGAACTACCTCTGACTATTTCCTTAGGATTATGCCACCCACCAAGGTAACTTTCTATTTCAGTAGGTGATGTTGAGAAACAAAACAACACCCTTTAAGTTAATCAGTTTTGGAAAATAGAGACTGGCTTTCTATTCCATGGCTTTGATGTGTTTAGTAGTTCCTGTAAGGATCTGCCTCTCTTTTGTTTTGATTGACAAGACTTTTCCTATATATTTGAGCAATCAAGCAGCCCAGTAACAGAAGGTAGAGACATTTACCCAGGGCAAACTTCTACCATTCATTGTGACTTCCTGAAATCTTAGTGCAAGTTTCAGCTCTAAAAGAAGAGTGGGCTCCTGCAAGATTAGGTAAGTGCTTCTCCGTATTTGTAACCTCATTCCAGAGGAGGGGAAGCCCAGAGAACTTGCTACAGTAAGGTCAGAAGTAGGAACTGTGAGAATAATGAATTCAGTAGGGGGTAAAGGTCCATGAATGCCATATCCTTTATACTTCAAAATCCACGTGAGTTCTGTCTAGTGGGCCAAGCATGAAGGGGGTTGATTCTGGCTCCGGAAAGAGCACGGGGAATGACCAAGACCCAGAGAGGGTGGACTTGACGGTGGATTGAGGTTATGTTTTAAATAACTCCTATGCTTTCCATCATTTGGATTTAAATTGAATCATAAGTAGATGCTGTTGCAGTGGAAGCCTAGAGCAGAAGCAATTTACAGTGAGTAGGACACATTTATGAATGGCCACCAACTCAGGTGATAGGTTTCATGATATCTTCTGCATATCCATGTTTAGTGGTGAGTTGGTTTAGTAACGATGCATATAGGGAATACTATTATTAATATTTATCAACCCCTCCAAATCATTCCCCATCATGACACTGAAAATATAGTTTTGAGCAAAGTATGTAACATGGCACCCAAATACCCTGGACCTGAATAAAAATAATTTATATGTATTCATGTATTCTGTTGGATTATGGATTAGTTTTGGTGTTACTCATATTTTATGTTTATTTTGGAAAGACCACTGGGACAAACTTCTTTAACACACAAGTCAACTGCAGCAGTTAAGTTACAATAAGGAAAAGCCTGAGAATGCACTTGGAGGATGGGCATCTAGAGAGGGCCATGGAATCCACACTGGCACCAGTTACAGGAATCTCTGGATGCCTGTGTTGGAGTTTGTGGGCATTTACAATTTCTGGGCTCATTTTCCCTGAAATGCTAGGAGCAAGGTCCCTTTGATAGTGACAAATGCATGGTTGGCTGTGCCATTGAAGGCAGCCAGATCTGTTAAACTCTGTCCTTTCCCTCTCCGGAAGAGCAGCATGAAGCTGGCATTCCTCTTCCTTGGCCCCATGGCCCTCCTCCTTCTGGCTGGCTATGGCTGTGTCCTCGGTGCCTCCAGTGGGAACCTGCGCACCTTTGTGGGCTGTGCCGTGAGGGAGTTTACTTTCCTGGCCAAGAAGCCAGGCTGCAGGGGCCTTCGGATCACCACGGATGCCTGCTGGGGTCGCTGTGAGACCTGGGAGGTGAGTTGCTAAGTTGTGCAGATGACAGTGTCTTCTAGGCCAGCAGCTTGGGTCTGATTCTTAAGAGTTCACTTTTTAAATGATATGAGGTAGAGCTGGGACATCTGCCCTTTCCTGTGGACTTAAAAAACCAAAACAAAACTATGATTGGCATCTTCCAAAAGTGATTTGAAAAACATGATGTTGCCCCTCTAACAAAGCATTGATAAGGTTAAGAATTTGGTTTACATTGTGTCTATGTATCTGGGAATCATCTCTGGGAGGTCAAGATGTACTGTTCTACCCGTTTTACAGATGACATGGAGGGATTCAAGGGAGAGTGGCTGCAAAGTCACGTAGAGCGTCAGTGTAAAGCTGGGAATCAATCTGTGGTTCAAGCTTGTGACCCAAACTCCTCCCTATGTTTCCTCATTTTGGATAAATTAGCCAGTTTCCAAGAAAGAGGCCCTGAGCTGAAGGGTGAGCGTTGGTCCCAGTGAAGGGTGAGACCCCTTCACTGCCTCTTCTGCAGCCCTTTTCCTCCTCAAGTCTCTGGGAGCCCTCTGGGGTTATCACTGACGGATCCATTAAGTTCCTTCATATTCAATTATACCTGGCCTTTTTAGAGACATTTAATTTAAAGTGGAGATAACACTCTCAAACAAAGTTAAAATCCTATTGGGCTAAGAGGAGCTGTTTGAGTGATGAAGAGGAAGAGAGCTATTCAGCACCCCAGCAGATCACATTACGTAGTGACTGTGGGCTCTTCCCCCTGAGGCCTGCCCACTTGGTAACCAATGAAGTGCTGTCTCTGATCTTGTCACTCCCTGGCCCAAAAACCTTGAATGTCCACACACTACTACAGATTCAATAACTAACTTTCAAGGTGCTCAGCAATATGGCGTCTGCCTGCTTTCCTGGAGACAGCACATTTTCTTACTCTGGCCTTGGTAAGTGACTTTCAAAGGTTTTATCAAATAGCCCTTATGGATCTCATTTTGTTCCTTCCCTCATATCCCTTCTCCTTCCCATCTGTCATTATCATATTTATTCCTGATGCCTATCTGCAGTGCCAGCTCCCTTTCTGGGCCTTTTTTGACTTGCAGGTAAGCCCTTGACTATGCTCTACTTTTCGTCTTACTTCCTCCCCCACCACACGCGTGATTTAAATTTTTTCAGGACAGAGGTTCATTCTTATAACCTTCACAGCTTTTGTCAAGATGTCGTGTATGAACAAGGCATTCAATACACATTTGTTGGTTGACTGGGATGGACCTCCCCCTGGAGCTGTAGATCCTCCAGCCTAATGGAAGGCCATTTAGAATCACACTTGCACTGTGAGTGGACACTGCCATTGGGAAAAATAGCCTTCTCTTTGGGGACCCAGAGGGTAACCTGCTCTTGCTTAGGTACAATTACGGCCCTGTGAATGGAATTGGGTCATAGTGATGAAATCTCCAAATTGGATGAAACTACTCTATCAAAGTAGTTTTCTTTTGCCTCATTCAGGGGCTTGAGCCCTACTAGCCCAATGAAAATCGGGTTTTGCTAAGTAGACTTTGCCTGTCAATTGGCAGCAAATTCACCTGGGGCACTTGGCACCTCCTCCTGTTCAGGGACTGGCCTGGCAGGGCCTCTCCCTGTTCGCATCTAGTGTCTGGGCTATTTGAAGCCCTCTCTGTGCCAAATCCTCAAACTCCTGCTTCCGTTCGATTCAGCCCATCTTCTCTTCTTTTTAAAAACTGATGAATGTCTTTAATTGGATCATGGTCACCCATAGGAGGTCAGGAACTGTGCTCTCACTGGAAAGATGGAAACACCAAAACCGTTAAAGAACAAGATTCTCCCTGATGTTAGCCAGCTTTCATTCATGTCTTGACTGTGTTATGAAAAGGGAGGTTACCTATAGAAAATAAATAAAAGAATGAGATTCATTTTCCCAGCAATCTGAAAGTTTCTGCGCTATAAAGCACTTGATTTTTTGGTGGGGGGGATCTTAACTGAAAGCATGTCTGAAAATAAGGATGTTCATGATGACAGGCTGGCTGGATTTACATTTGAAGGTTGTTGAAAATAGCTATTCCTCATAATCTGGGTATAGAGTTGCCAGATTTAGCAAACAAACAAACAGACAAACAAAATAAAACAAAACCAATCCCCTCCCCACAGAAACCCAAACTGAAATAAAACCAGAAAACCAGGAAGCCCAGGTAAATTGGAATTTAAGATAAATAATAAATAAATTTTTAGCGTAAGTCTGTCTGTCTCATACAGTATTTGGGATGACTTATACTAAAAAATTATGTATCTGAAAATGAAATTTTACGGGGCGTTTGGTCTGCCTAGGTTCCCAGAGTACTAATGGTAAGAGGACTTAAAGCAAATACGGGAAGGTAGGAGAAAACAGTTCAGGACAAATTCAGCTCTTCTGGTCTTTGTCAAAGGCAAGGCTGGCCGGGCGTGGTGGCTAACACCTGTAATCTCAGCACTTTGGGAGGCTGTGGTGGGTGGATAATGAGGTCAGGAGTTCGAGACCAGCCTGGCCAGTTTTTAGTAAAGAGGTGAGTTAAACCCTGTCTCTACTAAAAATACAAAAATTAGCCGGGCATGGTGGTATGCACCTGTAGTCCCAGCTACTTGGGAGGCTGAGGCAGAAGACTTGCTTGAACCCAGGAGGTGGAGGTTACAGTGAGCCAAGATCATGCCACTATACTCCAGCCTGGCGACAGAGTGAGACTCCATCTCAAAAAAAAAAAAAAAAGAAAAAAGAAAAAAAAAAGGTAAGGCTGCTATTTTCATGACATTCATGCAAGAACATCTTGAGTTACATATGTATATATATTCTTTTTTGCCTAGAACAAAGAAGAACCAAAAAGCAAAGGTACTGTCATTTGAAAGCTTGTTATTATTTACATTACTTTCTTATAATAATTGCACTAATAAGAACAATGGATTGGCTGGGCGTGGTGGCTCACGCCTGTAATCCCAGCACTTTGGGAGGCCGAGGCAGGCAGATCACGAGGTCAGGAAATCGAGACCATCCTGGCTAACATGGTGAAACCCTGTCTCTACTAAAAATACAAAAAATGAGCCAGGCGTGGTGGTGGGTGCCTGTAGTCCCGGGAGGCTGAGGCAGGAGAATGGCGTGAACCCGGGAGGCGGAGATTGCAATGAGCTGAGATTGCGCCACTGAACTCCAGCCTGGGAGACAGCAAGACTCCGTCTCAAAAAAAAAAAAAATGGATTGCATTTTTTGAACATTTACTTTGTTCTAGACATTGTGCATTGCGTATATCATCTTACCTTATCTCTCAAACAATGGTGGGAGGTAGCTATTTTGTTTTACAGAGGAGGAAACTTGAGTCTTCAGGAAGTTAAGTGGATTTTCCAAGGTCTCCAGCAAGTGGCAGAACAGGGACTCAAGCTCCTTAGTTCTGACTGCAGGGCTCGAGATTTTAACTCCAGCTAGGTGCTGATATTTTTTCTGATCTGTGTGTTCTGTTTATCAAAATTGTCTTTGAACTTAAGATTTATAAAAGGTGAAGGAAGGAAATGAATCTTTTTGATGATCAGAACAGTGCACAGAGTATTCGGGAACCTGTCTTGTAATGTTTTCTTTCATTGATTCAATGACAAATAGTTATTGAAACTCTCCCGGGGTCTGTTTTGGGTACTTGAGGCACAGTGGGCAAAAATCTCTGTCCTAAAAGAGCTTACTTTCTAGAGTGGGAGGAATATCACACGAATGAAAGGTAGACTACGTCGTGTGGTATTGATCAGTGCTGTGGTGGAAAATAAAGCAAGATGGGGGATGGGAAGTTTCTGGGCATGGAGATGGAATGTTGCAATTTTAAATAGGATGGTCAGGAAATGCTTCCCTGAGAGGGTGACATTCTAACAAAAACCCAAGGTTGGTGAAAGAGTGAATCATACGGGAGAAGAATGTTCCAGGCAGAAGGAACGGTAAGTGCAAAGGCCCTGAGCTGGGGCTGTTCCTGGTGGGTCAGAGGAGCAATAAGGAGACCGCCGTGAGCCTAGTGAGGAAGTCAGTGAGGTGGGAATGGTTGCAGGCATTTCAGAAGGTAGAGTTGCAGAGAAGGTGATGTAGGTCTTGAAGGTGATCATAAGGTCTTTGATGTTTGTTCTGAGTGAGATGGGAAATCACTGGGGCTTTGGGCAGAGGAGTGACATGATCTGACTTAGGTTTAAACAGGATCACTCAGGGCCGCTGTGTTGCAAATAGATTGTAGGGAGTAAAAATGGAAGAGGGGAGACCAGTTAGAAGGTATTTGCAATGACTAAGATGATTCATTTGCTGACTATGCATGGAGCACTTGCTGTGTGCTATGGTCTCTCCTGGGAGCTTAGAATATGGTCTTGAGTGAAATCAGCTTCTTGCTTTCAGGAGTTTGTTTTCTACTGGGAGACGACAGAGCAACAAGTAAATCAACGAATAACAAGTTAATTTCTGATAGTGATAAATGATACTAAAAAACTGAAACAAGATCATATGTTCTAATGAATTCTCTGTTTTCTATCTATGGGGACAGAAACCCATTCTGGAACCCCCCTATATTGAAGCCCATCATCGAGTCTGTACCTACAACGAGACCAAACAGGTGACTGTCAAGCTGCCCAACTGTGCCCCGGGAGTCGACCCCTTCTACACCTATCCCGTGGCCATCCGCTGTGACTGCGGAGCCTGCTCCACTGCCACCACGGAGTGTGAGACCATCTGAGGCCGCTAGCTGCTCTCTGCAGACCCACCTGTGTGAGCAGCACATGCAGTTATACTTCCTGGATGCAAGACTGTTTAATTTCGACCACACCCATGGAGGAGGTTACCTGTCGCCCCTTAGGTCCAGCTCAGGCAAAAGGCCCAAATGCAGCCTACTTATGCTAAAAGTTCAAAACAATATTCGTGCCTTCACCAAAATAATTTCTCCAGCTCACATACCTGCAAATTAATTTTTCTTTGCCTTGAGTCTTGGAACATAATTTGTGTATCACAATCCTCCCCCAATTTGGACTTATAATATGCTAATGATTTAAACACATGGGATGTAATTAGGATATGGGGCTGGAAAGTCTTTAAATTCTCATGTTCTATTTAACCTCTGATCTCCAACCGGATTTATGATTAAAGGGCTAGAAATGAACAAAACCCATGTACTAGTCTTCCTTACCCCAGAGGAATTCCAGCTGCAAGCTTCTTTAGGGAAAATGCTCCCTTCCCCTTTTAACTGAGCAATTATCTACACAAGAAATAAGACTGCTCAGATATACAAAGAGAGTAGCTTCAATGAAAAGATGTTTGGATTTGGATAATTCTTTTCCCTAGCAAAATTCGCTAGCTCCCTTAAGAGTCTTAATAAAGAGGCTACGTTGGGATTAAAAGAAAAAAAAACAGAAATAAAATATGTAACTAATAGCTATCTCATTTAGCCTTAAAAACTTATTAAACTAAACTCATGTTTTAGAGTATGATGTTCTCCCAAAGCTATGGCAAAATGGCCAATCACAAGTATTCTTCCCCATTTATCATATTTTCAATTTAAGTTGTAACTTACTAAACTCAGAAATTTTATATGCGTTTAGGGGTAAAACTGCATGGCTGGCTCAGAGGAAAAAGCCTGTGATTTTCTAGCTCCTGCCTCTCTAAAATCTTACAGTAGCTAATTCTGTGGCTGGAAAAAACCTCCAAAACTCTAATGTTATGCAAATGTCTTTAATTCTGGCATTTTTGGGGTTGAATTTAACCTTGTTCCTTTTTCATAATGTGCCAAGAAAACCTATATTAATGCCAATAAAGCATGTCCTCTGTCTTTTGGATTCATGACAACATTCAAGAAAGTCTTTTTAATTCTTAGTATACTTGGAGTAACAGTGAGAAGCACACCTCAAATACACTACAAGGTTATTTTTACTTAAGCATTTATGTGGCATGTCATGTTTAGTAAGGGACACAGACAGATGACTCTGGGTAGCATGAGTCCCAACGGTGGCACAAACTGCCCAGACATACCCCTGGGAGCCAGGAGTCCTTCTTGAATAAGAACTCAAGGAGTCCCCCTAAAACACAGTAAAGCAAATGTTGAGATTGACAGTCAAGTACTGGGTTGCGGGGTGAACATCTGGGAACAAAGGGCAGGAGCAAAATCCACCCAACCTTTAGCAGATGTGTTGGTAGGAATGGAAGTCACTCTAGCATAAGAAGAAGGCAAGTACTTGGGGTCTCTGCTGGAACAGTGGGTGATGATTAGGGATGAATCCTGAGTGGTGCCACTCAAGTGTTTTCAACCCACCCCTAAAGACTCTCCTCAGAATTTTCTGAGGCACAAAGGGCTTGCCAGGATTTGAGAAAAGATGACCGTAGCATGAATAAAGGTCCTGGCAGGAAACCGGTGATCTATTGTAGTGGGATACAGAAGAGACGATTTACAAATGTGTGGGCAGAATTAAGGAAACCAACAAGTGGGGTTGAAACAGATCTGGTTCAGCGGCAATGGACAACCCTAGGCTGAAGGAACAAGAGGAGGGAGTGATTGTCAGACCCCAGAGAGAACTGTAGGAGTGAGATCCTTGACAGGAGCTGCAGCCTTTGGTAGGAGGATGCAGCCCTTCCCAAACTGAGACCTGGTAGGGAGGGAGGTGGGGGAGCAGATACCCATCCTCACTCTCCTCCCATCCCCTGGTCTTCTGTTGAATGAAATGGGAATCAAGCTGGGCGTGGTGGCTTATGCCTGTAATCCCAGCACTTTGGGAAGCCGAGGTGGAAGAATTACTTGAGGCCAGGCGTGTGAGACTAGCCTGGGCAACACGGTGAGACCCTGTCTCTTCAAAAAATAAAAAAAATTAGCTGGGTGTGGTGGTGCGCAGCTGTAGTCCCAACTACTCAGGGCGCTGAGGTGGGAGGATCCCTTGAGACTGGGAGGTCAAGGCTGCAAGTGAGCTGTGATTGTGCCACTGCACGCCAGCCTGAATGACAGAGCAAGACCCCATCTCTTAAAAAAAAAAACAAAAACACGTGGGAATCAAATGGGAAAGCAGAGAGTGAGAAAACCCATTGATTCAGTCCATAAATGTTGGCCTTCTAGGCAGCAAGTTGAAGAAAGGTAGAGAGTGGATTTAAGGGGCCAAATGAATAAACTCTGGCTTAGCTGTCTTTTGGGAAGCTCAGCTTTAATGCAGGACGTAGCATGCTGTAGCATCACAATTACAGTCATGGGTCACTTAACGAGGGTACGTTATGAGAAATGCATCATTAGGTAATTTTGTCATTGTGAGAACATCATAGTGTAATTACACAAACCTAGACAGTATAGCCTACTACATAGCTAAGCTATGTAGTATAGCTTATCGCTGCTAGGCTACGAATCTGTACAGCAGATTACTATACTGAATGCTGTAGGCAACTGTAAAACAAAAAATACAAGTATTTGTGTATCTAAACATAGAACAAGTACAGAAAAAACATAATCTTATGGGACCACCATCATATGTGCCGTCTGCCATTGACCAAAATGTGCAGTTCACGTACTGACTGCCTTGTAGTGAATTGATCTGGAATACACATGGGAAGGCATGCACTGGCTAATACAGTAACATTTGGGAGATATTGAAGACCATGGTAATTATAAGGACAGTGGGATTAGTTGGTCGTTAAGTGCAATAAAAGCCCTCAGGCATGATATGAAAGCTGATTTGAAGAGATTGTCTTCGAATGCAGCTGAAGGACAGACTGTGCTGAAAATTAGGCCTAATATCTAATTGAGAAAGCAGCTGAATTAATAAAAGGGCTGAATTTACCACTCTGGCAAGTCTCCTATACTTAAGTCCAGGTCCTAATAGGGAAAAAGTGAGACATAGAGACCTGGAATGGGAACAGTTAGGTGGATGATGGACTTGAGGTTTCCCTGCAGAGGAACCTCCTGGCCCCTCCTTGCTAGTGGAGAGCAGACTCCCCTTGCCTGGAGACCAAGCTGAGGAGGATGCTTTACATGATGATACTTGCCTTCCTCAAATACTGCCCACAATCCCGTATTATTCTAGATGGTTCATTATAGTCAAGTCTCAGGATGATCTGGCTGGGAAAGGACTTGCTCTGTGGTGGGAGGAACAAGTGTCTCCCCTGAAGGAGCTTCAGGATTTGACAGTTTCCAGGAGGAATTGGTGGAGTGTGCTTAGCAATGGATCTCGGGGGGTTCAGACAGGGATATGGGGGGTGGGGTGCCAGAATATAAGACTGGATAAGAAGATTTCATCCATATGCAGGCATTATCAGAATGTAATGTAATCAAAAGGACACCTGGATCTGGTCCCAGTGTGCTGTTGGGAAGTGTCCTTCAAGAGTGAGGAAAATGGTGGCTTGCATTAATGAAAAGAAGATACCAGAACTGTCCTGGCAGAGTACTGAGGAACAAAAGGCACAGAGAGGTGGGCCTGCCAGAATGGATTTATTACATAAGACCAGAGAACTCGCCAGTTGGCTGTGTTCATCTGGAGGGTTTAGTGGCCATTTCTTTTACAAACCAACAAAGAATGACTAGTGAGGGGTGCGTCTCAGAAAAGCTTGATCGTCACTGTCCTTTCTAGGCTGAGGTTGATGCCAGGGGAAGCTGCTGTGGCACTGGGCTTCTGGTGTCAGCGTAGGAGACAGGGATCTAGGACAACAGGGACCAGGTGGCGACATGCAGCTGTGAGAGACAAGGTGGGCAAAATTGTTCTAACAGGTAGCAAAGCTGCAATGGCCACCAGAGGGCTCTGATCTGCGGGATCTGTGTGCTAATAGTCCATGGTATTCAAACAATTTCCTCAATAGATCTATGTTATAATCAGAGAATTTATTAGTGAAAAAGAGGAAAGCCTCTATCAGGATTTATACTGTGCTAAACTGGAATCTTTTTCGTCTCCCTTTTTCTTTCTCCCTTCCTTCTTTCCACAAATATTTATTAACTTAAATTTTGTGCAAGGTACTGTGTTTGGAAAATAAAAAAATATGTATTGTTACTATTTATGAATCTCTTACTATAAGCAGAATCCTTTATATTAATACTTCTTAGTTATTGTATTAACTATGCTAGTAAGCATTGTCATTGTCATTTTACCATTAGCATTTTACAGATGATGAAATAGAAGCTCAGAGAGGTCAAATAACTTGCCCAAGTTCACAGAGCTAATAAGTAGCACATGCTAGGTTTCTTTGAATCAGAACCAAACGTTTTCCACTAGAGCACAGTGCCTTTTTGGAATGCTTCTTACAAGTTATTCCTGCTTGGAGAAGTCTTTAAGTTTATCGTCAGACTATCTCTTACCATTGATTAGCATTTCTGCCATCTTTCCTGGAGGTGGCTCCGTGCAAGGTTGGGCTGTTTTATGGAGAGTGGAAGTTTTCTCTGGTTTGCTGTATAACCTCTAGGAAGATAATGTTTTGCTGTAGCTTAAATGAAAGCTTACCATGGAGGAGACTGAGGGAGAAAAAGCAGAGCCTTGAAGGGAAATTCAAAGAGACTGTTGCGGAACTGAGGGATGTATGTTCTAAACTTGTTTCCTAGGCATGTGAGGAGTGGTGCAGGGGAATTGACTCTGGTGCATAAACTAACTCTCAGCAACTCCTTACTCTTGGAAATGTGTTTATTTTTTATTTTTAACATACGTTGTTGGGGTACAGGTGGTATTTGGTTACATGAGTAAGTTCTTTAGTGGTGATTTGTGAGATTTTGGTGCACCTATCACCTGAGCAGTATACACTGCACCCTATTGGTAGTCTTCTATCCCTCACTCCCCTCCCACTCTTCCCCCAAAGACCCCAAAGTCTATTGCATCATTCTTTTGCTTTTGCATCCTCATAGCTTAGCTCCCACATTTCAGTGAGAACATACAATGTTTGGTTTTCCATTCGTGAGTTACTTCACTTAGAATAATAGTCTCCAATCTCATCTAGGTCACTGCAAATGCTGTTAATTCATTTCTTTTTATGGCTGTGTAATATTCCATTGTATATATATATATGTATATATACATATATACATATACATATATATATACATATGTGGTATATATATATATATGTATATGTATATATATATATATCACAGCTTCTTTATCCACTGTTTGGTTGATGAGCATTTGGGTTAGTTCCACGATTTTGCAATTGTGAATTGGGCCACCATAAAAATGCGTGTGCAAGTATCTTTTTTGAATAATGACTTCTTTTCCTCTGGGTAAATACCCAGCAGTAGGATTGCTGGATCCAATGGTAGTTGTACTTTTAGATCTTTAAATAATCTCCACACTGTTTTCCATAGAGGCTGTACTAGTTTACATTCCCACCAGCAGTGTAGAAGTGTTCCCTGTTCACTGTATCCACACCAATATCTACTGTTTTTTTGATTTTTTGATTATGGCCATTCTTGCAGGAGTGAGATGGTATCACATTGTGGTTTTGATTTGCATTTCCCTGATCATTAGTCATGTTGTGCATTTTTTCATATGTTTGTTGGCCATTTGTATATTGTATATCTTCTTTTGAGAATTGTCTATTCATGTCCTTAGTCCACTTTTTGATGGGATTGTTTGTTTTTTCTTACTAATTTGTTTGAGTTCGCTGTAGATTCTGGATTAGTCCTTTGTCAGATGTATAGATTGTGAAGATTTTCTCCTATTCTGTGGGTTGTCTGCCTAATCTGCTGACTGTTCCTTTTGCTGTGGAAAAGCACTTTAGTTTAATTAGGTCCCAGCTATTTATCTTTGTTTTTATTGCATTTGCTTTTGGGTTCTTGGTCATGAAATCCTTGCCTAAACCAATGTCTAGATGGGATTTTCCAGTGTTATCTTGTAGAATTTTTATAGTTTCAGGTCTTAGGTTTAAGTCCTTAATCCATCTTGAGTTGATTTTTGTGTGAGATGAGGATCCAGTCTCATTCTCCTACATTTGACTAGCCAATTATCCCAGCACCATTTGTTGAAAAGGGTGTCCTTTCTCCACTTTATGTTTTTGTTTGCTTTGTTGAAGGTCAGTTGGCTGTAAGTATTTGGGTTTATTTCTGGGTTCTCTATTCTGTCCTCTTGGTCTTTGTGCCTATTTTTGCACCAGTACCACGCTGTTTTGGTGACTATGGCCTTACAGTAGAGTTTGAGATCAGATAGTTGCTTCTGTCTCACAGCTCTTAAGATTTTTTTCCTCCGTCTTAACTTTGGATAACCTGATGACAATGTACCTAGGTGAGATAGTTGAGATCAGACACCTCCAGATTTGTTCTTTTTGCTTAGTCTTGCTTTGGCTATGCGGGCTCTGTTTTGGTTCCATATGAATTTTAGAATGGTTTTTTCTAATTCTGTGAAGAGTGATGGTGGTATTTTGATGGGGATTGCATTGAATTTGTAGATTGCTTTTGGCAGTATGGTCATTTTCACACTATTGAGTCTACCCATCCATGAGCATGGGATGTGTTTCCATTTTTTTGTGTCATCTATGATTTCTTTCAGCAGTGTTTTGTAGTTTTCCTTGTAGAGGTCTTTCGAATCCTTTGTTAGGTATATTCCTAAGTTTCCTTTTTTTTTTCTTTCTTTTGCAGCTATTGTAAAAGGGGTTGAGTTTTTTATTTGATTCTCCACTTGGTCGCTGTTGGTGTATAGAAGAGCTACTGACTAGTGTACATTAATCTTGTATCTGGAAACTTTGCTGAATTTTTTTTATCAGTTCTAGGAACTTTCTGGAGGAGGACTTAGGGTTTTCAAGGTAAACAATCATATCGTCAGCAAACAGTGACAGTTTGACTTCCTCTTTACCGATTTGGATGCCCTTTATTTTTTCTCTTGTCTGATTGCTCTGGCTAGGACTTCCAGTGCTGTGTTGAAGAGGAGTGGTGAGAGTGGGCGTCCTTGTCTTTTTCCAGTTCTCAGAGGGAATGCTTTCAACTTTTCCCCATTCAGTATTATGTTGGCTGTGAGTTTGTCATAGATGGCTTTTATTACATTAAGGCATGTCCCTTTTATGCTGATTTTGCTGAGAGTTTTAATCGTAAAGTGATTCTGAATTTTGCTGAATGCTTTTTCTGCATCTATTGAGATGATCATGTGATTTTTGTTTTTAATTCTGTTTATGTGGTGTATCACATTTATTGACTTGTGTATATTAAACCATCCCTCGTATGAAACCCACTTGATCATTGTGGATTACCTTTTTGATAATCTTTTTGTTGGATTCAGTTAGCAAGTATTTTGTTAAGGATCTTAGCATCTACATTCATCAAGGATATCGGTCTGTAGTTTAGTTTTTTGGTTAGGTCCTTTCTTGGTTTTGGTATTAGGGTGATGTTGGCTTCATTGAATGAATTATGGAGGGTTCCTTCTTTCTCTATCTTGTGGAATACCGTCAAAAGGATTGGTACCAATTTTTTGAATGTCTGGTAGAATTCTGCTGTGAATCCATTTGGTCCTGTACTTTTTTTGTTGGTAATTTTTAGATTACCATTTATTTCAGTCTTGCTGCTTGTTGTTGGTCTGTTCAGGGTATCTAATTCTTTGGTGATTTACCTAGGAGGGTTGTATTTTTCCAGGAATTTATCCATCTCTTCTAGGTTTTCTAGTTTATGTGAGTAAAGGTGTTCATAGTAGCCTTGAATGATCTTTTGTATTTCAGTGGTGTCAGTTGTAATATCTCCTGTTTTGTTTCTTAGTGAGGTTATTTGGATTTTTTCTCTTCCTTCTTGGTTAATCTTGCTAATGGTCTATCAATTTTATTTATCTTTTCAAAGAACCTGCTTTTTGTTTCATTTATCTTTTGTATTTATTTTTGTTTCAATTTCATTTAGTTCTGCTCTGGCCTTGGTTATTTCCTTTCTTCTGCGGGGTTTGAGTTTGGTTTGTTCTTGTTTCTCTAGTTCCTTGAGGTGTGACCTTAGAATGTCAGTTTGTGCTGTTTCAGTCTTTGTGATGAAGGCGTTTAGGGCTATGAACTTTCCTCTTAGCACTGCCTTTGCTGTATCCCAGAGGTTTTGATAGGTTGTGTCATTATTGTCGTTCAGTTTGAAGAATTTTTAAATTTCAATGTTGATTTCGTTTTTGACCCAACGCTCATTCAGGAGAAGGTTATTTAATTTCCATGTATTTTCATGGTTTTGAAGCTTCCTTTTGGAGTTGATTTCCAGTTTTATTCCACTGTGGTCTGGGAGAGTGCTTGATATAATTTCAATTTTCTTAAATTTATTGAGGCTTGTTTTATGGCCTATCATATGGTCGATCTTGGAGAAAGTTCCATGCACTGTTGAATAGAATGCGTATTCTGTGGTTATTGGATGGTAATGTTCTGTATATATCTGTGAAGTCCATTTGTTCCAAGGTATAGTTTAAATCTATTGTTTCTTTGTTAACTTTCTGTCTTGATGACCTGTCTAGTGCTGTTAGTAGAGTACTGAAGTCCCCACTATTATTGTGTTGCTGTCTATCTCATTTCTTAAGTTCATTAGTAATTGTCTTATAAATTTGGGAGCTCCAGTGTTAGGTGCATATATGTTTAGAATTGTGATATTTTCCTGTTGGACAAGGCCTTTTACCATTATATAATGTCCCTCTTTGTCTCTTTTAACTGCTGTGGCTTTAAAGTTTGTTTTTCTGATATAAGAATTGCTACTCCTGCTCACTTTTGGTGTCCATTTTCATGAAATGCCTTTTTCCTCCCCTTTACTTTAAGTTTATGTGAGTCCTTATGTGCTAGGTGAGTCTCCTGAAGGCAGTAGATGGTTGGTGAGTTCTTATCCATTCTGTGGTTCCATATCTTTTAAATGGAGCATTTAGGCCATTTACATTCGATGTTAGTATTGAAATGTGAGGTACTGTTGCATTCATCATGCTCTTTGTTGCCTGTCTACTTTGTTTTTTTTTTTTGTTTTGTTTTTGCTTTTTAACTTGTATTTTTGCTTTACAGGTCTTGTGTGGTTTATGCTTTAAAGAGGTTCTGCTTTGATGTGTTTCCAGGATTTGTTTCAAGATTTAGAGCTCCTTTTAGCATAGCAATTCTTGTAGTGGTGGCTTGGTAATGGCGAATTCTCTCAGCATTTATTTGTCTGAAAATGACTGTATCTTTGCTTCATATATGATGCTTAGTTTCGCTGGATACAAAATCCTTGGCTGATAATTGTTTTGTTTGAGGAGGCTGAAGATAGGGCCCCAATCTCTTCTAGCTTGTAGGGTTTCTGCTGAGAAATCTGCTGTTAATCTGATAGGTGCTTCTGTGTCACAGCTCTTAACATTTTTTTCCTTCGTCTTAACTTTGGATAACCTGATGGCAATGTACCTAGGTGAAGATTTTTTTTTTTTTTTTTTTTGAAATGGAGTCTTGCTCTGTCGCCCAGGCTGCAGTGCAGTGGCGCAATCTCGGCTCACTGCAAGCTCTGCCTCCCGGGTTCACACCATTCTCCTGTCTCAGCCTCCCAAGTAGCTGGGACTACAGGTGCCCGCCACCACACCTGGCTAATTTTCTTTTGTATTTTTATTAGAGATGGAGTTTCACTGTGTTAGCCAGGATGGTCTCGATCTCCTGACCTCATGATCTGCCTGCCTCGGCCTCCCAAAGTGCTGGAATTACAGGTGAAGATCTTTTTGTTATGAATTTCCTGGATGTTCTTTGTGCTTCTTGTATTTGGATGTCTAGGTCTCTAGCATGACCAGGGAAGTTTGCATCGATTATTCCCACAAGTATGTTTTCCAAGCTTTTAGAATTACCTTCTTCTTCAGGAATACCAATTATTCTTAGGTTTGGTTGTTTAACATAATCCCAGCCATCTTGGAGGCTTTGTTCATATTTTCTTATTCTTTTTTCTTTGTCTTTGTTGGATTGGGTTAATTCGAACACCTTGTCTTTGAGCTCTGAATTTCTTTCTTCTACTTGTCTATATGTGGTGTTTTCTGCCTGGAATAAATTTTCTCTCTCTCTCTCTCTCTCTCTCTCCCCACCACCCCCAATAGCTAACTAGAATCACCTCTCAAGGAAATCTCGCCTCCATGAAGGTTCTTAGCTTTGGTGGTTTAATGTTCTATTTTTGTGCTGGTCGGCCTCCTGCCAGGAGGTGGTACTTTCCAGAGAGCATCAGCTATAGTATTATGGGGATGACTGGTGGGGGGCAGGGCCCTAGAACTCCCAAGATTATATGCCCTTTATCGTCTGCTACCAGGGTGGGTAGGGAAGGACCATCAGGTGGGGGCAGGGCTAGGCATGTCTGAGCTCAGACTCTTGGTCAGGTCTTGCTGCTGCTGCTGCTGTGGGGGATGGGGGTGAGATTCCCAGGCCACTGGAGTTGTGTACCCAGGAGGATTATGGCTGCCTCTGCTGTGTCTTGCCGGTTGTCAGGGAAGTGGGGGAAAGTCAGCCGTCACAGGCCTCATGCAGCTCCCACGCAAACCAAACAATCTGTCTCACTCCCACCGTGCCCTCCCACCCAACAGCCCCCCAGACCGTTTCCAGGCAGAGGGGAATCTGGGCTTGAAAACCTGCCCCAGGCTATCTGCCTCCCAGCTTCCAAAGAAAAGGGCTTGGTTCTTCCCCGGCCTGTGGAGTCTGGACACCGGATTTGCGTCTTCCCCTGAGTTCTGGCCAGGAGGCTTCTCACAGAGTCCAAACTGTTACAAAGTTCAGCTAGACAATTCCTTCTTCCTGTGGAGTTTTACCCCCTGCTCCTCTGGCCACCCTCCTGATGGATCCCTGTGGTGCCATGCAGGAATGGGCTGCTTGGGGACCCAGCGAGCTCCCAGGGCCTTTCTGCTTCTTCCTGTACCCCTGTATTTCCCTTGGCTTTCCAAATTGACTCAGCTTCTGGTAAAGTTGGAAACTTTTCCAGCAAACAGACCTTCATCTTCTCCAGTGCAGGTGTGTGTTCAGGAGAGGAGGGTTTCCCTTTCCCCCTTCCACAGTTGGGGCACTCACAGTTTTGGGGGGGTCTCCTGGGTCCTGCAGGAGCAGTCCGCTTCATTCAGAGGGTCTGTTAGAATCAGAAGTGTGTTACTTTGTAGCTAATAAATGGTAAAAAGGGGAATTTCCTGGAATTTTATTTTTCAGTGGGAGCTTTTTAATTTTGAAACAGTGTTTCTCTCTGTCACCAAGGCTGGGGTGCAGTAGCACGATCTTGGCTCAATGCAGCCTTGACTTCCCAGGCTCAAGGCTCAGGCAATCCGTTGGTTTAATGAATGGGATTGTCTGGAATTGTATACAGGGAAGTCTAGTAGGCTTAGAGGCTTGTGGTTGTGATCCTAGAGTGTCTGAAGAGGGTACTGAAGCTTTCTGAGCAGGTGATATCTGGGACAAGAACTAGGGAAGGATGAGAAAATAAGGGGAGCAGGTGTAAAGCACTGTAATTGGCAATGTAAGGCAGGGATTTGTCTCCAATGTTAAGAAATGTAGAGGGATTATTCTATTCTCTTTTCCAGGTCCTCATTATCAGAAATAAAGTAAACCTTTCCAAGCTCTTTGGATTTATATTTGACCCTAAGTTCCTCTGGCTGTACAATTTCTTTAGCATACTAAATAATTGAGTTTTTTTAATAAAGGCTTCCTGATACACAAGAACAGTTAGTTATATGCTTTGACCTTGATTGTGAGCCACTGGGGCTTTGGAAAGTCATGCAAAGCCAAAAATACAAACACCTCCTTATCCACGCCCCTGACAACACCAAACAAACAGACATTCGCTAAAAGACAAAAAACATTTTATTTTAATAAAGAATATCAATAATACTAAGAATAGTAGTTTTCTTTTGGTAATTTCAAAGAATTACAAGCAAGGAATAAATGTGACTATCTCCAAGTTGCAAATGTGAGTTAAAATTGTTTGAAAGAGCATTTATTCACTGAAAATAAACTGTACACATACACAATAAGGGATATTGATGAACTATTAATAGTTATTATCTCGAGGAAGTATATACATACAGAATTATGCACTTAAAATAAAAATTTTATCCTGTTAGTTTGCAAGTTCTTTCTACATGAAATGCATGAACAGATCATGCTTTCTTGGTTTTACTGTGTTGCTCACGTAAAGATTATTCAGGTGATGGCTTGGCACGGTGGCTCATGCTTGTGATCCCAGCACTTTGGGAGGCCGAGGCAGGCAGATCACTTGAGATCAGGAGTTCAAGATCAGCCTGGCCAACATGGTGAAACCCTGTCTCTACCAAAAATACAAAAATTAGCCGGCTGTGGTGGCACATGCCTGTAGTCCCAGCTACTTGGGAGGGTGAGGCAGGAGAATCGCTTGAACGTCGGAGGCAGAGGTTGCAGTGAACTGAGATCACACCATTGCACTCCAGCCTGGGCAACAGGGTGAGACTCTGTTTAAAAAAAAAAAAATTTCTTCAGGTGACCCAACATGGAGGAGTGAGCCGTCAAAGTCAGACGATCTAAGCTTCCAGACTGTTTTGAACCTCCCATCTTCCATTTCTTCTTGGAATCTGCATATCAAAATTAAAATATTTTGGGGGACCAGTTTTACTGAGTGGAATTAAACTATCCAGCATTTTAAAATATGTTGGACATGTTTTTAAGAGGAAGATCTTGTTCAGCTTTTGGCTCCTGCTTGAGCAAGCTCAAGGAGCAAATGCTGAAACATCTCCCCACTGCAATGTCAACTCATTAATGAGAAGCAAAGTCCAACTGAATTCAGCTGCAAATTTCAGCATTAACAAAATCTGAGCCAACTTCAGGACAAAGCCGAAAGGAACTAATGTACCATAAATTTACCCATGCCAACCTCTACGCTGCAGACAAGGCAAGGAGAATGTGTGGGTTCTGAGCAAGGGCAGGGCAGGGAGGGTTCTCTCC
Organism: Homo sapiens; assembly: GCF_000001405.40. Taxonomy (NCBI): domain Eukaryota; kingdom Metazoa; phylum Chordata; class Mammalia; order Primates; family Hominidae; genus Homo; species Homo sapiens. The sequence continues at coordinate 63,299,851 of NC_000014.9, read as the reverse complement.
TTCAGGATGTGATCATTTCAATGTGCCTAATTCAGTAGAAATGTTTTTATTCAAATGAAGAGAGGGCTTTAGTTATCCTGGATGGGGAATTTATTTTACCACTACAGAAAAGGCACTGGGAATTAAACATTTTTAAGATTACAAGTAAATGGATTCTTGGAGGCAAATGGATTGTTGATACCAGTTTTCTCCCATTCATTTTTTTTGAAGAGGATAAAATAGACTTTCCTTTGTGGCCTGGGAAAGGAAGTAGCTGGGGCGGGGTGCCATGCTGTGGCAGGCTGTAGGAAGATAGGCAGGCCCTTGTGGTAGAAGCCCTTTTGGCTGCTTGCATCAGTGGTTACAAGGAAGAAATCAGGGATACATTTGCAATAAAGAGAAATAATCTGCTGGGCACGGTGGCTTACATCTGTAATCCCAGTACTTTGGGAAGCCGAGGCAGGCAGGTCACCTGAGGTCAGGAGTTCGAGACCAGCCTGACCAACATGGAGAAACCTCATCTCTACTAAAAAAAGACAAAATTAGCTGGGCGTGGTGATACATGCCTGTAATCCTAGCTACTTGGGAGGCTGAGACAGGAGAATCGCTTGAGCCCAGGAGATGGAGGTTGCCGTGAGCCGAGATAACGCCATTGAACTCCAGCCTGGGCGATAAGAGTGAAACTCCATCCAAAAAAAAAAAAAAAGAAATAATCTTTGGTAAGATTCTGTTTTGGGATTTGCTGAAACCCAAGAATGTTAGCTGCTTTGGCTAGCTGAGTGGCTCCCAGAGGTGACAGCTGTCCCAGTTTAAAAGCGTGTTTTTTTTTTTTTTGAGATGGAGTCTCACTCTGTCGTCCAGGCTGGAGTGCAGTGGTGCGATCTCGGCTCACTGCAACCCTTGCCTCCTGGGTTCAAGCACTGTCCTGTCTCAGCCTCCCAAGTAGCTGGGACTACAGGCACATGCCACCATGCCCAGCTAATTTTTGTATTTTAGTAGAGATGGGGTTTCGCTGTGTTGGCCAGGCTGGTCTGGAACTCCTCACCTCAGGTGATCTACCCACCTTGGCCTCTCAAAGTGCTGGGATTACAGGCGTGAGCCACTGTGCCTGGCCTTTAAAAGCTTTTCAGTTGAAAGGTAATCTTGGAACACAGGTGGGTTCCAGTTGCTTGGAGCATGAGGAACACCTGATTGAATGTCCTAACGTCAGACGTGTGTCTGCAAGTGGAAAGTGAAGCCTGCTGCAGGAAGAGGGAGGTGGTTGGTGCTTCCTAGAAGGGGTGGGCCTTTAATGACTGCACCTGCACAGTGCTATCAGGTCCTTATTGTGGGACCGAATCACTGACATCCTAATGAAAAAATTAGCTAGGCCATTTGCAGGTACAAGAGCACAGGTGGTCCTTGTGCTCTTTTTTGATTCGTTTGAAGGTAGGTGTGATTTGCCTTCAGGACTTCATCAGCAACAATAGGATTTGAATAAGTGGATAGGCTGCTGTATGTGGTTGTGTACAATTTTTAAAGGGCTCTTGTACACAGGGTGGGGTGTGGGCAGGGAGAACAAAGCATGGTCCCCAGTGATGTTTAGTAAAAATATGTCTAGAAAGTTAATAAAACTCTGGTCTGTGCTTAAGGCAATAACAACATGAGTCTCTGGCATGAATCTGTGTCCTGTTTAGAGGACAGGTTGTTTGTAATCAACCCTTATTCTGTCATCTAGAGTTCCGTGTTTTAAGCAATGAAGACAGAAACTCTATCAAAAGTTTCATGCCTCAGAAATTTGTTTTATCTTTACTTTGTGAGTTTATAAAACTTCATGTACCCTGAATCTTTCTTATGTCTTCGTGGAAAATAATTTTGGGGGAGCACTTTTTTCTCACCCTAATAAACATGAAAAAGACTTTCAGAACAGAAGTACTTTAGATCTAGCAGATCTAGCAAACCAGATGCTGCTTTTCTGCTTTTGATTCTAAAATATGCATATTCCTTTCCTGCAGCTGGGCAGCACATGACAAGAAAAAGAAAAGACTTCTGACAGCCCTTTTATTCATCCAGTAAATGTGAGCAACTCAAATATTAGCCTAAGGAACACTCAAAAGGTAGCATCTGAGAGACAGGCTAAGTTGATGGTTCTTCATTAGGCAGCTATGTGTTTGGATATAAAGACTGATGATGAACTTGGTTGTCTCCGAGACCAGTACTTCCCCTATTTCACTGTGTATACAAATCACTTGGGGGTCCTGTTAAAAATGCAGATTCTGATTCAGTAGGTCTGGGCTGGGCCTGAAATTCCACAGTCCTTGGTAGCTCCCAGGTAATGCTGACGCTGCTGGTTCCCAGGCCACATCTTGAGTCACAAGGGGCTGGACAATTTCTTGTTCTAACAAAGGCCTGGAGAAGGCAATTTTCTGGAATGGCAGATGGAGACACCCTCAGATTTCCCAGAAATATGAACAGAAAAAAGACGATTTAATGACTTAAAAGTCAGAACATGGCACAAAATAAATTGTAATGTTAAAAAATGCATAGAATAGGCTGGGTGCAGTGGCTCACGCCTGTAATCCCAGCATTTTGGGAGGCCAAGGCGGGCGGATCACAAGGTCAGGAAGATTGAGAACATCCTGGCTAATACGGTGAAACCCCGTCTCTACTAAAAATACAAAAAAAAATTAGCTGGGCGTGGTGGCGGGAACCTGTAGTCCCAGCTACTTGGGAGACTGAGGCAGAATGGCGTGAACCTGGGAGGGGAGCTTGCAGTGAGCTGAGATCGTGCCACTGCACTCCAGCCTGGGCGACAGAGCGAGACTCCGTCTCAAAAAAAAAAAAGCATAAAATAATATTCCAATAATTATGACACAGGCACACAGAATCACCATTACATAAGATGCAGATTGTAAGAACGCCATCCCGTGAGCAGGTCAGCCTGCTTCCCTTGACGATCATTTCCTCTGCAGAGATTACATTAGGAGGAACATGAACTGTTGCAATTGGGATAAAATTCTGCTGAGATGTACTTAAACAGTAATTACTGTTTACTCAGAGCAGAAAACAATTTAAACCAGGTGATGAGAAGGATGTAGAATTCATTAGTTTTCTTGCCCACAGCTCCTCTAGGAGAAAAGAATCTGATTGCTTGAAAAAAAATTGATTTAAAAAATGGCAAATGGAGGTAATTTTAGATATGTATTCACAAAGCTGCCCCAAACATACTGCCCTATTCAGAAGTTGTTTCTATTTTTTTTCCCCCAAAGAACTAACATAAGCTCAAAAGATTGAGACAGACTTGCACAGAATCACTGGGAGGCTAAGTGTGCTGAGGTTGCTTCAAGGCATGACTCAGGTGTGGGCCCTGGAGACCCTCTCCTTGTAGAGCCTCACACATCATTTCCCCTGTAACACTGATCAGATTCTGTTTGGCAAAGATCACAGCATATACTGGGAGGCTTGGAGGACATGGCTAAAAATACAGCAAAATTACTCCAGTTATAGTATCATGGAACTTCTGAGTCACTGCAGAACTCATAGAACAAAATGAAATGATCAAAGTAGAACATATTTAAAACACACGCACACACTGAAGCAACCCTAGTTTTTTGACATAATATCCTCTAAGGACAAAAACATAGATTGTGACCAAGACTAATGGTGCAGATTTTACTCTAATTTCCGGTAGTGGAATTTCAAAGCCAAGAACTATTGTTGAACTTGAATCTCACCATTTCACAGAGCAGCCAATCCCGCTTTGACTCATTCGTCCCCTAACAGAAAGAGATCTTCAAAATAGCACGGCGGAGCTTCTGATGGCTGAAGTGCTGCTGAGTAGAACTTGTGCTTTAATTTCCTTTCTGGTCTTTGTTGACCGTTGTGGCACTGTGAACTGTTGCTTTATCTCGTATTTTTTTTTCTGTTATTGTAGTTGTACATTTTAAATACAATCTTTCTATTGAGAAATATCACACTGACGGTGAATAAATATTATTCATGCAAGTAACTATCCTTCCAGCTATCCCCAAATCATCCTTTTCATGTTCCTGCTCAATGAAACTTTCAAAATCATTTATTCACTCATATTTCTTGGCAAGTTTTCCTTGATTGCCTGCTGTGTAGAAGCAGAGAAAGTGACAGGGTGATGTCCTCCATTGCTATTAAAGCCCCAAAGGGCTTTGCCCAGGGTTCCGCTTGTTTTTTAGTGAACTGTGAGGTGGAATTACCCAGGATTATCACATGGTTAGCCCTGTTGACTGACTCTGCCTAGATACCCAGAACCCTGGAGTGTTCTTCACGCTAACAGTCCTTTCTTCCTGTGCTTCTAGAGACCAGGCAGAAGTTACCAACTTCCCGGAATAATTGTCAGCTGTGCGTTTTGGTTGTTTGGGTTTAGCTTCCTCTCCGTTCTCTAAATATTTTCTTTTTCAAAGTGCCTCACTTCCTTTGTTAGAAACTAAGTTTCCCTGACCTTCTCTTTTCCTTTCTGTTTCTAATGGTCCTTGAAATGAAAATAGTTCGTTGAGTTTCCTTATGTGTACTTGGGCAGCCTACTCAATGACTCCTGGGAGAATAATAGCTGGTGACCTGTGGCGCTCTCCGTTGAGAGAGAATGCGCAGTTTGCATTTTGGCAGCTAAACATAGGGATGGATTTAAAAACGAATGTGTAAGTAGCTGGATAATAATTTCCAGTATGATGTCAACATTTCTTTAAAACAAAGCCTTAATTTCTAATCTTCTGTCACTTTGGTCTCAAGGATGAGTTTGCCTTTATGAATGTAATATGGCAATCTTGAAAGCCTTACCTCAAGTCAAATATTTCTTCTTGAAGATGTTCTACTTTGCAAGGTACTGCCCACAGGAACGTATACCCTAAATAATGACTTTTTTTGTTGTTGTTGGCTTCAAATTCTGGATTTAGTTTTATTTTCTCCTAAAATTGTGAGTGTAGTCGTGATTGCTTTTTTACTACCATGTCATACTATTTCCTCCTTGGGGGTCCTATGCAAATTGCGTATGGTCCCATCCACTTCATTTGGTACTTCCCTTATGAACTAGAAATCTTCCAAATGGTTCTTTGCATATCCTGATCGGACATATTCTCACTGAAGTCTCAGGACCAACCCCCGCACCTTGTCATATGTGTATGACTTAGTTTTTGACTTCCTGGCTTAGTGCTTTCTGGTTTAGGGTTGCTATAATTATTGTCTTCAGCAATTGTTCATTTTTCTTTCTTTTTATCCATTACTTCTTTTATGTCGAAATTTCCCCACGTGATCAAGTAATTATTCTTTGTAACTTTTCTTGGCAGAGATCAGCCCGGATTTCTTACTGTGGATGTGGCTTTGATTTGTGTCCTAGTCCTTTTTTGTTCCCAAAATAGCCCAAGGAGTCCATTCCTTCTACCAAACAACCAACCATCTGAGTGAAATAAATATGTTTAGCTACTTGATTGAGCCACTATTAGATGGGGGTTAAATTGCCATATACTGTGGATTTCAGGCATCTTAGTATGTAGGTCAAATTCTCTAGTGTATTACTAGTTTGATGGATTACTTTATTTTTAGTGGCCTAACTACATGAAGTTATGTGTTTAAAATGTGGCTGGAATCTATAGGATAAACAGTTGCAACTCTAATAACATGGCTACAAATCTCCAGCTTAATATGTGATAATAAATACATTGTAGTATTGGGTTGAAGAGGATTGTATAGGAAGCAGAAAAACCGAGATCTGTCCCAGCACTGCTACAACACACCTCTTTTTACCCATCTAGGCCTGAGTTTCTCATTGGTACAATGAGGAATTCAACTATAGTTTCTGAGGCCTTGTCTAGCTCTGAAAAGCTAGGATTCTACTTTCAAATGGATATCAGCTGCCACTTCTTGACTTTGGAAGACGGTGTAGACCATTAAAGGATCCTTCTTCAAATTTCTATGTCTCTTCTTTTTTTTGGAGATAGAGTCTCGCTGTTTCGCCCAGGCGGGAGTGCAGTGGTGCGGTCTCGGCTCACTGAAAGCTCCGCCTCCTGGGTTCACGCCATTCTCCTGCCTCAGCCTCCCGAGTAGCTGGGAGTACAGGTGCCCGCCACCACGCCCAGCTATTTTTTCTGTATTTTTAGTAGAGATGGGGTTTCACTGTGTTAGCCAGGATGGTCTTGATCTCCTGACCTGGTGATCTGCCAGCCTTGGCCTCCCAAAGTGCTGGGATTACAGGCGTGAGCCACTGCGCCGGGCCTCTATGTCTCTTCTTATCTTTGGTTTCAGAAGACAGTTTAATCTTATAGCAGAAAACACTTTTTAGTGAAACAAACTGGATCTTGCCGTGAAACAAGGAATAACTGATTAATTTGGCAGAATGACATCAACTTATTTAGGTTGCTTTGTTCTAGATTGTTTTATTCAGTAATTAGCTCTTAAGACCCCTGGGAGCCTGTGCTCTACCCAGACACTAACAACAGTCTCTATCCAGTTGCTGGTTCTGGGTGACGTGATCTCCCCATCAAGATCAACTTACTTCCTGTGGCCCATTAGGGAAGTGGTGACCTCGGGAGCTATTTGCCTGTTGAGTGCACACACCTGGAAACATACTGCTCTCATTTTTTCATCCACATCAGTGAGAAATGAGTGGCCCGTTAGCAAGATATAACTATGCAATCATGCAACAAAGCTGCCTAATAACATTTCATTTATTACAGGACTAAAAGTTCATTATTGTTTGTAAAGGATGAATTCATAACCTCTGCAGAGTTATAGTTCATACACAGTTGATTTCCATTTATAAAGGCAGAAAGTCCTTGTTTTCTCTAAATGTCAAGCTTTGACTGAAAACTCCCGTTTTTCCAGTCACTGGAGTGTGTGCGTATGAAAGAAAATCTTTAGCAATTAGATGGGAGAGAAGGGAAATAGTACTTGAAATGTAGGTTGTTTTTTTTTTTTTTTTGACAGGTTCTTTCTCTGTCACTCAGGCTGGAGTGTAGTGGCACAGTCACAGCTCACTGCAGCCTTACCTTCTGGGCTCAAGTGATCCTTCCACCTCAGCCTCCTGAGTAGCTGGGACTACAGGTATGTGTCACTACAACTGACTAATTTTTAATTTTTTTATAGAGACACAGGATCTCACTATATTACCCAGGCTGGTCTTGAACTCCTGAGCTCAAGCGGCCCACCCACCTCAGCCTCCCTAAGTGTTGGGATTACAGGCATGAGCCACGGTGCCTGGCTATCACGCAATTCTTAAGTGCTTATTCCAGTAGCAGAAGAGATTAGAAAGGCTGGCTTTTTCCAACAGTGGGAGCTTGAATCTGGAAAGTCTTAAAGTTGTTGTAATTTCACACTACTAAGAAGCACTTTGCTCATGCAACTGAAAAAAAAATTAAGTGCCTACCTGGGTGATTCCAGGGCACTTATAAGCAACTAAGACTAATTAGAAGTCCTCATAGCCTCTAATGAAAAGATAGGAAGTAATTCGCTCTATGATACAAAAATTCCTGGATGTTTGGAATTGTTTTACATCATTGGGCACAGGATTCCTTACTGGGAGCTTTTGCTTTCCCAGGGCCAAAGTCCCTGTTCTATGTCACACATTGTGGAGGGCAGGGGACAAATGGATACAGAGCTTGGTATCCACTGATATGGCTCCCACAAAGACATTTGGGAGGATGAGTAAGGAAAGAGAGAGGCAAAATCTCAGTACCAGTTGTAACTGGAAAATGTCATTTACATGGAATGAGAACTTACATGGGGCGAGCTGAGAAGCACTTTCAGTTGAAGCAAATAGAAAAATTAAGGCACTTTCCTTTACTTTTAGTTATTTTTAAACACGTATCTTTATGCTCAGATCTTTCTTTTATAACTGGGTTATAACTGGGGAGAATAAAAGGATCCGGGCATGAGAGAAAGTGAAATCAAGGGAGGAAGAGGGCATGCAATGGGGGAAGGGAGGAGCAGGAATGTCCACTTTACTGAATACAAAATACTGTAAAAGATGGATCCTGCCATATTCTTCCCCCAATCAACTTGGATGAAAAACAGAAATACTACATTCTTAAACACAGTTCATTTTTAGTTTGTCGTGGCAATACATGGAAAAAAATCAGGCCACTACTAAGCATCTATAGAGTGTATCTTTGGCAAAAATGTGGACCTGCAACAATTCAGATGGTTTTCTTTCAATTAGGTTCAAAAATCATGGCTCTGTAAATTTCCAAAACTTTTAAAGTCTTCTCATGTCTTCTTATAATCGGGCATTCAGAGGTACGTGTTGGTTCTAATAGCTTTGGTAGAAACATGCTGAAAATAGAAATGAATATAAAATGCCTTGTCTTTAGGCTAATTTGGTATGGATTAGTAAGGCCTGAGTGAACTGGAAATTAGTACATTTCTTGAAATAATACAAATGAATGTGAGACACATGGGTAGAACAGCAGATTCAGAAAAAAAGGTTAGTATTGTAGTCCCAAGTTTTATAAAAGACATCAAGTAAGGCCAGCAATAGAGGAATCAAGTTTCTTTTTCGGGTTCCCTGGGGTGATTTCCTATCAGCTTCACGTTCATGAGCTGGGGATTTGTAAAATGTGAGATGGCCTTTGACTTTGTTTTTGATGCGATCAGCAGCGGCACTGTCTGCAATCCAGGCCCAGCATTCTCAGACAGCGTGCAGTACGGATGCTTCTGGCTGGCAGGGAGGTCGTGGCAGTGGGCTGACTAGTGTGCTGTGTTGGGAGGGCTCAGAGGGTGATGGGGCAAGCCTCCGTGCAAAGGGAGTTCCTTTCTGGTCGTGCCCTCCTTTTTGGCTGGAGCTTGGCCACAGAGATTGGCTGCCATTCTCATCCCTGGATGGGGTGGAGGCAGGTCCCAGACAACCTCAGATAATTGAACAGCAGCTGTGACCCTCAGAACAGCGTTTCTTCTTTTTCTTGGGGTGGAAAATGGTGAGGATTGCTTCATCAAAAACCGCTTTGAGACCTTTCTGAGTCAGAGCTGAACATTCCAAGTAGCACTGTGCTCCGATCTTAAACACAAAAGAGAGAAAGGCATGAGAGATAAAAAAGAGAGAAAAGCACAGTGGTATCAACTCACTGCCCAGACAAGCACTTACTTCTGCCTGTCCTACAAACAGCCTGTGGGGTGGTTTGGATTATGTTTGTCTTTTTTTTTTTTTTTCCATTTCAATTTGTATCTGCTATCCTATTTTTTTTTTTTTGTATTTTTGTATTTTTTACTTTCCTTTATTTGCAATAAATGGTTGTGGATTACTTCTGGAAAGCAGTAAATCCTAAAATTGACCCATAGCCATTTATTCCTAAGAACATAAAAAATGCAAAGATCTAAAAAATTAGGAGACAATTCAAAACCAATGATATAATTTAAATATGTTTTGTGAAGAACAGGGGTGCATGATCTTGTTTTTCATATCCTCTCATTTGTAGGCAGAATGTGTAAATCATGTACAAGTGAAATGTATCTTCTTTGGTATGATAAAAGGCAAAGTGTCAGCTTGGTTGATAAAGCAGATAGAAAGAGAGTGAATGATATGGTTTTATAGGTCATTCTTGATTAAAATGTACCTCTTTTAAGGTATCCCTCAACAAGGTAATATCCAATTGGCATTATTATTTAGTTTTAACATACTTTATTTATTTATTTTTGAGATGGATTTCGCTCTTGTTGCCCAGGCTGGAGTGCAGTGGCACCATCTTAACTCTGCAACCTCTGCCTCCTGGGCTCAAGTGATTCTCCTGCCTCAGCGTCTCAAGTAGCTGGGATTACAGGCGTGTGCCACCAAGCCGGGTTAGTTTTTGTATTTTTAGTAGAGACGGGGTTTTCCCATGTTGGCCAGTCTGGTCTTGAACTCCTGACCTCATGTGATGCGCCCGCCTCAGCCTCCAAAAATGCTGGGATTACAGGCATGAGCCACTGCAGCCAGCCTTAACACACTTTAAAAGGCATATTTTTTAAAAAGTTAAAAAAAAAACCCACTAAAACATGTAACAATAACAATAAAACATGTAACGATAATCATAAAAGACATTTAATGCCAGAGACATCCTGTCAGTGTACAGTCTATATATTTAAATGATAAGGTATTTCATACTTGCATAGGGCTTCATTTTAAATATTCTGATGATTTCATACTATGGTGTGTTTGATAATCACAAACCTCTCATGAGAAATATAGAAATTCAGGCCAGAACTATAGATTCTCATTTAAAAATCACAGACCAGGGCAGACCATATTTAGCAGTCAGCTTCTTGTGAAGGAGACCTGCGGTTTTATTTGTTCATAAGCTCAGGAAGAGTCAATGATGTGATGTTGGCCTTTTACTATTAAGGACATCTGGAGAAATGACTTTAGTTTTTGATTCGCATTTTAAGAATCACTTTGAAAAATTAAAGCAGATTCAGAAGAGGTTGGCTAAATGGCGAGTTCCTGGAAACTACAGCAGACAAATGGCTAAAACAAGGTAGCAAAATCATAGGCCTATTATGCCCAATAGCTTATGTAAATGATAAAGTGGGGCTGGCGCAAGACAATAGGGAGAGGAGGGGACTATGGTGGGCTGTAAAGCACATGCCCCCTCTAGGGTGTGCAGTCTTATCAGCTTCCAAGTGGTAATGTTGGTTTACTATTGCCCATTTTTGTATTTTTCAAGAGGAGTTGGACATTTGGATTTTTTATTTAATATTTACCAGTTTATGAACTATTTACCATGGGCCAAGCAAGACACTGATGTGGGATATATTTGGCAGCAGCCAGCCAGTTTGCAATGTGTGGACTAAGTGAACTTGTGGTTTAGCTTAGAACAGAGCGGGAATAACCCCAGAGAGGTAAAATGAATTGCTTATGGGCACTCACCTAGAAAGTGAAAGAAATAGACCCAGAATCTGGGTCTCTTGATACATGTTCATTTCCTTGCTCTGTGGCAGTAACTGTGACCCCTATCACTCAGCTCTGCAAGAAGCTGGTCAAGTTGACAGTTAATGAAATGAGATTGTCCACTTATTTCAAAGGCCACAAATATGAAAACTAACCATCAAATAAAGTGGTTTTGGTTGGGCCCAGACACTATTTCCTAAACTCTCCGACAGAGATTATGCATTTTTCATTTTTTTCCTGACAAGAATGGTTACTGAATGAGCCAAGGGAAAATACCAAAAGAAAACGATGTTGGATGTTGAAAATCTATTTTATGGCTTTCATTTTGACCATGGTTTGGTTTTCAGATTAGAAAATAACTTTTTTAAATAATTAAAAACAGTTAGATACAAGAGAGGAATAAAGCGCAGAGAAAATTTTCCTAATAACATAATGAAATGCCTTCTATTGCATTTTGGGACTGTGTTCAATGCTTGATTCAAACACATGTGAAAAGCACATTAATCTAATGGCAACAGCGTTGCCAACTGAATGATTCTGAATGACTTGACTGTAACGTGGTGGCACTTGTCTGGAAAATACCTAGAAACTGCTGTAGCACCTTTCTATCTGGAATACCTCTCCACTAAGGATCCCAAGCCTAGGATTGATTCTGCCTGGAATTCCAGGACAGCTGGGCTGAGCTCACTCACACCTGGAGTCCTGCAGGAGGGGCAGGGCACTCCCCATCCTCCTGCCCCCAGTGTGCAGCTGACAGCATGTCAGGCTTTGCCTTTCGATGGAGCGGGAGGAGCCCAAGCTTGTCTCTTCCAATTCAGACATTTCTGAAGATAATGAAATAGCAGATAAAGGCATTATTGTGTAACTGAGTTAATATGACATTATGTTGTACTGATAGAAAAAGTAGTCATCAGATTATTGGTGTCATTTGGGAAACACGTGTGAGAAACAATCCAGTTATGAGGTAGGTATTGTTACCATGTGTCAAGTGCTATGAGGGTCGGAGAAGAATTCATCCCGGTTCAAGGAAAAAGCACAGCCAGATTGCTAAAAAAAATGATCTGTGTCCTCAAAGATGTGAAATGAAAAATTGTCTCAAGGAAATGTGGCCCTTATTACAGCAGCAACTTCATCTGCTCCTTGGAGCAAAATGACCTACACAGTCAAGTATTTAGAAGCCATCTGGGAGGGTTCAGGATTCAAGCCTCCTTGTTTAGATACACATGCAAGCAAACTGGAATGTGTTCTACCCAAATGACTTATTTTCAAGAAAAAAGTAGAGATTGAGGGTGTAAACTGAAAAAACACTTTTCTTATTGTTTTATAATAGCTAAAACTTATTATCTCAAAAGCAGGGACATTTATCAGCGATGTACAGAAGATACAAGAGTGATAAGAAAAAAAAAAAAAAACCGTAATGACTAATCAAGTAAAAGAAAACCTAGTACTTCTTCCATGTTGTTCTAGTTGGGGCAGGACAAGTTATAGAATAAGATAGAAAGTAACTGGAAGGGATAAAGGCAAAGAGATCTTCCCAGCTGTAGACATGTCTGAGAGGGCTCATGGATTTAACAGCAACTATAGTTTGCTGAGCTGGACCTTGTGGTACATGAGCTAATTTCATTGTCACAAGAACTTTACAAGGAAAAATCTGTCACCATCCTCATTTCACAGCTCAGGAAACTGATACCCAGAGAGGCTAAGTAACCTCCCTTATGGCCACACAACTAAGAAAATGGCAGAGATTCGAATTTGTCTGCCTCCTGAGCCAAAGTCTTAACTACTCTTTTGGGCTGTCTCTAGCAAATGTCATGAAATTGTGGCTGAAAGAGCAAAATTAATGAATAAATGGGCAAAGCTGTTACGGATATAGTAAAGGTGATGAGAGAAGGGAAGAAGAAGGAAGGCATGTCCTGTAAATGGAGAGAAAAGAAGAGAAGATGTTAGTGGAATAAACAGAGTAAGCTCGTATCTAAAGAAATGGCTAGTAGCAGAGTAGTTCTGTATTCCTCATTTGAGAATTAGCAAAGGCACACAGAGAAGGCAAATAGAGAGCCAAGAAAAAGAAAAAGAACCAAACAGGTTGTAAGAGAAAAGCCGCCATCTCAACAAGTCAGCATTATGATCAAATTGGTGAAAGAGGAAAAACATTTCTAGGCCAGACAGATTTGCTGCTGATCTTTGAAGACTATAATGCAGAGATGCCAATTCAAGGCTGGATAATGTAAAGTGTGTTACTTGAGTATAGGATAATATGGAGTGGTGGGGATTGTGGCAGACTGAAGAATACATGCTTAATCTAAGAGACTGTTTAACAGTTTCTGTTGATGAGGAAATGCTGGGCTAGAGTTGCTCGACCTTCTGAATTTCTTTTAGAGGCTAGAAATGTGTTTCCAAACTATTAAATGTTGGCCACTAAATTGCAATAAAAATATGTGTTTGGACTAATGAAAACATTTGTGGGTGAACTTTGGCCCGTCAGTTGCCAATCTGCTCCCTATGCTTTAAAGGATGCCTTTGCATGTCCTGGTCTCCCTGTCTAGAATTTTATGCCCTCCCCAGACCCCTTTGCCCACCTGAAAAACTTTTCCTCATCCTTCAAACCTGGATAAGATGTTACCTGGTTAAAGAAATCTCTGAAACCTCCTTCCGTGAATGTATTAGTCTCTCTCTCTTCTGTGCTACCTGGTACATTGCCCAGATGTGTGTTACTGTGTTTATCCAGGTGGCATGCTTTTGTTTGCCTGTCTCCCTCCTCTTCTGGCCTTTGTAACCCAGACACCAGTGGTGAAGTGACTTTCAATGACCAAGGGAGAAAGGGAAAATGGCCAGCACAAGGCAGGTGGCAGTGACTCTTCCAGTCAGGAAGAGGGCATTAAAGACTCCAGTTGATTAACGTGACTGAACATTGATGACAGGGTGTTTGCAGCAATTTTGCTGCTTTAAATCCCACCTGTGCATGTTAAAAACCCAGCAGGAAACTTAGCAGGTGCCAAGTTAAAGAGTGACAACGACAAAAGGCACAGTGTGAAGAAGATGGCCGGAGAGGGCAAAGAGAACCCAGAGATTAAAAAAGAAAAAATGGCAAATTCCTGTATCAAAAAATACCTTAGGAAGTCTGAACTTAGAAGATCATGTTTAGACTGTATTAGATAGAACTGGGAAAGAGAATGCACAAAGAATTACAATCTTAGAGCTAAACAGTGTAGCATCCAGCATAGCACCTGGCACATATTAGGTGCTTAATCAATTGTTGTTTAATAATTCTAGCAGCAATAGGGGCAGTTACAAATGTGTAAAAGAATGGGAAAAGTAGGCTGAGGATTAAAAACTACAGTAATAGAAAGAAGAGGGAGAATAAAAGAAGTCAAAGAATAATGAATATTTATAATAAATTAGTGCAAAATATGTAAATGTGGTTGACTTTGGAGTATAAAGAATTGTAAATGTGTATGATATAAAAATGTCCTTTGAAAATAAAACACCCTTTGAGACCAAAAAGAGATGTTAGGTGGAAAATGCTTTGGAAATGGAAAAGTATTGAACAGAAAGAATCAGATATGAAAAATCTGAACTTGCAAAGCCTTTAAGTTGGGGGGGAACTTTGCACATGAAAATAAGGGACTCCAGTATATAAAAAAGAAGCCCCAAACCTAAAGGTTTCTTTTCAGATTATAGGAGGGAGGCAGAAGAGCAGGTGGTTAAAGCACAGTTTTCTATCCTCACTCTGCCACTTGCTAGCTGGGCGATCTTAACCTCTCTGAGCCTCAGTTTCCTGTAGGAAAGTGGAGATAATAATATACACACCTCAGGGGGTTGCTGTGAGGATTAATTAAGACAAAGGCTGTAAGGCGCCTGGCACCAAGCCTAGCACATTATAAACACTCCATAAATGCTAGCTGAGATTATAAACTACTTGACAGAAAAGTCAGAGAGTAGAGAAACTTAAAGCATCTCTATAATTACATGAATTGTGATAAAACAAGTTAAAATCTTGCTAGGTTTTCTTCTAAATTGGATTTTGTAAGCTAAACATGATTCCGTCTGTATCTGAGAGCAGTTGCTAGGAGAAACTAGCAAAAGGCAATATAAATGGTGAACTCAGCCATTGTTCCAAAAATAAGTATGAAACGAGATGGGAGGCTTTGAAACGACTTCTTTTCAGACAGAAAAAAAACAACTTCCCCAATGAGAAGTGAGGCTAGGAAGCTGACGGCATGAAGGAACACAGAACGCGAGTTCCTGCAAGAAGCTGGTGCCGGCCAATGGGGACATCCTGGCTGTGAAAAATGTGTAGAAAGGAGCCACCTACAATTATTTATGGAGCTACATATTTAGGTATCTTAATGAGAGCATTTGAGGATGAATGTTTGAGGAGAAGGTAGAAGCACCTACAGGCATAAACCCATTTCACCCAAGGAAAGATACACAGTTGGAGGTCATTTACGTGACGGTCAGGTACACGAGTGGTGATGTCCACAGAGCTGGATTGGAAGTTTTTGACTTTGTTATTAGCTATGTGCTTGTCTTCTAAGACTGTTTCCTCATCTGTAAGCTGAGACCAACGCTATCTGCTTAAGAGGGTTATTATGAGGCTGAAGTGAGAGATATTATTAAGTACTTAGGATCCTAAGGACTCCATGGACGTCTGGCGCTAGTTAGTATTGACATTACTGTGCATAGAAGTAGGAAGAGTTCAGTATCTCGATCAGGTGTTGTGAGAGGTTCTCATGCAGGATACCTGTAAAAACATGATTGTATTTAATTCATTTCTAGTTGAGTGTATCATGCTTAGTTTTAGTGCCTGCAAGCAAGATTTAATAAGATAAATGCATACAATTTTGTAAGTGAAGAATTTGTAGTTAATATTCTTGACTGGCTTGAAGAGAGTGACTTCTAACTCTGCCTGCGGTATGCGTTTTACTAGGTTAGTCACTTAGAAAGTAAGATTGAAAATTTCCAAACCTCTGACCTGGGTCAATAGATTTATGACTTGATGAGGAGTCCGATTTAAGCTCTGGAGGTGTGATTTATCGGCCTCCTCTTGCATAAAGCACGTCCACCCTCTCGAATATTTTTCAGTGGCTGCTTTGCTCACATCTCGGGGTAATGGGGGAGGCAAAGACTTGGTGTCTGGCAAAAACTTTCTAAAGCATTTTCTTAACTCTTCATGTTAAGCTCTCAAGAAGGAAGAAAGGTCCATGAAAACAGTTCCAGCTCTGAGCTATTATCTGCCAAACAGCCACTTAGATCCCCAGCTAGTCACTTTTTGGTATCTGTTATCCTTCCAGATGCTGTTTGTGACACAATCCAGGCTCTCTAAGTGGCTATTCATTATATGGTGAGAAATACTGGACAAATATAACCCTGCCAGATGCTAACCCAAGTCTCTCCCAAGAAAATCACAAAATGCCTCTTATGGGGTTATTTAAATGAGCTACATCCATAATAAGCAGTGAGATTTACAAATATATATCTAACGACTCCCTATATTCATACTAAATATGGCAAGTAGATGTTCTAGAGGTTGCTAAATCAAATGATAAGTGCTTCAGCTGTTTAAATTCACCAAATTGCTTTCTGAATGAAAAACAGACAATGCTGGCTGACAAGAAGGCTAACCAAATGGCTCCTTCCAGCCCGACTAGAACAGAGGGGGAGAATAGAAAGCTTAGAGAAGATTCTAAACACATTGCACTTTAAAGCAAAACCCAGTGTTGCACACCCATTTCCAAAGCATACAACACACTCTTCTCTCAGCATACATTTAAAATGAAATTCAAATCTGACTGTACCGCTTTTGCGAGCTTCACACCATGCTCGTAAGTGAGAGGTTTCTCTTTCATATACAGCAAACGGGCCAAGGTTTTTGGGTCATCACGGAGATCAATCTGGCAAGAAAACACACGTGAAAACTTATTTGTTTTCTCAGGCCTTGCCAGATATTTTAAACTGTGACATCATAGAGTCTTTTTCCCTGTTAACATCTTTGAAGTTGCTAAATTTTCTTTAAGGAAGCAGATTCACATGCCCATGTTATGTCTAAAAAAGTAAAGCCATTTCTTTGTAAATGTACACAACAGACTTTCCTTACGTTTTCCCCTTCAAACAGTTACCCTGCAAGCTGAAGACTACTCGGATGATTCTGTTGCTATCTCAGATGTTTTTTCAAAATTTTCTATTTATTTCTAGATTCTACTTACAGGGCATGCAAGATAACCAATCAGTCTCATTACCTTTCAGTGAGGCCTTATTTGATCCCAAATTATATTACTCATTATTTACTAGTTTATTTCCTGGCTTTGAACCCATCTTTTTTTTTTTTTTTTCGCTTTTCCAAATAAAATCTTCATCCTCAAAGGAGGTATGAAGATTTGCTACCTGTGAGGATATTCTAACAAATGTTCTGCAAGCTCTGGAAGGCAAGTCCCTAAGAGAAGTTTTCAAAGGGTTTGCTCAAGATAAGCATTCATCTTTTCAAAGGTAGAACTTTGAAGATAGCATTTATATATCTGGATTAGATTTGATAATTTAATTACATATTTTGGTTGCTTTAAAGCCTCACTGTGTATGCGAATCCATGTGTTCATGAGTGGGTGTGAATGTGGGAAAGCAAGGGCTTGTGTCTTAAAGAAAGACCAATATATTAGGGTCCCTTTTATAAGCATATTACTCAGCTCTACTAATTGTGTGTGTGTGTGTGTGTGTGTGTGTGTGTGTGTGTGCATGTGTTTGTGTGTGTGATAA
Source organism: Homo sapiens (assembly GCF_000001405.40). Taxonomy (NCBI): domain Eukaryota; kingdom Metazoa; phylum Chordata; class Mammalia; order Primates; family Hominidae; genus Homo; species Homo sapiens. Next base: position 63,282,264 of record NC_000014.9, on the reverse strand, counting down.
TTGTTCAATTTTGTGCCTATCTCTAATAAAATCAGCTTGAATCACAGAAAGGTGATTGAATGTTCTGTCACATATTTGGCAGCAGGGATTCAGGCTCCATCAATATGGGCAAATATTATTATCTGGAATTCAAGGCAAAAGACTTCATTTAAACAAACGATTATCTTTCAGAGCAGAAGCGTTAACTATGATTACTCTGATTTATGGAGATGTGTATTCCTCTACTTTCTCTAAGTAAATACATCTACTGTGTACCTGTCCATATCTTCTTCAGGAAATATTTTTCTTTTCTCTCCTTTGTGTTAAAAAATTCTCTTGTTCAAAAAGAACATAAATGAATAATAGAAAGAAATAGCGTATGAAACAGATAACAATGAAGCCCTTCAGTATTCGTATATTCCTATGTCTTTGGGATAGTCATTTGGATTTTAAAATGCCAAAGAACAAAATCCATTTAAAACTATAAACAGTAACAATCCTTAATACATTTGATGTGATTGGCTTACTACTGGAAACTCAAACTATGGAAATTGATTAGCTTTCAGAACACTGTAAAGGCTTTCACAGTCGTAGGTTTGTTTAGCTGGTATATGTGTTTTAACTTCTTCTCTAAGATCTGGAAGACCAAGAGGTTTAAAAGGAATAGACAATGGTGAATTTTTATCTTCCTTCTCCGGAAGTGTAATTAAAGAGTTCCTGTCATAGAATGCCTATTCTGATTGCTGTGGTCACCTTGACACTCCTACCTATTTTGTGATTTTAAAACAACTGTGGGTTTCAGATATAAAAAATACTAGATAATATGTTCAATTGACACCCTCACCTCATTGCTCTGATTCAAGCCTGGCAAAGGGTGTCTATTTTAAAAATTACTTTGTTATTTAAAAAAAATCATAGAGATTAATTTTTGAAGGCCATATCAAAACTTTCTGCTCCATATTAAATAGCTCTATTATCTTTTCCACTATGGGCTAAATCATCACGCACACCTTAAGAACTTCTGTTCATAGGATTGACATGTCTGAGACACACTTCCATAGCGTTTGGCAGAATAGGATGTTCACGAGGTACCTAAAGGGTCTTCCCATTTTTGCAGCCCGCTCCACCCTGCCATCGCCCACATTTTAACCTGGGTCCCTATGAGGACATAAGGCACGTGAGGCATGCAGTCCTTGAGCTCGGGGACCCATTCCTCCTGGACATTGTGGTAAGAGGCAGGGTTTACGACAGAGAAGCAGATCAAAAACACATCCGTGTTGGGGTAGGAGAGTGGCCTCAGCTGGTTGTAGTCCTCCTGTGGGAAGAGCAGACAAGGGTTTGTACAGCCTGTGTAAGGTGTGTCCCATGTAGTTCCAAGGTCAGATTTCAGGTAAGAGTCCACTACAGCGCACTGGGATCCCGTTTCTTCCTCAACCCTGGAATCTGGTAGTTCTTTCTCTACTAGAACTAAAGGAGCCATCAGTCAGAAAAATACCTTTTTGTTACGTACAGAGATTATGTATTGCCCCTTCTTAAGATGAACTTAAAATATTTTTAGCAGTTTTATTGAGATATAACTTATATACCTACCTATATATACCATAAAGTTCACCCATTTATTTTTATTTTTAAATTGTATACATTTAAGGTGTACAACATGGTGTTTGATATACATATATATGCTACAGTGAAACAAATTAACATATTCATCTCCTTACAGCTTACCTTTAAAAATATATTTTACGGTGAGAGGACCAGAGACCTACTCTCTTAGCATATTTCCAGTATGCAATATAGTATTATTAACTATAGTTATCATGCTGTATATTACAGCTGTAGACTTATTCACCCTAGCTAACTGCAGCTTTGTACCCTTGATCAAAACCTCCCCGTTTCCTTTCCTTACTTGCCTCTGGTAACAATAGTTCTACTCTCTGTTTCTATGTATTCAAAAGTTCACCTGACCAGGCACAGTGGCTCATGCCTGTAATCCCAGCACTTTGGAAGCCAAGGCGGGAGGATCACCTGATTCCTTGAGCTTGAGATCAGCCTGGGCAATATAGCGAGACCCTATCTCTACAAAAAAATACTAAAATTAGCTGGGCATGGTGGCACACGCCTGTAGTCCCAGCTACTCAGGAGGCTGAAGTGGGAGGATGGCTTGAGCCTGGGAGTTTGAAGCTGCAGTGAGCCGTGATCATGCCACTGTACTCCAGCCTGGGCAACACAGCAAGACCCTGTCTCAAAAAACAAACAAAATAAAACAAAAGACCAAAAGTTCACCCATTTAAAGTGTAACATTCAGTAAAGATTATTGCAATTCTTCCATCATGTTGGAATTGTGTTATATTGAATATACTATATTTAAATTAGTGAGCTATTTGCCAAGGCAACAGGAATCCTCTCCTCACACGATTAAAAAAAATTATATCCAAATTTAATTTAGAATAAATGAACTAACATGCAAAACAAGAGTTATTGCCAAATTTGACACCACAATATTTGAAGAAATATGTTGAGTGAGGGTTTAGAGCTAAGAATTTTGGATTTGTTTCAAGTATTACTTAAAGGCCAAATAAAATGCTGGCTTAATTATTTTCTTTCTAAAGATTTTTCAGAGCAGAATATGCTCATGGAAGAGTTTCTGGTTACATAAGATATTTATGTATTTGCTATTTTAGTGGGAGTTGATAAATACAAAGTAAAACTGCGCATCATTTCGACTTTGGGAAAATGTTGGCAAGGGCTTTTACTGTATGTAAAATGTTTTAGGAGGTTCCACGGTAAAACCTGATATTTCAATAGAAAGTTTTATATGTTTTTATAGAATTTAGTAACACATAAACAGACAGTAACTTTGTGTGTAAGCGTGCATACACATACCATATTTATATATACATCACATATCGCAACATGACATGTGTCCATACACACCATACATAATTTGTATGTGTATACACACTATATATGATGTGTGTGCACTATATATGTGTGTATACTATATGTGCAACTAAACTTATATGTTCACACCTATGATATACATGTATTCATAGAGATGGGTTAATAAATAATTAACTCATTTATTAGGGGCATGACTACTCTTCATGAAACATTTCAGAAACTTACAAAACATGTATGTGCTCATTGCAAAAATGCAAACATTGAAGAAGTACACAGAGTTGAAGTGAAAGCTTGTTTTCATCCCTGATATGATGTCTAATAGTATTTCCTCTCCCCAGAGGGAGCTACTGCTTAAACATTGTCCTTCCAAACATTTTATTTTACTTTATTTTATTATTTGAGATGGAGTCTCAATCTATTGCCCAGGCTGGAGTGCAATGGCGTGATCATGGCTCACTGCAGCTTCAGACTGCCGGGCTCAAGCGATACTCCCACTTCAGCCTCCCAAGTAGCTTGGACTACAGGCACATGCCACCACACCCAGCCAATTTTTATTTTTTTTGTAGAGATGGGGGTCTCACTGTGTTGCCCAGGCTGGTCTTGAACTCCTGGGCTCAAGCAATCCTCCTGCCTCAGCCCCCGCCAAAGTGCTAGGATGATAGGCGTGAGTCACCATACCTGGCCCATTTTATATTTATGTATGTATACCACATACACATGTTTAGTTTAAAAACAAATTGATTAAATTGTTCATATTGTTGTGCCACTTGTGTTTTTTAAAACAATATATCATGGATATATTTTTAATATCAACCTTTCTATTGACTCTAATAATATATTTATTAGATAACGGGTTGATGGGTGCAGCAAACCACCATGGCACGTGTATACCTATGTAACAAACCTGCACGTTCTGCACATGTATCCCAGAACTTAAAGTATAATAAAAAAAATTTTAAAAAAGACCAGAAAAGGAAGTACACACATGTGCACACTACATACACATGAGACTGAAAGGAAGTACCTTAGAATGTTAAGTATGGTCCACTCCTGTTGGTGGGCATGCATTGATCTATTGTTTAGCTACTCAGAGTATGCAGAACACGGGACTCAGTATATGTGGCCACTACTGCTACTACTATTAAAACTTAAGCACAGGTTTTAGGTACCTAATGCAAAATGCAAAGCAAGAGGGCAATGATGCTGAAAAGTAAAATCCTAAAAAATAAACCCAAAACAAAAAAAACCCCCACTATTGTGGCTAATTTACCACATTTCTAGTCAATAATTGGGAGTTGGGTGCACAGCTGAATAATCACTGGTCATACTGGGAAGTTGTGCCAGGTCTACTGGGTTGCATCTCAGCCAAGTTGTGCCTATGTCTGTGTGTGTGTGTGTGTGTGTGTGTGTGTGTGTGTTTGTGTAGCTGGTGAGGCAGTGGAGAAAGGGATAGCTAAATTCTTGGCACTACCCTCTCCTCTTTACACAACTAGCTCTGAAAAACAAACCTCCTCTTCCATGGTCTCCCCACTTCTCTCTTTTCTCTCTGGAGTGTTCCCTTAAAGAGCAGCTGTAAGGCCCGTGAGCCAAGAAGTCTCCTTCCCAGGCTATAATCTACAGCTGTTCACCACACCACCTGCCCTCTGCCACTGCATGCTCCCATCTGGATTGTCATAAATGGAGTAGGGACCATGTTGATTTTTTTCTCATCCCTACAGGTACTCTTTCCGCAGTAAATATTCAATAAATGCTATTGACAGACTGGAAGAAATGACCTCTACAGTGACCTGCAAATGAACACGTGGCACTTCTGTGGGCCATTTATTGCAGTGACTTTTATTAGAATCACCTGGGGAGCTTTTAAACCATCCTGAAGCTCTGCTAATCAACTCCTTGCTCCACCCCCTTTTCTACTCTGGAACCAGCTAAATTAGAATCTCTGGAGAGTGGGCCTGCGTATCTGGGAGTTCTGACTTAATTGGTTTGGGGTGGACCTGGAGTTGAGAACACGGCTGTACTTCACTATCATCTCCAACATTAATGGAGGATGCACCCAAGGGGTTATTGCTAAAGGTCAGCCATTGTTTCAAACTCTTATGTATGTTCTCATTGCATCCTCCTGATGGAACTGGAAGGATGGTACCATCAACATTCACATTTCATAGAAGAGGAAGTTAAGGTTTAGAGAAGTTCCATGATGGGCCAATGTTACAGAGTTCATAAATACCAGGATGGGGTATTTAGCCTAAATCCAGCTCTGGCTCTCAATTGTGACCACACTGTTTTCTGCAGCTCAGAATTTAAAGTGACAGATTAAGCATTTTCTTAACTCACTTATCTAGGAATCTTGACTCATATGTTACCCAGCAATCAAAATGTTTGACCACAGGATGGATCATCTATTTGATGGCCTGCATCTGCTTCAGATTACCACTGGATGGCAGCAACACTGTATATTTAAAACTTCAAAGCCAAAAACCAAAGCAAAACATCATCAGGAGAAATGTCACAACTAGATTGGGTAGGAACAAATAACTGTTGTTAATAGTCGGAAAGGAGTATGCTTGTCTGATTTTTTAACCCAGTGGCTATCAAAGGATTTCTATTTACATTATGGAAAAGTTGGAAGACCATGGGTTGCTGGGTTGACTGTAGGTGGGGCAGGTGAGAGAAGTCTGTTTCTGATCATTTACCCTCCTGGCCCTCCAGCTGAGTCGTTTTTGATAGTGTCAGTCACTGGGCTCACCGTGCTCTGTATTCTGGATCTCTCTTCTGTGGAAACCTTAGTCCTGCTGTATCATTCCATTTAAAAAGATTTCGTGCCTACTGAATGCGTAGCACTGTTGAGGATGCTGTATGAACTATATAAGGTGAATAAGAATTGGCAATTCAGTTGGGGAAAGAAAATGAAAATACATGAAATTATTCGATTTATGTGGAAGTAAGACAGGTTAAGTTTCTCTTACTCTTTGCTGGCTAATCTCAAAATGGAATGATGTAGAATAGTTATCTGACTGAATTGGGAAAATACAATTCCAACACTAGAAAAGGCCTTAAAGATTAGCTAATGCAGTGGTTTCCAAACTACGCTCTTCAGTCCAGCAGCATGGGCATCACCTGGGAGCTTGTTAGAAATACACATTCCCAGGTGCCACGCAGCCCCCGCCCCCCCCCACCGAAGCTGAGGCACTGGGGGAGAGGCTGCACCATCAGTGCTGTAACAAGCCCTCCAGGTGATTCTGATGCAGCTCAAGTTTCAGAACCACAGGTGACTGTTCTTCCCTCTCCCCTGAGCCAGTTTTATGGTTTAAGAAACAAAGGTCTAGACAGATGGAGTAATTTAACCAGGACAACAGAGCAAAAATACTTTTAAAGAAGGCTCACACCTGGGCTATTGGGAGCTAACCCTGGGCTACAGCTATAAAATATGGTAAAGGGGTCAGGATTAATAAAAGAAAGTGTCCCCTTGGGACTGGGGGTTGGGGGGAGTTGAATTTGTGCCAGCTGGTAACTTAATATTTTTTCACAAGGGAGCATGCTTTGGCCCTGGGTTAGATGGTAACAGGTGGAGATGATGTCAAGCGGCTACGAGAAGTGGATAAGTGGTTTAGTTGGTATTTGAGGCCCTTTCTAATGCTGAAATTCAGAATGGAAAACAGGTGCTTATTTGCTTCTTGAAGAGACAGCGTTTTAATCTAAAAGAGAGGCTCAAATGGGGCTTTGGAGGTAAAGTAGACAAAGAGGCTAGGATTGGGGAGTGCAGGGAAGGATTTGGGGCAAAGTAGGCCTTTGAGTGCCTTTAGCCCAACTTCACCCTGAAGGCAAGAACATGTTCAGTTTGAAGGCAGATCTGGTGCTCTGGGGTGACTGTGGGTGATTATGAAACACGAAAAGTTCAGAGAAAGTGTTAGCATCAGATGCGCCAAACACCTGGGCCCTAAATATTATAGGCTGCATCATGACACAGGTAAGTGAAATTATTTTCTAGATAGCACTTCTTAGACACTACATATATTTGCATCACCTGTGGACCTTGTTAAAAATGTAATTTTGTTTTTGTTTGTTTGTTTGTTTTGAGATTGGGTCTCACTTTCTGCTCACACTGTAGTGCACTGATCATAGTTCACTGGAGTCTTGAACTCCTGGGCTCAAGTGATCCTTTCTCCAGCCTCCCAAGTAGCTGGGACTACAGGTATGCACACCACGCCTGGGTAATTAAAAAAATGTTGTAGAGATAGGGTCTCGCTATGTTGCCCAGGCTAAAGTGCAAATTCTTATTCAGTAGCAGGACTGGAATGGAGCCCAAGAATGTGCATTTCTAGCAAATGTCCAGGTGATGCTAGTGCTACTGGGTCCAGGGGCCACACTTTGAGCAGCAAAGAGAGGCGCTGAGCTCCTCCCACCCCGCCATACCCACATTAATTTGGAAATAGAATTCTGCTTCCAAGTCTTGGGTTTAATGACATTTATCTCAGATTTTTTGGTACAAGTCTCATTTTCATATTCACCCATAAATCAGGCTTAATTTGAAAAATGTGGGCACCATGTATAGTGTGCGTGCATAGCATGGTGCTTAAGAACATGGGTGGTGGGTAGAAATTCTCTGGGTTTGTGACTATGGTGTGATCCTGGGTAAGTTCTCCATGCCTCCCTTTCCTTATCCATAAAATGAGGCTAATAGTGCTGGCCTTATGAGTTGTTATGAGAATAAAATACGTTAATATTTGCAGCCACTTAGACCATTGTCTTGAACATAGTAAGTACTTTAATGATCCAGTAAAAGAGTCCGTCCTCCAGCCCATATCAACAACAGCTGCTGGTCCTGGAAGCATTTCCCTACCCTTATTGGATGCCAGGGCTGATTCAGAAATTAACTTTTTCTGAACTGAGTAGTAATAAGACCCAAATGTTTGCAAACTCCAACTGCAACTCTCAGTGTTCCTACAGCTCTCTTTTTCATAATTTGGGGAGAAGTAAGATTGTGTCCTGAGGTTGCTTTTACTAAGCAGCTGTCATGTGGGCAAACTTCTCCCTAATCTCCCAAATTGCCTACTCCTGAAAATCCCACATGAAGATACACGTGAGCAAGAAATTTGGAGTTGCTCATTGAGGGAAAACATTTGTTCTGAGGTTTTAGGCAAACTTTCCATAGAGGGTTGCTGCCAGATCCTGTGCTCCAGATGGCCCCATTGGATCAGCCAATAGCAAAGGGGAAGGCTTATGTGTGTCCTTCCAAGTGGAGCCTGGGTTGCCATTCATAAACCCTAGCTGTGCTTGCTTCCTTGCTTGGTTGCGTGCTTCCTTAGCCATTGGGGGAAAGCGGGACTTCAGAAATCAGGGCCTGGGGGAGATGTGCAACAAGCAGCCCTGGGCGAGTGAGGGGCTCGGCTGATGGCCTTCCTTGCTTCTCTACTCCCACAGACACTGGTGACAGCTGAGCTGCTGTGGGCTGTGGTTTCTCAGTGACAGACACCATTCTGTGCTTGCCCACATGCAGTGGTTCACCCTTCCACAGAACCAGGCGCCTGGCCAGGCTGCACCTGGCTCCTGACACCAGGAGACGGTCATTCCTCCCTGGCAGTGCTGCTAGCTGCCATTTTCACAGGTGTTGTGTCTGAGATATGCCCATCCTAGAGTCTTGCCCAAGAGGCCACAATCTGAATAGGGCTTTGCCCACATCATCCTTCTAGGTGAGGCCACATCAAGAGAAGGAGGCAAGACCTTGTCTTAGTACTATGGCTGGTTCCACTGTAATGACCTGCAGTGAGGTAGGAGGACATCTGGCTGCAAGCCATAACCTGGGAAAGAGCCCTCTCCCAGTCTGAAGTTCCTCAGCTGGTGAATGCCCAGGGTTGGCTGTGGCGTCCCCAACCCAACCAACACCCTGCTGTCCACTTGGTCTCTCCTGAAGCATTGTAAACAAACTGGCCTGCAAGGACATCATGGGAAAGTCAGCTCTGGGACTCTTTCATAGCTGAGCCAAAGATCTGAGCTCTAGATATCCCTTTAACATTCAGTAACACACTACTAGGGATATGTCTCGTACAGGATGAGTTGGCACAACCTAAATAGATTTGGCTTACAGGGCTGGTTGGCCTTATTTCCTTCCTAGTGTGATCTGAGAAGTAACATGCACTCACCCTGAGAAAAATTCCTCAATTCATTGCCTAATCTAATGTTTGGAATTCTACCTAACAGGGAATTAAACGGAGTTGTGAAGAATCTATCTTCAAAGGGCTCCACTCCAAGTCCAAATGTTAGTTTGTTTCAGGGTTTGGGGAAGGGAGCTAATGTTTAACAGCAGCCACCACATGTTGACAGTGTATGCAAGTGACTTCATTATAAACTCTCTTTCTTTTTTGAGATGGAGTTTTGCTCTTGTTGCCTAGGCTGGAGTGCAATGGTGCGATCTCAGCTTACTGCTACCTCCGCCTCCCAGGTTCAAGGGATTCTCCTGCCTCAGCCCCCCAAGTAGCTGGGATTACAGGTGCGCGCCACCATGCTCGGCTAATTTTGTATTTTTAGTAGAGATGGGGTTTCACCGTATTGGCCAGGCTGGTCTTGAACTCCTGACCTTGTGATCTGTCTGCCTTGGCCTCCCAAAGTGCTGGGATTACAGGCATGAGCCACCGTGCCCAGCCCATTATAAACTATCTTTAGCACATGCTTGCCTGAATTGCGGAGGGGCAGGAGTATCTCAGGCCATGGCTCATGGGGCTGTAGCCAGGTCTGAGGCAGACTAGGTGCCTCAAAGTCAAGGGAAAGCAGGTCAAATGATTTTGTTTAGCGCTGACATTGAGGGTTGAGACAATGAGTTCCTATTACTTTACCTCTCAGAACACATTTGCTTCAGTTAGTTCAAGACAAAGATGTGGAGGATTGCTTCTTGGTTTATTCACGCACAAAAATCTAATTATTCAAGCAAGATGGACTCTATAGCTGGATTCAGAGACATTTTCTTTTTGTGGTTCAGGGATTAATCAATTGGTTTTGAAATCATCTCTCTTCCATTGTAATTGACCAAATGAATATTTTGAATTATATGTGTTCTTTAGCTATCCAGCACATTTACTAGAATACAACTGAGAAGAGGCAGATTATTCTACCTAGGACTAGGAATGGAAATTTTGGGACACTGTTTCCAAATTAAATTTGTTACAAAGTCTTAATAGCTGAATTGTAGAACTACGGGGATACATTTCAGTAATGGTTATTTTCCATTGCATCCTCCTAACTTTCAGAACAATGCCTCAGCCACCAGAAACGTTTAGGTAGTGCTTCTCAAAATTTAGTGTGCATTCTAATGATTTGGAGATCTCTTAAAATGGATTTGCAAATTCAGTAGGCTGGGGATAGACCTTGAGATTCTGCAGTTCTAACATGCTTCCTGGTGATGTTGATGCCACTGGTTGGTGGACCACACTTTGAGTGGCTCTCAAAGTATGGTGTAGGGACCAGCAGCAGCATTGCCAGAAAACCTGTTAGAAATGCAAACTCTTGGGCTCACATCTGTAATCCCAGCACTTTGGGAGGCTGAGGTGGGTGGATCACCTGAGGTTGGGAGTTTGAGACGAGCCTGGGCAACATGGTGAAACCTCCGTCTCTAGAAAAAAAACACAAAAATTAGCTGGGTGTGGTGGCAGGTGCCTGTAATCCCAGTTACCTGGGAGGATGAGGCAGAAGAATTGCTTGAACTCGGGAAGCGGAGGTTGCAGTGATCCAAGATTGCGCCACTGCGCTCTAGCCTGGGTGATGGGAGTGAAACCCTGTCTCAAAAAAATAAAAAATAAAATAAAATAAAAGAAATGCAAATTCTTGGGTCCCACCCTAGACCTGTAGAAGCAGAAATTCTTGGAGTGGGGCACAGTAGCTGAGTTTTGACAAGCCCTACAGGTGATTCTGACACATACTCCAGTTTGAGAATCACTGTTCTAGAAAATGAATTACAAGTTATCCTGTAGTGTAACACATTCCCATTATTTAGTAAGCTTTTACAGCTGAAAGGTCTCCCATGGGTCTAGCCTCAAATCCTTTTGCCTAATTACTCCAGTTCTATCAGGATTTCTTGAGATTATATGTGAAAAGTCCTCATCACAGAATTTTAGGCCTAGAAGGAACTTTAAGATATATTCTGATTCCTTTTCCCCATGCTTTATGGTTCCTTTTGAGCCTTGTCTACCTCTGAATATAAAGCATTCAAGTGAGAGTTAGTTGAAAAAATATCTTATAATCTATTTGTTATATTTTATCAGTCTTCATCGCTTTTGTGTCAGAGGTTTGGGCCATTCTGTTTGCTTTGATGTGGAGTTTAAAGATATTTTTACAATGTCTTACAGCTTCAACTCTTATACCAGTATTATTTAAATTTTTTCTTAAAAGGACAGAACAGTGGGAAAAATAATTAAACTCCACAAGAGCTTTTAAAGAGTTTTATTGGATTTAAAATTAAACAGAAGCCTGTGGAGGTTTTTCTTGGGGCAGTTAACACACAGGAGGCAATACTTGTTGGATTGCTGCAGAAGAGGGGACAACTGACTGGGCAGCAGGGGACAGAGAGACTTTTTCGGAAGCCAGAGGGACCAGAGAGAGGTTTCCGAGTCATGACATAATCATTGCCATATTGAACTTTTCAAACAGGATTATATTAGTAAAATTTGACTATGAGGCAAGAGGGTATAAACTCCTCTCTCTTTCAGTCTATGAGTTCCTGATGAATGGGGACACCCCAGTGATTATGTGAGTGAATTAGAGCAGGCAACTTTGGCCTCCAAAGTGGTGTACCCTTGTTGCTGGAATGCTTTCTGTTTGGGGTATGAGTTATCCCGAGGCTCTTGTATCTTAGATCAGAGGGGCAAATGATTTTTTTCATTGGAGCACATGGGGGGCCTCCTTTCTTAGTCGTATGTCTTGCTATTGGCGTGAGAGGTTGCTACCACTCCCAGTTCCTGGCGGTAGCTTACCAAAACAGGCATCTGCCAATGAGGGGACGCCGGATGCTCTTAGAAGCTTTGAGTCTGGTGCTAGATTTTCCAGGTTCCACACCCTAGCCTGGCCAACACCAGCCTTTGATGTTCCACACACATTTACACAGTGGTCCTTACAAATTTTCACAGAAATCCCCAAAGAGAATTCCATTTATTTATATTCTTGTGAAGAACTTTCAAGTTGAGCAAAACGATGTATATCCAAACAATTGTGAAAAAAAAAAAAAAAAGGCCTAGACGAATGCATCGCTACAAATAACAATTCCCAGGAAACTCACACTGAGAAATAGCAGGGTAAAATGTTCACTCCAAAGAATTTAAGATGTATGAATTTGGACAGACTGAACAACCCGCTGATTTTGACCTAAATAGATGACCCAAGACATACGGTAACAAAAGCTCTATCCAAGAAATTGGGCTACGGCCATCAGTTGCTTAACCACTTCCCCTCCACCAATCCGTGAACTGGATTAGAACATTAGAACTTGAGAAACTTCGTAGCGATGTGTGGGATGCTGGGAAAGACAGATTAAGTGCCATTTTCACCCAAAAAGAGCATGTGCCAGCTGATTAATTGTTGAGGGTTTTAGCCCGTTGTCTTGTGTTATTGGTGGGCCAGTTTCTCCAACTTGAAGAAACAGTCCTGACAAAGTGAGAATATTTCAAGAATCTTAGGGAAGTTAGAGTCAACCTCCAGTTATTCAGGGTTGACTCTCATTTTGGAAAACATCTAGGATCCTGGCTTTTCTTCCTTCCAACACGTAATCCATCTTCTCCCTCTCTCCTCCCCTCACCCCCACCAATCTCTTTTTGGGCCTTTTCACAGTTCATTAGGCAATTCAAATAAAGCGTGGGCAAAGAAATAACCTGAAAAAACATGTGTGGAACTAAAATTTATGAAACTGACCTATGAATCCTGAATCTGGAATAGGTTTCCACAGAAAGAAATTGAAACTCGTGGTCACATATCTGTTATTCTGGTTTTTGATGGTCATCAGTCAAAAGAATCATTATTTACCTATCAATGCCTTGAATGATGTAACAATTTAGATTTTTGTAATTTTTAAAATATTGAGAATGTGCTTTTGGTCGTCATTTAGGCAGACAATAAATTGGCCCCAAATGATCAGAATGGGTAATATCTGTGCTATGAGTCCCATCTGCATAAGCAAATGGATCTTTTTCTCCCCTACACCACCGCCCTCCAATGAATCAAGATAATAAAAATGTACCTGTCCCGCGGTGTCATACAGTCCGAGCAAGTGTTGCTTGCCTCCCACAGTCACAGTAACTAGGGGAGAAGAGAAAAGAAAAGAAGAGGAGAGTCCATAAACACAAGCTTCAATCAGGAGCCTTCACATTGTTTCCATGCCAGCATCTCCTTGGGCAGCAAGAAGAAGCATATGCCTCGCTCATGTACATTCTAAACCAAGTTGACAGCATAATTTCCAAATGAAAGGTAACCTTGGGCTGCAGTGATGGCAGATGGTCTGAGCCAAGTCCAAATTTCTCAAAAGAGATGGATATTATTGGTGCCACCAGGACACTCTGTGGGCTACCCACTGATCCTTATTCGGCTCTAGAACACCAAGCTTCTGATGAAAAAGAATGCTGGGCCCCTTTTTCATTAGGTTATTGCCTTCTTTTCTTCGGTTTGAGACACCTTTCAGGGCACAGAATTGTGTAAGTAGCTTGTCTATTAGAAATCTCTCTGCTTGTATTTGTCTTTGAAATATTTATAAAACCCTAAAAACAAAGAATATTATCACACCTATTAATACATACTTTTATAGCCTATAAAGCAAGGCAAATAGTTAAATGAGAAGGGCTTAGCGTTCATTTTGAAAAGTTTTTTAAAATTAGATATTCCTGTGCTTTTGCACAATTGATTCATTATGATTTTGAACTTTAGTTGCAGAAGATGTTGTATGGGTTCAGTCTCACATACATAAAGGGCGCTTAGAGGGTGAAAAGTAGTGAGTTTGACTTAACTCAGTAGCTTACTACTTTGCCAAGGAATTGTGCCCTGAAAATGAGAAGGAAAACAGGGACAGCAACCACTCTGTACATGTCTGGAAATGAAAGTCTCAACTTGAAACTAAACTGAGATTGAACAGATTGAATGCAGGAGTAATAGAATTCTTTTCGTGAAAGGAAAGAGCAAATTTAAATTTCCAAAAAAAAAATTGAATCGCTTTTTGGAAAAAGGAAATAAAATATGAAGAAAAGTGTGAGTTTTTTCTCTTGTCAAAATGTGCAAATTCAGTGTGAAGATGATTTTTGATTCCTCCTATCATTAGCTGTGCAGGAAATGAAAGATAAACTGAATAGCAATCTTTTATAACCATATCTCTAACAGCCAAATTCTCTAGCCTGCTGCTTAGAGTTGCTGATTCGGTATTGATTTTACTTTTATTTCTTTTCAGGTTCATGGGCTACATGTATACAAGGAACTTCTTAATGGCTCGTTCTTTGAAAAGCAAAGCACTTGTTTAAAAGCGCTACGTCCCCAGACACTGGGAACTATTTTTATAATCTACTCAGATCAACGTGTGTTCAGCTTGATAACATGGCTGCAGCCGCTCAGATGAGCTGTTAAATGTGTATTTTAAAATGGTACACCCAGCTCCGTCCACCCCGGTTACCATGCTGACAGAAGAAGGACATTTAAATGTTTTCACTTCCTTTCACAAGTCAGGCTAGCAATAGGAATGGAGGTGAGGCTGTGTGGCCCAGAGCTCTTGTCCTGTTTAATTTTTCCTCTTCATGCACAATGGTAGAAGAGAGCCCAGTCAGATGTTTCTGAAATCTGCCTAAATGGTTTCTTCAATGACCAGTTCACTAAGTTGTCATGGATTAGGCATGAAGGGAGACATCCAGCTATCACAGCATGGAACCTTAGGTGAGCCCAGTACATGCAGGTCAGGGGCAGCTGTTCCAGAGACCCCTTAGATTGTCTCATGACATACAGGCCCGGGGCCATCTGTGGAGTGATTCCTAGAAGTCGAGTCATCCTCACTGCCCCACTGGGCACTGCAAATATTCCTAAGCAATGGCTCTGACCTATGTTATGGGAGCCCTGGAGTGCCTGTTCAGATAGTCCTTGCTTTCTCAGTCATTCTCTCCAGTCTGTTTTTCCTCGGGCCTCACCCTTTTCTCCTATGGCAGCTTTGATCCCTGGGAATTTCACCAGGCCTGAAGTGAGCACAGGAAGGTGAGGTGGTGGGCAGAGGGTCTGGACGAAGCTTTCTGTTTCCTCTGTTCTTTCCTTCTTCAAGAGTCTACCAGGTTCCTGGACTGAACTCAATGGTAGGAGCAGAAAGACCAGATTCAATTCTTCCTGCCATGGAGCATGGAGACAAGTGGTTTCCTGGTAAAGCATGGGCACTGTGCAGTGTGGCATGAGCTGTGTCAGGGGTAGTGTGAGGGGTGTGGGGGCTTGCGGCAGGGGCACTGCTGGCTGTGCATATGTCTGCACACACACACTGTGGAGCTGGATCAGAAAAGGCTTTCTGAGCAAAATATGAAAAGAGGAAGTCAAACTATCCTTCTTTGCTGACAATATGATTCTATACCTAGAAAACCATAAAGACTCTGCCAAAAGGCTCATAGAATTGATAAATGACTTCAGTAAAGGTTCAGGATATAAAAATCAATGTACAAAAATCAGTAGTATTTCTATACACCAATAACATTCAGGCTGAGAGACAAATCAAGAACACAATCCCATTTACAATAGCCACACAAAAATAAAATACCTATGTCTCTACAAGGAGAACTATAAAACACTGCTGGAAGAAATTATAGATGATACAAACAAATGGAAAAACATTCCATGCTCATGGATTGGAAGAATCAACATTGTTAGAATGGCCATACTGCCCAAAGCAATACAGATTCAACAGCCTTCCTATCAAACTACTGTAAACCAAAAACAAAATTCTAAGCACCCCAACTGACTGAATGGAACCCTCCTCTTGGTTAAGGGCATTCCAAAGTAAACCTGAAAAACTAGTTCAGGCTATGATGGGAAGCGGGGCTGGGTGGGACATGCCTCATCATACTCTCCTCCCTTTGGAATTTAGGCACAGCTGACCAGCATTAACATGAAAACAGAGGTCTTGTGACTGACAAAACAGGCTCTGTAGTAATAAGATACCAAATTGCAACCTGACTCTAGTATAGCATCACATGAAAGAGAACAAGCCTTGAAAGAAACCAAAGTATTTTCCCCTAAAATATCTTTGAGATATTTTGAAATGGCCTTGAAAAACTGTCTCTTGTCTACAGTCCATAGAAAATTCCTTTTCCTTTCCATGTCTTTTCCTGATCCAGGAGAGATTTAACTAAGAGTCTGGCACTTTCAGGGTCTGACAAGAGACGCTTACCGTTTGTTCTCTCTGAAGCCGGCTACCCAGAGGCTTCATCTATATAACTATCTACCTATATATTATATAGATAGGTTGCAGAACCTTGGTTTCTGCAACTCCCCTTATCTTAACTAGAAACATTTATTTCTGTTGATTTCAACTTTTCAGACAGAGCTTAACCCTTTCAACCAATTGCCAGTCAGGAAATGTTTAAATCCACCTATGACTTGGAAGCCCTTGGCCTTTCCAGGCCTAACCAACGTACACCTTACATGTACTGATTTATGTCTCTGTAACTTCTGTCCCCCCCTAAAATGCATAAAATCAAGCTGTAACCAACCATCTTGGGGACATGTTCTCAGGACCTCCTGGGGCTGTGTCATGGGTCATGGTTTTTATATTTGGCTCAGAATAAATCTCTTCAAATATTTTACAAAGTTTGACTTTTTATCATTGATACTACCAATGTCATTTTTACAGAATTAGGAAATACTATTCTAAATTTCATGTGGAATCAAAAAAGAACCTGAATAGCTAAAGCAATTCTAAGCAAAAAGAACAAAGCCAAAGGTATTACATTACCCTACTTCAAACTATACTACATGGCTACAGTAAACAAAACAGTGTGGTACTGGTACAAAAACAGACACATAGACCAGTGGAACAAAATAGAGAACCCAGAAATAAAACTGCACAGCCACAGCCATCTGATGTTTGATAAAGTTTACAAAAATAAGAGATAGAGAAAAGACACTCTACTCAATAAATGGTGCTGGGATAGCTGGCTAGCCATATGCAGAAGAATGAAACTGGACCCTTACCTTTCACCATATACTGAAGTTAAGATGAATTAAAGATTTAAATATAAGACCTCAAACTATCAGAATTCTAGAATAAAACCTAGGAAACACCATTTTGAACATTGGCCTTGAGAAAGATATTATGACTAGGTCCTCAAAAGCAATTGCAACCAAAACAAAAATGGACAAGTGGAACCTAATTAAACTCCAGATCTTCTGCACAGCAAAACAAAAACAAAACAAAACAAACTATCAACAGAGTAATCAGACAACCTATAGAATGGGAGCAAATATTCACAAACCACACATCTGACAGAGGTATAATATTCAGAATCTATAAGGAATTTAATTCAAGAAGCAAAAACCAAAAAACTTTTTAATAAAGACATGAACAGATACTTCTCAAAAGAAGACATACAAGTGGCCAACATGTTTATGAAAAAATGTTCCACATCACTAATCACCAGAGAAATGCAAATCAAAACTATAGTAAAATACTATCTCACACCAGTCAGAATGGCTATTACTGAAAAGTCAAAAAACAACTGATGCTGGTCAGACTGTGGAGAAAAGGGAAACCTTATACACTATTAGTGGAAATGTAAATTAGTTCAGCCATCATGGAAAGCAGTTTGGATATTTCTCAAAGAACTTAAAACTACCATTTGACCTAGCAATCCCATTACTGGGTATATATCCAAAAAAACCAAAGACCAAAAAACTGTTCTCCCAAAAAGACATATGCACTTGTATGTCCATTGTAGCACTATTCACAATAGCAAATACATGAAATCAATCCAGGTGTCCATCCAGGATGGATTGGATAAAGAAAGCCTTGTGCATATACCTCATGGAATACTATGTAGCCATAAAAAGAATAAAATCATGTTCTTTGTAGCAACATGGATGCAGCTGGAGGCCATTATCATAAGCTAATTAATGCAGAAACAGAAAACCAAATACTGCATGTTCTCATAAGTGGGAACTGAACATTGGGTACTCATGGACACAAAGATGGCGACAATAGACAGTGGGGACTACTAGAGTGGGGAGGGAGAAAGGGAAGGATGGGTTGAAAAACTAACTATTGGGTACTATGCTTACTACCTGGGTATGTAGTAAGCATAGTACTCAGGTGATCGGTACTATCACACCCCAAACCTCAGTGTCATTCACGATACCCATGGAACAAACCTACAGATGTACTCCCTGAATCTAAAATAAAAGTTGAAATTAAAAAAAAAAAGAAAAGGCTTTCTGGAGGAGGGGGTGTCTGAGCTGAGTTCCTGAGGATGGCCAAGAGCTACCCAGGGTGCACTGGGGGAGGAACAGCTGTGGTCCTGAGCTGCCCAGGGTGCACTGGGGAAGATGATGCCAAGAAGGTAGGCACACAGGGTGGAGCTGCCCTGGCTCACTAACTGAGGCTTCATTCTGATGGCTTTGTTAAGCTTTGAAGTCCTGAATTATTCTTTTCCTCAAAATGAGTAAAAGAGAATGACTTAAAATAATTTCCTTGAGTTAAGGCAAAATGGTGGGGGAAGGGAGGATGCCATTATGGGTGTGGAAGCCATGTTGGATGTTCAGCTTTGCTGTGTAGTGGCTGTCTAGTCTGTCTGTGTGTGGGGCCAGTACTGCTGGAGGAATCCTAAAAAGAGGGGGCAGAGCTTGTGCCCTTAACTTTTCATTTCCTCTTCTCGGCCCTTTTATTCTCTCGTTCTATCAGAAGGAAGATAAGTAGATCACACAGTTTATGCCAGAGGATGTCAAGGGACAGCCAGAGATAGATCAAATGTCAATCAAACATTGAGGGTTATACGGGTCATGGCTTCGTGAGTCCTTATCTTGGACTAGCAGTGGATGCCTTATTGCTTGCCAGCCTGTGTCCTATGAGGCTTCTTAATTTGGAAATCAGTCAGTCACACCTGCACAGAAGGAAGCTATTGTCATAAAATGCTAATGGTAAACATAGTGAGGTTCAAAGAGCAGGATCTTTCAAGTCAGATAGTTCTGTATTCGAATCCTATCATTGCTATTCATCACTGTAATGACCTTGAGAAAGTCACCTACCATCTCTGAGCCCCTCTTTCCTTATCTATTAAAAATGGGGGATAACATCACCTACCAAAGAAAGTACTTGTGAGAAGGAAATTAAACGAGAAAATGCCTGGAACATAGTCTGACCTATGGTGGGTACTAAACGACTGTTATTTTTCCTCTTTCAGCAAATGCTTACTGAACCCATTCTAAGGACAAGGACTAGCCTGTCTTGCTCTCCACTGAATACTCAGTGCACATTAACTGGCACATGGTGTGATCTTAATATTTGTGAATTACTAGTCATTTTCTACCCTATAATAGGTATTTAGATCTGTCTGATATTCCCCACTGGACAGGAAGATCCTTGAGGGCAGAGTCTCCATGCCCAGTATACCCCAGAGTACACAGCCAGTTCCTGGCATACATAATAGATGCTGAATACACAGTGCAGATATACAGCACCAGGGGCAGAATAAAGTTCTTCGAAATGTACGGAGGGGCAGCTTGAAGCTCCTGGCAAGATTGGAACTGCTGGGAAGTGCCTCTAGCCAGCAAATCTGCCTGGCAGACAGTGGTCAGACTAAAATCTCAGATCACCTTCTATTCCTGGAGCTATTAGTGTTGCTTTCTGAGCTTAGAGAGGTTTTAAAGAGAGTAGGTCAAATGACCTGCTAATGGCTCAGAGGGTTCTCTCAATAAAGTGTGAAAAGTTGTCAGTGACCTGTTAAGTATGTAAAATGAAGGTCCTTTCCCCCAAATCCATTAAACTCTTTACTCTCTTGTCTTTCTTCTTTGAGTGAATTGGAGTGGTTAATTTTGTGACTTGGTATGAGATGCTAATGAAGTCTAAGTCCTGGTCTTGCTGTCTTGAGTTCCACCCAGAGAGAAAATAGCTCAGGTAGAACTTACGTCTACTTCCCTTAGCATTTCAGTCATCTCACAAAACAGTGTGTGTTCTGCAAATCTGGATGAGGAAGTGTCGTTCATGCCCTGTAAACCATCAAAGCCCCTTCCTCATTGGGTTGGCTGTCTCAGCTGCCGAGAGTGGTCTTTTGAAGTCAATATGATGACTATAAGATGGCTTTCAAGAGAAATGTTGGAAATGTCAGGTCAGTTATAGGGACGCCTCCAAGTGCCGTTCAGTTGCTAGCACATAACCAGCTATCTGCATTATTGTGTCTAGTGTACTGTGTTTGCTAGTTAGAATGAGGCATGCCTGACTGTGGTGTATGTAGTACCACAAAGCTGCTTTGTTGGAGGAAGAAACACTAGATTCTGGATATAGCGAGAAATATAATTTTAGGAAAGTTAAAAACACAGCTTTCATGCGAATATAGGATGAGCACGTCAAAGATTTATTAACTCATTGGTGAGTGAACCGGTAAGATGGTAAATCTTGTTCAAAGAGCATTTTGAAGAACTAGGCATTTATAATATTTAAAAAGCAATGTTAGGCTAAGTGCAGTGGCTCATGCCTGTAATTGCAGCACTTTGGGAGGCTGAGGCAGGAGGATTGCTTAAGCTCAAGAGTTTGAGACCAGCCTGGGAAACAAAGTGAGACCCCATCTCTACAAAACATGAAAAAAAAAAAAAAATTAGCTGGGCATGGTGGTGTGTATCAAGTAGCCCCAGCTACTTGGGAGGCTGAGGTGGGAGGATGGCTTGATCCCAGGAGATCAAGGTTGCAGTGAGCCATGTTTTTGGCACTTCACTCCAGAGCTTGGGTAACAGAGTAAGACTCTGTCTCAAAAAAAAGGAAAAAAAAGAAAAAAGGCAATGTTAGCATAGGTGGTTAGGTTCAATAGAAAACTGATTACTGTCCTATAGAAAAGATAACTTTTGATGTTATCAAAAAGAAAGGTAAATACACCAGGAAAAATGGTTACAATATATGAGGGTCAAAGAAGATTATATCTTTGATACATAAACAGGTTTTCTAATCAATAAGGATTAACCCAAAAGAAAAAAAGAAAGAATATAGACAATTTACAAAGAAATAAATATAAAGGGCAAATTAACATTGGAGTGAAAACAATTTAAATTAAAGAGAGATACAACCTTGGGTCATTCAAATTGGCAATGACGAAGAGAAGAAATACCCAGTGCTGGTGAATGTGGACACTTCACACTGCTGGAGAAAATGCAAATTTATGGATTCATTTTTTTGGAAAGCCATTTGGCAATATAGATCAAAGCCTAAACAGGAAACATCTTTTTCACATTTGACTCGGCAGTCTTATTTCTGCAGTGTATCCCCCATGACAGAATAAAAGCTAATGTAGTGTTGATATAAGTACTATCAGGTATTTATATCAAGAGGGCATTTGGTAATTATGGTAAAAAAAAAAAACCTGTACATGTGTACAACAATGTGTATATGTAAGTCTATTCGTCATCAAAGTGTTTATAGTAGCTAACAGTTGGAAACCATTTACACACTCAACAATCAGGGATTGGTCCTTAACAGTTACGGAGCAGCCTTAAGATGGAACCTTTTAAAAAATAATGGGGAATGTGGTAAAATATTCAGGATATAATGTGCAGATAGCAGGAGATAAAATTCTACATGTATATGTAAAATAACCACAGAAAACACTTTATTTTTTCCATTCTTTGCTATCATGAACATGTAAAACAGTTAGAAAAACTAGTATTTGGATGCTCAGCAATCATGGTTATTGTGCTGTTGTTGATGTATATACAGATTGGATTAAATGTCATTTAACTTACCTCCCATCACTTAAATTCTATCATTTCTCCTAGATTGACTCTCAGAAGCTTTCGTCTTAGGCTTATCCAGATTTATTTTAGGCTGTAGGACCAAGCTTATAATTTTACGAGTAGAACGTGTGATAAATAGGTCTGCTGCAGTGGAGGTTTATAAACTGTGTATTGCAGAGCAACTCATCTTTTTCAGAAAACTATGATGAACCACTAATGCTCTACCTATACTTGCTTTCCAAAGGTACCAAGAAAATATTGTGCATTTGAGAATGTGGGAATTTGCCAAAATGTATTAGTTGTAAACTGAAAGAAATATATGAGCTATAAAGACAACATAGTAAATTAGGTTCTAAATATAGCCCTTTATTGACAATGTCTAGGTATAGTGAGATAAACTAGCCAAGTGAATATTTAGTGTGTGTTTCTGCTCTCAATAACTTCTTTTCCATATGATTACAATATAATTTGGAGACCATTAAGCTGTTTTTCTCTGTTTTCTACTTTGGTGCATGGTTGTCATCCTAAGATTATATTTACTTGCCTGTCTCTTTGTTATTCAGTCCTAGAATTTTATGTATTTGTGGTTTTTCCCTTTATTTATTTCATTTATCTTTTTCTAATATCGCCAGCCAGAATATGGGTTCTTTTTAGGTAACGAAACATAGGTTCTTTTCAAATAAAAATAACGTAACCTTATTTTTTATTTCTTAATATATGTCAAGAAATATTCATGTCTGCTGATTCACATTTGATGGTTAATTATGATTGGGGAGGATTGTATATATGATAATTTGCGATAAAACAGCGGTTGGATCCTTTCTGCAATAAGTATATGCAAGACCATCTTTCACTGTTACCTTTATTATTAAGTATGTTCTCAGAATTTGTATAAGGTAAGAAGTCTACCACTTCTCTGTCCTTGTTCACATATTTTTCCTAATTGTTTTCCTTCAAAGCACCTACAAATAAAAATATAATTTTTGGGATGCTTATCAGCAACATAAAGTGCATGGCTAGCTACTCCTCTTAAGGAGAGTTTCAAAGCTGGTGAAAGGATGCACTTAATGTTGACTCCTTTCAGAACCTATGTTATGCGTTGTCACTGAAAGATAGAAAGATGCCTTGTGCATATTTGGCTCCTGGGGTCAGTAGGTTCACTGGATTAGCAATCTGAGGATTTGAATTTTTATTCTTGGCTTTGCTGATGTGTTTCTGCCCAGTTTTAGGTAAGGTACAATTAATTCACTAGAATTTCTGTGCATTTAAAAGCATTTAAGGCTGAGGAGGGTGGATCATGAGGTCAGGAGTTTGAGACCAGCCTGGCCAACATGGCAAAATCCTATCTCTACTAGAAATACAAAAATTAGCCAGGCGTGGTGGCACGCACCTGTAATTCCAGCCATTTAGGAGGCTGAGGCAAGAGAATTGCTTGAACCTGGGAGGCGGAGGTTGCTGCGAGCCAAGATCATGCCACCGCACTCCAGCCTGGGCAACAGAGTGAGACTCCATCTCAAAACAAAACAAAGCATTTAAAAAATGCAACTCAAATATAAATGGGAACCATGTGGTACATTCTCATGGTGGCTTCACATACAAGGAAACACACAGTACCTGCAGCCAAAAATGCTTGTAAACCATTCTGATCTCACCTGAAAGATAAAGACACCAGAGTGGATTCAAATCCTGAACCATAGCACTGCTTCTTAAAACCACCTTCTTCTCAGAACTTTTCATGGCCTGCCACAGCCTTGAAGCTTTGCTTCTACCCTCTTTAACAGCATGCCTGTGTAAAGGGTTTAGTCTCCTTTCTGGCAACTCAGGAAAGCCCAGGGCATGGCTGGTACCCTCATACTCTCCTTTGGGCTGTTGGGGAGAGGGAAGCTGGGTGGCCAAGGGTGCTTTCTCTCCTCAGTCAAAGGAGGGGAAAATAGAAGGGGAATGATGATAAACTTTTATAATTTAATACTTTTTCTTGTAGTCCCAACATAGAACATTTATAATACTATATATATATATATATTTTAAACAGTTCAAGGGGTTATTTGCTAAACTCTCTTATTATACTAACCTCATATCTTTCTCTTGGAACCTGTAGATGCTCAGCTGCGTAAAGTATGACACTGTCAAGGCTAGCATGGGTGGCTGAAACTGCAATCTCTATTAGACCAGAAGGTTAAAGGCTCCAGGATAGGAAAGGGAATTAGAAATAAGATGATAGCCCTTTTTTTTTTTTTTTTTTTTGGGACAGAGTTTCACTCTTGTTGCCCAGGCTGGAGTGCAATGGCGTGATCTTGGCTCACTGCAACCTCCACCTCCCGGGTTCAAGCGATTCTCCTGTCTCAGACTCCTGAGTAGCTGGGATGACAGGCGCCCGCCACTGAGCCTGGCTTATTTTTGGTATTTTTAGTAGAGATGGAGTTTCACCATGTTGGCTAGGCTGGTCTTGAACTCCTGACCTCAGGTGATCCACCCGCCTCGGCCTCGCAAAGTGCTGGGATTACAGGTGTGAGCCAGATGATAGCCCTCTTGGAGTCAGTCACTAATGGGTTAGAGGCAAAGTGAGGTTGTGCCAGGGAGCCCTGTGGATGAGGGGTTGAGACTTCCCCTGGATGGAGGGATGTGAAATCACCTCCCCTCCTCTGTCCCCGTGGAGCAAGGTATTCAGGACCTGGCACGGGAGAAAGGCTGGGGAGGGGTGATATTCAGTGGCTTTGCCAGTAACTGCAGAGAAATGACAGCCTTGTGAAAAAAAAAATCAGAGGAGGGGAAAAAAGTCATATTTGCAGGGGAGAAGGATGGGGTGGGTGGGGAAGGAATATGGTGAGGAAGGAAGGAGGATGTAGGGAGCCGTGGGCTACTGTAACCTGAATCCATCTTTGAAAGCACCTCCTGAGAAGAAGGGGCTGGTTCAGTCTGGTTTCCTAGGCTGTTCGGGCCTGGCTCACAGCTTCCACGGTATCTTCATTGTTGCCCTAACCTGACCTCGTTGCTCAGATAACTTTCTGACCTGTGGCCTCTCTCTGCTTCCATCAGTCTTGACCTATGACCCTTCATCTGGGAAAACCCAAATGAATTCTGGAGGATTGTTAAACTTCTTGTCTAAGCTGGCTCTGCCTGGAAGGGCAACTCAGCCTGAGCTGGGCTTGGCTCTTGAGTGGATAGGGGTCAGGGATGCTGGGGACTGGGTCGGGGTGAGCTGGTAAAGAGACTCTTTTTTTTTTTTTTTTTTTTTTGGAGACAGTCTCACTGTGTCACCCAGGCTGGAGTACAGTGGTGCGATTTCGTCTCACTGCAACCTCCAGCTCCTGGTTTTAAACAATTCTCCTGCCTCAGCCCCCTTAGTAGCTGGGACTACAGGCATGTGCCACCATGCCTGGCTAATTTTTTCTTTTTTTTTTGGGACAGAGTCACGCTCTATCACCCAGGCTGGAGTGCAGTGGTGCAATCTTGGCTCACTGCAACTTCCACCTCCCGGGTTCAAGTGATTCTCCTGCCTCAGACTCCTGAGTAGCTGGGACTACAGGTGCATGCCACCATGCCTGGCTAATTTTTGTATTGTTAGTAGAGACAGAGTTTCACCATGTTCGTCAGGCTGGCCTCAAACTTCTGACCTCATGACCCGCCTGCCTCGACCTCCCAAAGTTTTGGGACTACAGGCGTGAGCCACCACGCCTGGCCATTTTTTGGTATTTTTAGTAGAGACAGGGTTTCACCATGTTGGCCAGGCTAGTCTTAAACTCCCGACCTCGTGATCTGCCTGCCTCGGCCTGCCAAAGTGTTAGGATTACAGGCGTGAGCTACTGCACCCAGCCAAGAGACTCTTGTCACTTCGGTCCAGCCTATTCTTTCCTGGGGGGACTGGTACATTACTGAGCCCTGCCCTCCAAGAAGGGACTGGCCAAGAGACAAAGGATGTTACAGAAGAGCCACGTGTGAGTATGATTGGGGTGAGCTGCAGTAGCATACTGACTACCTTTGCTGTCGCTCTGGCATCCCTATCTTGTGAAGCTTACGCCTCTCCCTCCCCTCCAATCACAAATTTCTAATGAGGGCTACACAGTGGGACTGTGCACTCTGATCCACAAGCTCTTGCTTAAAGGACAAATGTCTAGCAGAGTATTTGGCCCACTATAGGGATTCAACAGATGGATAATAAATAAAAGAATATTTTTAGTCACAGAGATCTGATGCCGGCCCCCGGTTGGCATATAGTGCAGGGAGTAAGTGACACAGGGATGAGCTATGGAAGCATGTGGTTGAGGAATAAGGGATAAACACGTGGCCAGGCATGGTAGCTCACACCTGTAATCCTGGTGCTTCAGAAGGCCAAAGCAGGAGGATCGCTTCTTGAGCCCAGGAATTCAAGAAGAGCCTGGGCAACTAGCAAGACCTTGTCTCTACCAAAAAAACAAGCAAACAACAACAACAACAAAAAACAGTTAGCCAGGTGGCACGTGCCTGTACTCTTAGCGACTTGGGAGGCTAAGGCAGGAGTATTGCTTGAGCCCGGGAGTTGGAGACTGCAGTGAGCTACTACTGGGCCACTGCACTCCATGCACTCCAGCCTAGGCAACAGAGTGAGACCCTGTCTCTTAAAAAAGGTAAAAAAAAAAGGATAAAGGTGCCATAATGATTTGCGAATGCCCCAGTGACACAGAATATCCTTCTGTTCATGGTAGAGTTGGCATTCTTGGTGAAGTCAAGGCCAGAGCCTCTTCTTAAGGCTGCAAGAAATGTGTGGCTCCAAAACAGAGATAGGAAAGCTCACACCTGGATTGGTGGCCCTTCAGTTGAGTGTGAGACAGGGCGGCAAGCAGGGCTGGAGCTGTTTTCTCCTCCTGCTGCCATCACAAGTGCATTTGAATCAGGAGCATGGAGTGGGGGAGGGTAAGGCTGGGGGGAGGTGGGGCTGGGTGGTGGTGGTGGTTCTTGTGAATGTGAAGGTTCTATTTCAGATGGTCTGGTGGGTCCTGAGAATCTATTTTTCTAATAAGCTTCTAGGTAGTGCCCTTGCTACTGGTCTGCAGACCCCACTTCAAGAGACAAGGCTCTCATCCTTCCCTTAAATGTAGCTTCTCTGAGCCCCTAAGGTGGTTGACAGTTACGTATAAAGGGAGCAGTGTATTCCACAAAGGAAATGCAGAGAGGCAACTGGGTCAGGACAGCAGCTGGAGTGCTCATCCTTGCCCCATCACTAGTCACCAGACCTTAAGAGGGTGGGGGCATGGTCCCGGATGAATTCCTGCAGAGAGCTGCAGGGACCTGCTGTGGGAAGAACCTCCCAAGAGGGCTGATGGTTACCTCAGGGGGGGATTTGAGGCGTAGAAGGGA
Organism: Homo sapiens; assembly: GCF_000001405.40. Taxonomy (NCBI): domain Eukaryota; kingdom Metazoa; phylum Chordata; class Mammalia; order Primates; family Hominidae; genus Homo; species Homo sapiens. The sequence goes on along the minus strand of NC_000014.9, from coordinate 63,255,138 downwards.
CTTTGGCCAAAAAGAGATGAAAGAGATGAAATTATAACAAAGTAACCTTAGGTCTTGGAAAATTTTCTCTTGCTCCCCTGGGTCATTATTAAGGGGATCATGGCCTCAACATTTGAGAGCGTGAGTAAAGGGAGGGAAGTGAGCGATGGGGGCCAAGAAGGCTGGGAAAAGAGCCGCTTTTCTGTTGTTCAGTCCAATATTTCAGTAGATTGTACCCAGCAGCTTGGATCGCTATAAAAACCCAACGTGCTTTCTTCTATATGGGGACTTCAAGAGTCCTTTTGAAGTTCTCTGACATAATTTTAAAGATGTGCTTCTGGACCTGTGGAAGTACCCACTGTTGCTCTCTGTCCATCTGTCCATCTGTCTACCATGGCAGCCTGTGTGGGCATGGCTTTAGGAGCAGCTGGGGAAGTTGCACATGTTTATCTTCTCTGGGTGAGCTCCGCTTTCCCTGCTTTCTCCTCCCTAGCCTTGGAAATTGGTATCCCGCTTCTCTCTTCTCCTTGACTAAAATCTATCCAATTTTCTTTTTTCCCCCACACAATGAGCTACTACAAATGCTTAATAGCTGACTGGACTGTGAACTCCTTACAGGCAAAGAGAAGCCTCTAAGGCCCAGCACCGTGCCTTGCAAGTAATGAGTATTCAATCAACGAGGTTTGCTGAATGAATGGATGGCTTAAATGCCCCCCTCCCCCAGGAGCACATACATTTCTCAGGGGATCACATCAAACGGATAAAGCTCTGCTAGGGATCTCAGGAGCATCTGGTGGACTGGAAGTGAGTTGTGGAGTCTTGTAGCTTTCCCAGCACCCAGGAAATCATAGCAGAAGGCCACGGTGATACTTTCTGGTGTGCATGCCAGGAGACCCAGTTGTTGAATTGAAACTGATCAATTCTAGAAAATAAGGAAGGCTATTGAGCCCATGGCTTGGGCTCACTCCAAGATAGACAGTGATGGAGTGTTTGGCCAGTTCCCAGCACTGACAGCCGAGACAATGCTGATCCGGTCCTGTGTGACATAAGGCAGCCATTGCAGTTGTCAATTTCAGGTCCTGGGGGATCAGCTCAAGACCTTGACCCCCACCTCCACAAGCGGCTGGCTCTACCATCACTCCAACCACTGTGCTGCCTGGGAACACTGTCAGGGACAGTTCTAGAGCTGCAGTGACTCTGCTTCCAAATCTGACTCCCAGCGAAGAGACAGAGAAAAAAACAGAACATACCTGCTAGTTACGTTCCAGACTTAAGAATTAGTGAAAATAAATGGATATTAGCCATACCTCCTGAGACAAACTCAAGCAGTGTGTGTGTGTTTTTAACTATCACATTGGTTGACCCTCTACCAGTCAACAAAAAATGTTCTCTTTTAGACTGTGCTGCAAGGATCAGATCTTCTGCTCTTTGACCATGGCATTTGTAACTAGTTGTTTTTGTCATATGATCTTAGAAACAGTAAGAAGGGAGTAGCCTTACAAATCAATAAGTGCTAACCTGCCTAAAAATAGAAATGGCTGGAGGAAAGCAGAGATAGGTAAGGAGGGGGAAGTGTCCTAGATGAATACAAGAAAATAACTAAGCAAATGATTTCAAATTTTATCTAGGGGCCAGGTACAGTATCTCATGCCTGCAATCCCGGCACTTTGGGAGGCCAAGGCAGGAGGATCACTTGAGGCCAGGAGTTTGAGACAGCCTGGGCAACATAGTGAAACCCCATCTCTAAAAAAAAAAAAATTAGCTACTTGGGAAGCTGAGGCAGGTGATTCTTTAACCCAGGAGTTTGACGTTATAGTGAGCTATGATTGCACCATTGCACTGCAGTCTGGGTGACAGAGTAAGACCCTGCCTCTAAAAAAAATTATCTAAAGCCTATATGCTTTCAAAGCATTCAGGGAAGTGTACTTTTAGCAGATGGAGGAACTAGGAGTTGGCATGTGCAAATGACAGCCTTAGGCTCAGGACCGATAACAGACATGTATCTATTGAATGACCCCTTGCATGACCTTGAGAATGATAGAGGCCTTCATCTTTAAGAGTTTATAAGAAAAGAAAGAATAGGCAAGTGATATAAACAATTTCTATACAGATTCAGGGCTAGAAGGAAAGCTAGAAAAATTGTCTAAAAATCCAGCCAAATGCCAACCTAAATAGTTACAGAGAATTTTGTAATTTGTCTGTTAGAAATGATCTCATCTTCATGTTCCTATTCTTAAGAGGTGCTTCTATCAGGTGTGGAGGCTCATGCCTGTAGTCCCAGTTACTGGGAAGGCCGAAGTGGGAGGGTTGCTTGAGGCTAGGAGTTTGTGAATAGCCTGGGCAACATAATGATACCCCATCTCTTAAAGAAAAAAGAGATATATCTTATTCCATTTTCATGTCCCTTTCCTGATGCTGTTGCCTTTTTGGGAAGGCATGGAGGAGTGAGGGAGAAGATTAGGAGATGGCTAGGAGTGAGAGTCAGGGGTATGGGGGATTGGGGGACAACAAAGATAGTAGTAAATTCTAGGCAGGAGGAATAACAAGATCTTCTTTCATCACAGCTGCACACTAGAGGACTATTGATTAGGAAGGATGTTTTTCTTGGGGTTAAAACAACGTTTTGAAAATATCCCTGGGCTACTTTTTCAGGATGAAAAGTATTTTATATCATGTCTTTGGGCTGAACTGTTTGAATTCATGAACTGGTCTGAATGGATGATACCGGATACTGAATCAGTAGACAGTTCTTGGATATGGTTTTAATCACATCATAAATATATACCTTGGCTTATCCACAGACCTCTAATTATTTGACATAACTATTGTAGGTGGAATAATGGTCCCCCAAAGATGCCCACATCCTAGTTCCTGGAACCTGTCAGAGAAGATGATGTCAGAATAGAAGCAGAGGTTGAGGTGCTGTGGAAGGGCTCATGAGCCAGGCAGCCTCTAGACACTGGGAAAGGCAAGGAATGAATTCTCCCCTGGAGCCTGTAGGAATGCAGGTCTGCTGGCTCCTTGATTTGAGTCTAGTGAAACACATTTTGGACTCTATTTATTTATTTATTTTTGAGACAGAGTTTCTCTCTGTTGCCCAGGCTGGAGTACAGTGGCGTGATCTCGGCTCACTGCAACCTCTGCCTCCTGGGTTCGGGTGATTCTCGTGCACCACCAAGCCCGGCTAAGTTTTGTATTTTTAGTAGAGATGGGATTTTGCCATGATGACCAGGCTGGTTTTGAACTCTTGGCCTCAAGTGATCAGCCTGCCTCGGCCTCCCAAAGTGCTGGGATTACAGGCGTGACCCACTGTGACATTTTGGACTTTTGACCTCCAAAATTATAAGATAATAATAAGTTGTGGTAATTTGTTACAGAAGCAGTAGAAAATGAATAGAGACTTTATCTTATAAAATACTTACTAAATAAATGTTATTAAGTCAATGATGTTTGGGAGAGAGGACCTCCTTTCCCTTGACGTAATATTTCCATGTGACGGAAATCACTTAGGGTCAACACACTTGGCTTGAATGCCCCCAGTGGAGTGAGAGAATCATCTGATTGGTAAATCTGGGAGCAGTAACTGGGTATGCATTGCTCAGCACCTTCCCCTTTCTCTTTGGGTTTGTCTGCAGAGAGCTTGTTGAAGCTTAGGCTTGTGTTCCTCTCTCAGGAAAAACACTATTTCTAGAATTGAGACTGTGAAAAATTCTTTTCTATGGGTTTTTGTAAAGAGAAGACTTACAATAATGTAGTGAACAAGGTTCTAAATGTGATCTTGAGTAACTATGGCTATATACTTCAGAAGCCATTTCTTACAATGTCCTTCAGTTTAAGGAAGTGGTACAATAAAACATACTTCTTTTCTTTACACTTAATAATTATGTATTGAGAATCTACTATGGACCAGGGGCAAAGCTGGGTGCTAGGGCATCCATGGGTGAAGAAAACAGAATTATCCTTGCCTTCAGGGAGCTTATAGTTTGGAAGGGGAGCCAGATACTGTACAAATAACCCCTTGCTAGGAAAATATAAAACAGGACTCAAGGGGAATGTAAAACAGGAGGCTCAGTTGATTTTTTTAACTTTTTAATTTTTTAAATTAATTAATTAATTATTTATTTTTGAGACGGAGTTTCACTTGTTGCCCAGGCTGGAGTGCAATGGTGAAATCTTGGCTCACTGCAGCCACTCCCTCTCAGGTTCAAGCGATTCTTCTGCCTGAGCCTCCTAAGTAGCTGGGATTACAGGCACCTGCCATCACGCCCAGCTAATTTTTTGTATTTTTGGTAGAGATGGGGTTTCTCCATATTGGCGAGGCTGATCTGGAACTCCTGACCTCAAGTGATCTGCCTACCTTGGTCTCCCAAAGTGCTGGAATTACAGGTGTGAGCCACCGCACCCAGCCTCTAGAGGCTCACTTTAGATTAGGGGTCAGGGACAACCCCTTTGAAGAAGTGACATTGAAACTGAGCCCTGAGCAGTAAGTTGAGTGTGCAAGCACAGTGTTTGTGTGCATAGTGGAAAAAAGTCCTGGTGTATTTGTGTGTGTGTGTATGGGGGGACATTCTAGGCAGAGGAAAAAACACATACAGAGGTCCTGAGATGGGAAAGATGTGAGGCCAGGCGCAGTAGCTCACGCTTGTAATCCCAGCACTTTGGGGAGGCCAAGGTGGGCAGATCGCTTGAGCCTAAGAGTTTGAGACCAGCTTGGGCAACATGGCAAAACCCTATCTCTACAAAAATTACAAAGATTAGCAGGGCGTGGTGGCATGTACCTGTAGTTCCAGCTGCTCAGGAGGTGGGAGGATCACTTGAGCCTGGGTGGTTAAGGCTGCAGTGAGCCATGTTCGGGCCACTGTACTCCAGCCTGGATGACAGAGTGAGGCCCTGTCTCAAACAAAACAAAACAAACAAACAAAAAGAAAGGTCAATATGGCTGGAGTGTAGTGAATGAGGGGAGTAAGCAGATAATGGCCTGCAGAGCTTTTATATTTTATAGCTTGGGAGCATATTACAGTGGCCCAGGGAAAAGATGATGGTAGCTTAGACCAGGTGGTAGCAGTAGAGATGTGGGAGATGTGTCTAGCTGGGGCAAAAGCATGCACAAATGGGTGACTTGCTGTCCATGTGGAGAACATTTCCCCCTATTTCCAAATTTGATTTAATCCTGGGTCAACTTTAACTGTTTCCTAACTGGCTACAGCATTTAAATTTGTTGCTTGTGCAAATTTGACATGCTTCCTAGGAGACATTATCTTTGTCTCTAACGTGGTTCTACTAAGAGCAGTGGTTCTTAACCTTGGTTGCACCCTGGACCAATTACAACAGAATCTATCGATATCCAGGCATTGATGTTTTGGGGTTGAGACCTAGGTATTCATATTTCTTAAAGCTCCCCAAGTGGCCGAGGATGAGAACCACTGACTTAGAGCATTAGATTGATGAGGTATAACATATAAGCTTAGAAATAAATCCAGCATTCAAGGTGGAAAACAAGATTGAGAAGGAATATTTCTACTAACATGAGGTTCAAATGGAGCTATTTTCAGTTTTCTCTAACTAGGTCCACTTGTTAATCAAAATTAAATTATGATTAAATGAGAAAACTAATATCCTTGCAAACACTTGAACTTTCAGCAGCTCTTGTCAAATTTATCTGAGACCCTGAACTTCATAAATAAAGGTGAATTCTTAGGCACTGCATGAGTCAAGGCGTAGACTAATTGGACACAAAAGGTTTCACCTCTAAATCACTGCCAGAGGCCAGCAGTGTTGAGCATATGCTGGCTGCTCGGTGGTAGTTTTTAACAGAACACTTGGACTGCATCCTGTTGCTGTGGGAAGATTCCCAAGACTATGCACTTGTTAGCCCTCATCTATCAGAAATGATTCATGTGTGTGTAGGGTTGGTGAGTTCCCATTATTCTGCCAACTCTTTAGAAGCTTTTTGCTCTGTAAGGACAGGGACTTCAGTGGACATGTCTTGTTCCTTCCAGCATCAATTTCATGCCTTCTTTTCTTTCCTAGAAGTGCCCTGAGCTTCTCAGCCATATGCAGTGGGCTCTGACTGTTTGCAAGAATGGGCTCTGATGAGTTTAAACCTGTTGTATATCCCATGTCCTTGATCACATTGATTGCTTAGGCACTGGTACATGACCTGAGTCAGACCAATTGGGACCAACAATACTCAAGTCTAGGTCCTTTCTTTGAGTGAGGGTGGAGATGCGGGGGAAGTGGGGAATGGTTCCTCTTTCTGACTAGTAGTGCATAAGTAAGGAGGCAGCTCCAGGAGCTGCTGGGAGCCATCTGGGAACTGTGAAAAGAAATCTATCTGAGAATGGAAGCAACCCTGAGAAGGCAGGGCTGAAAGATGTCATATGAGTGATGTTTAAAGCTTCATCTGAAGCTAGGACTAACCCTGTAACTTGTAGTGTTAAAGGGACTGTGTCTGCCTTGTTCATTCTGTGGCTCCACCATGCCAATAAATGTTTGTTAAATAAATGAATGGTAAACAGAGGAAAGACAGCAATGTTAGGAAATATAAATCAGTATTGAGTTTATATAATTGCAGAAGAAAAGACCATTCTATTAAGGGCCAAATTCCCATCATTTTTTCTGTCTCTGAAATCTACTCGAAATAGTAAAATATGGAATTCCCTTCTGGATACCTTAGAATGACAAAGGGAGCTAAAATGGAAAAGAGCTATAATAAATAATAAATCTGGCAGTGGAATGGATGGGAGGGAGCAAATTCTTTTTTCCATAACACTGGTATCTAGGGAAGTCTGACTCAGATTTAAGGCATGTAAGTCAAGGAGTTCCAAAACTTGAGTATTTTATTATTTCTTTAGCTCTACAAATGTTCCACTTCTTTTAGTTGCATTTGCCTTGACATAAATTATCAAAATTTTGCCCCCATTTGAATTTATAGAATTACTGTATTATAAAAGAAAATATGTATATGTTTTGATACACTACTCAAGACTAACACACCTAGTCAAAGATCCATATCTTAATTTATTAATATGATACTTAATATGGTTTGGCCGTGTCCCCACCCAAATCTCATCTTGAACTGTA